>NC_000002.12:85360693-85666076 GCF_000001405.40 Homo sapiens | reverse complement strand
CTCACACACCCTTACACCCTCACTCTCACACACATGCTTACACACTTATTCATTCTCACATATATGCTCATGCTCATTCACACACAATCCCGGCCACCTGCCCTAAAGTCCCCACACAGCCCTATCTTTGCCTTTTGTCCCCCCACATAGAGTTCTAAACCACAGCACCCCCACTAGGCCTGCTTCCTCCCATTCCAGTGGTCCCTGAGCCCTTGGGCCGGCCTGAATAGGGGTGGGCTTCCCTCCCAGACCCTAACACTCCCACCCTGTGCTGTGCCCCAGGACTCAAACGGCATCTGTATGCACCTGGGCCTGTGCAAATCCCGGCAGCCAGAGCCAGAGCAGGAGCCAGGGATGTCAGACCCCCTGCCCAAACCTCTGCGGGACCCTCTGCCAGACCCTCTGCTGGACAAGCTCGTCCTCCCTGTGCTGCCCGGGGCCCTCCAGGCGAGGCCTGGGCCTCACACACAGGTGAGGGAGGCCCCCACAGCCAGTAAAGTGGAGATCCAGAGGGCTAGAGCCACCTCCGAAGCCCATGGGCACTGGGCCCTGGGAGAGGCAGAGCCGGGAAGGTGATAGGAAGCTCCAGGCAGGGCCTAAGGGAGGAGGGAGAGAAAGGGAGGAAGAGAGAGGGGAGGAGAGCCTGGAGGACTCTTCTCCCAGCACCCAGCCTGGCCTCCACCTGATTCTTTCCCCAGGATCTCTCCGAGCAGCAATTCCCCATTCCTCTCCCCTATTGCTGGCTCTGCAGGGCTCTGATCAAGCGGATCCAAGCCATGATTCCCAAGGTGAGGCATCCAGGGCCTCACAGAGCCCAGGAGCACACGCATACCTGTAGCTCCCTGCAGCTCCCACCTCTCTCCCAACTCACACCCCCGTCAGGACCCAGCTGGCTGCCAGAAGTTAGGAGGGGAGAGAGCCGCTTGTGCATTGCCCCCACCCAGGGGACCCTGGGGCTCAGGCTCAGGCCTGGTAGGTGCCAGGCCTACAGTTCATGCAACAAACATTAAGCCCCCACTGTATGGAGGTGCCACGCCAGGAGCCAAAGTACAAAAACGGACAAGACGCAGCTTTGTCCTCCAGCAGCTCACCATCTGATGGAGAAAGATCCCCAGAGGTCTCTGTAGAAAGGTTGCTTTGATCTTTCAAGAGGGGAATTTCCACAGATAGATTCCCCATCCTTGCCTGAGTCCAACTTGGAGTCTTCCAGACCTGCAGTGGCTATTGTCCAATGGCCCCGCCAGCCCAGGGCTACCTTGCCCAAATTGGGGCCCAAATGAGGAAAGGCCCTGCCCCCTCAGCCTTTCCCAGATAGGGTTGCGTGGGCCACCAGGGGCACAAGGCAGCAGGTGAGGTTCCTGCTGAGGCAGGTGGTTCACTTGAGCCCAGGAGTTCAAGACCAGCTTGGGCAACATGGCGAAACCCCGTCTCTACTAAGAATACAAAAATTAGCCAGATGTGACAGGTGCCTGTAGTCCCAGCTACTCGGGAGGCTGAGGCAGGAGAATCACTTGAACCCAGGAGGCGGAGGTTGCAGTGAGCCGACATCACGCCACTGTACTCTAGCCTGGGTGACAGAGCAAGACTCTGTCTCAAAAAAAAAGAAAGAAGGAAAGATCACTGCAGAGATTGCAGTGAGAGGTGATGGGACAGGGACGGAGCTGAGGGCTGGCCTGGGGATGCATTTGGGAGGTGGGCCCACTGCTATTGGGCATGGATGGGCCTGGAGCGTGAGGACCAGGGAGGACTCCAAAGTGACTTTTACACACTGGCCAGAGCAACCAGCCCTCTGTAATGCCAGCAGCTGAGATGGGGAGACTAAAGAAGAAAACAGGTTTGAGCAAAAAAACAGAGAGCTCCCTCCTGGCCATGTTGAGTTCAAGATGCCTGTGTGAAGTGCAGGAGAGGAGAGTCAGGCAAGCAGCTGAATCCCAAGCATTGGGGGAAGGTCAGGTCCACCATGTCAGTCTGAGAGTCACTAGCTGTGGGCCAGAGCCTTTGGGGCCAGACGTAGGTCTGAAGCTGGCTCCTACACTCAGTGACCCTGTGTGAGTCCCCTGCATCCCCTGGACTCTCTGATCCCCAGTGTCCTTATTTGTGAATAGCCTTGCCCTCCCTTCTAGAAGAGAATGAGGGAATGCGTAGGAAGTGCCCAGCTGGGTGCTGGGCAGAGAGTGGAGGCTTGCCAAGTGAAGGTCCCATGCTGGCCTCTCTCCGCCCCCGCCCCAGGGTGCGCTAGCTGTGGCAGTGGCCCAGGTGTGCCGCGTGGTACCTCTGGTGGCGGGCGGCATCTGCCAGTGCCTGGCTGAGCGCTACTCCGTCATCCTGCTCGACACGCTGCTGGGCCGCATGCTGCCCCAGCTGGTCTGCCGCCTCGTCCTCCGGTGCTCCATGGATGACAGCGCTGGCCCAAGTGAGCCCACTGCCCACTCCTTAGCCCAATGCCTGCTCTCCTCCTCCCCCTACCCTGCCACTGCATGACCCTCTCCCTCTGTGGTCCCACTGCAATGCACCAAGGAGGACAGAAACCAAACACCTCTGTAGGGTGGCCTTGCCTGCTTTCCCCCTAATGCTCACATCTCCAGGGTCGCCGACAGGAGAATGGCTGCCGCGAGACTCTGAGTGCCACCTCTGCATGTCCGTGACCACCCAGGCCGGGAACAGCAGCGAGCAGGCCATACCACAGGCAATGCTCCAGGCCTGTGTTGGCTCCTGGCTGGACAGGGAAAAGGTATGGGCTGGGCACATGGGGACTCATGGTCAGGGCCCGTTCAAGGCAGAAGGCTGAGCCCAGGAAAGGCTTTGCAGCCAGAGACACCTAGGATGGGCCAGAATGGAGCACAGACAGGCAGACAGGATGTGGGGCAGACAATGGTGGGACTGTAAGTTAGGGCAGAGCCTGCTAAAGGTTAGGAGTCGCCTCTGGACAAAGGGCTGTGGGCTCCAGAGGACCAGCAGGCCCTCTTCACGGGCTGAGTGAGCACCAGGCAAGCCTTCAGAGGCCTGGTTATCTACCAGGAGATGAGTAATGCTAGGGCCAGTTCAAGCCAGGAAAGGGACTAGCCTTCTCTCCAGGGTCCTGATCCCTTTACTGCCCCCACACTCCTCAAGGTGTGACTCACTCAGGACAAACCCATTGGCAAAAGGAGAGGGCTGGACTTGAAGGTCCTAGGGCCCTTGCCAATACTCAGTCAATGACAGGAAATTCCCTTTTTTTTTTTTTTTTTTTTTTTTTTGAGATGGAGTTTTGCTCTTGTTGCCCAGGCTGGAGTGCAATGGCACAATCTTGGCTCACTGCAACCTCTGCCTCCGGGTTCAGGCGATTCTCCTGCCTCAGCCTCTTGAGTAGCTGGGATTACAGGCATGTGCTACCAGGCCCGGCTAATTTTTGTATTTTTAGTAGAGACAAGGTTTCACCATATTGGTCAGGCTGGTCTCGAACCCCTGACCTGAAGTGATCTGCCCGCCTTGGCCTCCCAAAGTGCTGGGATTACAGGCATAAGCCACTGCACCCGGACAGGAAATTCCCTTCTTAAAGCGAGATCCTGTCCTGAGGAAAGCCAGCTGATGCTCTTCCCAGGAGGCAGCTGTCCACACTGTGCTCCCTGCTCAGCAACTCCCAAGCCTCCCGACTGCCCATCACATCTGGTCTCAAGGACCAGATGAACGTTAAGTTTCCTTCTAGAACTGAAATGGAGGTGGAGGGAGGGGAGGGTGGTGGCTGAGATTCCACCCCTCTGCCTGAGTCCTCCGTCTCCAGTGTCGCCTGCTTTTCTGATGGAAGTCCTCCATTTCAGCTGGCTCCAGTTTGTTAAGGGTTTCAACTGCAGCCAGAGGTGTTCCGTGAGGGCTGATGGAGGAGTCGGGAGGGAGCCCTAGAGTGATCCAGAGATGTGGAGAGGCCAGGACCACACGACAGGAGAGTCCTGCAAAGGGACCCTCCACAGCTGTGTGTCTCCTTCCTCAGTGCAAGCAATTTGTGGAGCAGCACACGCCCCAGCTGCTGACCCTGGTGCCCAGGGGCTGGGATGCCCACACCACCTGCCAGGTACACCCACCCCTCCCAGTTGGTCCTAGGACTTCCCTTGGCTCCCAGAGCCCCCACCCTTTGGGCCCGTGATCCTCAGAGGCCTCACTCCCCTGGGTCCAAGGTGGTCCCAGGTGCACGGGCCAGGGACTGGGAGGCACCCCTCTCTGTTTCAGTGTAAAAAATCATGAGAGCATGGAAAAGGGGGATGGGAAGGGAGGGATGGCCTGAGGAGTGCGGCTGGATGTCCATTATAGGATGGGGCTGTGTTCCCTGGCCAGTGTGTGCTGGTGGGGTGGGGGTACAAAGTGGGTGTTCTGGAGTGAACATCTCACCTCCTCAGGCTCTAAACCCTAAGGCCTGTGGCTCAGGGAGTGGCCCGAGGGGTCTACAGAGTCACACTGGTAGCACCCACTAGGCGGGAGGTGGAGTGAGTGCTGTTCTTTCCCGGAAGAGCTGGGTGTGGGGAGCTGAGGGGGCCCAGGCCTCAGCCCTGGTGCTGTCCCTGTGACAGGCCCTCGGGGTGTGTGGGACCATGTCCAGCCCTCTCCAGTGTATCCACAGCCCCGACCTTTGATGAGAACTCAGCTGTCCAGGTGAGTCCAGGCCCCCAGTTGCGGGGAGGTAAGGGGGCAGGTCCTGACCATCAGGGCATGGGAGGCCCTTCTGCTCCCCAAGCAGGAAGAGGCGGCCACTCCTGCCGGCTGCTCCATCCTCCCTCTCACCGCACAGCTGGAGGCTCCTGAGGGCTTCTGGCTGGCCATCAGGAAAACACCCTTTCCGGACCCCGAGCACTGCCCCGCCCAGAACCCCAGTCACTGAGTGCCCAACCCCCAGCTTCCCCCCCAACCCCCCGCCCTGCCCTGTCCCAGGCCTCCCTCTCAGAGCTTGCCCCAGGGACTCTCTGGCCCTCAGGGTTCAATGTATTCTGACCAAGGCCAAGCTTTCCTGGGGCTCAGGGAAAATCACACTTTGCTACCCGAAGCTGTATCCCCTCAGATGCCAGGAAGGCCGTGATCATCTGACTCCACCCTCCTGAGACACATTCTCTCCCTGACTGTCCTGTTCTAAGTCAGCGGAGCACCTTAGGATGGAGGGGTGGAGGCGAGGCCAGATGCAGCCTCTGTGAACAGGTGCCTGGAGGCTGGGAAATGACCCTGAGAGGGCAGGACACAGCAACCGTGGGCTTAAGGTGACCTTGAGAGCAAGCTTGGCCCACTTTACAATTCTGTTCAGAGCCAGCCCCTAACATGGTGGTCATTTATTCATTTGTTCCCTCATTTTAAAAAATGTAAGGCCAGGCATGGTGGCTCACGCCGGTAATCCCAGCACTTTGGGAGGCCGAGGCAGGCAGATCACCTGAGGTCAGGAGTTCGAGACTAGCCTGGCCAACATGGCGAAACCCTGTCTCTACTAAAAATATTTTTTAAAAATTAGCTGAGCATGGTGGCAGGTGCCTGTAATCCCAGCTACTCAGGACGCTTAGGCAGGAGAATCACTTGAACCTGGGAGGCGAAGGTTGCGGTGTGCCGAGATCGTGCCACTGCACTCTAGCCTAGGCAACAGAGCACAACTCTGTCTCAGGAAAAAAAAAAAAAAAAAAAAGGTATTTCTTTGCTGGGCGCAGTGGCTCACACCTGTAATCCCAGCACTTTGGGAGACCGAGGCGAGTGGATCACTTGAGGTCAGGAGTTCAAGACCAGCCTTACCAACATGATGAAACCCCGTATCTACTAAAAAAAAAAAAAAAAAAAAAAAAAATTAGCCAGATGTGGTGGCACACACCTGTAATCCCAGCTACTTGGGAGGCTGAGGAGGAGAATTGCTTGAACCTGGGAGGCGGAGATTGCAGCGAGCCAAGATTGCGCCTCTGCACTCCAGCCTGGGTGACAGAGTGAGACTCCGTCTCAAAAAAAAAAAAAAAAAAGTAGTGGGTGCCTGTGGCCAGGCCACATCCTAGGGTAGGGGCTATGGCTGAGCCCTGCCCTCCTGGAGCTCACAGCCAAGTCCACTTCTTCCATCTGAGGCGGGGAAGCCAGCCCTGTTCCTGAAACCCTGCATCACAAGCCCCTGTGGGAGGCAGTGGGGAGGGGAGGTCCTCCCCCACTCAGACCTGACCCACAGGGACCAGTTTAATGTGTCCTTGCCCCAGTGATGACAGCTGGGGATCTGGGGGTGGGGAGTCACCCAGGACCCGGGCAGTCGCCTTTCCCCAGCTCCTAGGGCTCCCGGCCTTCCCTGCTGAAACAGCAAGACCAGTGGGTTGGCGTGGGAGGCCTGGGCTTCAAACCACCTCTGCTATCACCTGGCTGTGGGTCCCCAGGCAGGACATACACACAGTCCCTCTCTGGCCCTCATCCTCCTCAGCTGCAAAGGAAAAGCCAAGTGAGACGGGCTCTGGGACCATGGTGACCAGGCTCTTCCCCTGCTCCCTGGCCCTCGCCAGCTGCCAGGCTGAAAAGAAGCCTCAGCTCCCACACCGCCCTCCTCACCGCCCTTCCTCGGCAGTCACTTCCACTGGTGGACCACGGGCCCCCAGCCCTGTGTCGGCCTTGTCTGTCTCAGCTCAACCACAGTCTGACACCAGAGCCCACTTCCATCCTCTCTGGTGTGAGGCACAGCGAGGGCAGCATCTGGAGGAGCTCTGCAGCCTCCACACCTACCACGACCTCCCAGGGCTGGGCTCAGGAAAAACCAGCCACTGCTTTACAGGACAGGGGGTTGAAGCTGAGCCCCGCCTCACACCCACCCCCATGCACTCAAAGATTGGATTTTACAGCTACTTGCAATTCAAAATTCAGAAGAATAAAAAATGGGAACATACAGAACTCTAAAAGATAGACATCAGAAATTGTTAAGTTAAGCTTTTTCAAAAAATCAGCAATTCCCCAGCGTAGTCAAGGGTGGACACTGCACGCTCTGGCATGATGGGATGGCGACCGGGCAAGCTTTCTTCCTCGAGATGCTCTGCTGCTTGAGAGCTATTGCTTTGTTAAGATATAAAAAGGGGTTTCTTTTTGTCTTTCTGTAAGGTGGACTTCCAGCTTTTGATTGAAAGTCCTAGGGTGATTCTATTTCTGCTGTGATTTATCTGCTGAAAGCTCAGCTGGGGTTGTGCAAGCTAGGGACCCATTCCTGTGTAATACAATGTCTGCACCAATGCTAATAAAGTCCTATTCTCTTTTATGAGAAAGAAAAAGACACCGTCCTTTAAAGTGCTGCAGTATGGCCAGACGTGGTGGCTCACACCTGCAATCCCAGCACCTTAGGAGGCCGAGGCAGGAGGATCCTTGAGGTCAGGAGTTCGAGACCAGCCTCGCCAACATGGTGAAACCCCATTTCTACTAAAAATACAAAAAATTAGCCAAGTGTGGTGGCATATGCCTGTAATCCCAACTACTCAGAAGGCCGAGGCAGGAGAATTACTTGAACGCAGGAGAATCACTGCAGCCCAGGAGGCAGAGGTTGCAGTGAGCCGAGATTGCACCACTGCACTCCAGCCTGGGTGACAGAGCAAGACTCCATCTCAGTAAATAAATAAATAAATAAAAAGCGCTGCAGTAGCTGTGGCCTCACCCTGAAGTCAGCGGGCCCAGGCCTACCTCACTCTCTCCCTTGGCAGAGAAGCAGACGTCCATAGCTCCTCTCCCTCACAAGCGCTCCCAGCCTGCCCTCCAGCTGCTGCTCTCCCCTCCCAGTCTCTACTCACTGGGATGAGGTTAGGTCATGAGGACACCAAAAACCTAAAAATAAACAAAAAGCCAAACAAGCCTTAGCTTTTCTTAAAGACTGAAATGCCTGGAAGTGTCCCTTTATTTATAAAATAACTTTTGTCATATTTCTTATACATGTTTCTTGTAAGAAATTCAGAAACTACAGACAAAGAGAGTGGAAATTACCCACTGTCAGGCCTCTGAGCCCAAGCTAAGCCATCATATCCCCTGTGCCCTGCACGTATACACCCAGATGGCCTGAAGCAACTGAAGATCCACAAAAGAAGTGAAAATAGCCAGTTCCTGCCTTAACTGATGACATTCCACCATTGTGATTTGTTCCTGCCCCACCCTAACTGATCAATTGACCTTGTGACAATACACCTTCCCCACCCTTGAGAAGGTGCTTTGTAATATTCTCCCCACCCACCCCACGCCCGCACCCCCGCACCCTTAAGAAGGTATTTTGTAATATTCTCTCCGCCATTGAGAATGTGCTTTGTAAGATCCACCCCCTGCCCACAAAAAATTGCTCCTAACTCCACCGCCTATCCCAAACCTACAAGAACTAATGATAATCCCACCACCCTTTGCTGACTCTTTTTGGACTCAGCCCACCTGCACCCAGGTGATTAAAAAGCTTTATTGTTCACACAAAGCCTGTTTGGTAGTCTCTTCACAGGGAAGCATGTGACACCCACAATCCCACCTAGCCCAGGAGAGAGCTACGGCAGGGTGTGTGTTTTGACACTGAGCTTGGGGCTTTTTCCATCTTCTCCCCACAGCCTCTGGCTCCACACCTCCACCGTTCAAGCGCCAGAAAGAGCTGTCTATGCAGCCTGCTCTTGGGCCTGGGGATGAGACACACAATTCATTGGCTCCTGGATTTTAAGTAGACATTTGTAAATCTATAGCTAACTACTGTCCTTAAAGCCATTGTTTCCATTACAAAATCCAACTCTCTGAGAGAAAAGGGTGTTTTAAATTTAAAAAAATAAAAACAAAAAAGTTTGATTGAGACAATGAAGAGCCAATGTTTGAAGAACTGGAGGCATTAATAGTTTATCCCAAAAATATGAGTGGGAATGAGTGCCTGATAATGAAAAAGGCGGCTTCATTCAAAAGGAGGTCAAGAATTGGCAGACTTTGGGAGGCTGAGGTGAGTGAATCACTTGAGCCCAGGAGTTCAAGACCAGACTGGGCAACGTGGCAAAACACCATCTCTATAAAAAATATAAAAATTTGGCTGGGCATGGTGGCTCACACCTGTAATCCTAGCACTTTTGGAGGCTGAGGTGGGTGGATCACTTGAGGTTAGGAGTTCCAGACCAGCCTAACATGGTGAAACCACATATCTACTAAAAAAAATACAAAATTAGCTGGATGTGGTAGTGCATGCCTGTTATCCCAGCTACTTGGAAGGCTGAGACAGGAGAATTGCTTGAACCCAGGAGGCAGAGGCTGCAGTGAGCCAGGATTGCGCCACTGCACTCCAGCCTGGGCAACAAGAGCAAAACTCTGTCTAAAAGAAAAAAAAAAAAGATACAAACATTAGCTGGCCATGGTGGTGTGTGTCTGTGGTCCCAGCTATTCAGGAGGCTGAGGTGGGAGGATCGCCTGAATCCAGGTCAAGGCTGCAGTGAGCCGTGATGATGCCACTGCACTCCACCCTGGGTGACACAGAGAGATCCTATTTCAAAAACAAATAAATAAATAATTTTAAAAAAGAGTTGACTAGCTGGTAGGAGGACAGAATTGGCAGGAAGTGGCTACACTTGAGACTCCTAGGGTCCCTGAGAAGTGTCCAACATCCTGCACCTCTGCCCTTAGGAAGTTGGGGGAAGAGAAGTCCCAGGAGGGATTATAGCCCAAGAGGAGGGGACTTATTCTTCACTTTCCAGGGTGTGGGCTTCTAAGAGAAGCCTGCCTCTCACAGGACATCAGAAAGGGTGAGGACGCTAGCCTGAGGGATGGAGCTAGGCAGCTGGCCTGAGGTCTGCCTCACAGAGTGTTCCCAGTGTGATGTGGTTGCAGAAGAGCAACCTCAACCCACAGACCGAGAGGCAGTCAGAATTGGCTCTGGACAAGATGGTGCACCCGTAAGAGCCCACGGTTGGGGATGAATCTGTGACAGATTTAGTGGATCTTGAGATGAGCAGAAATCAGATGTGTAGCAGTGATGGCACAAGAAGATGATGATCAGGCAAGACGAGAGACACTCCAGAGAGACCTGGATGGCCAGGGAATGCTTAGTCCCCAGTGCCTCTCCTCACCGCAGGGCAATCTGTAAATCATTCCCAGGGAAAGGGGAAAGAGGATTCAGTGGTTAGTCAGCCAAGAGAGGCTGAGTATTAAGAAGGGAATGAGTTACTCCGAAATGGAAATAATATGTTTTGAGGGCTCATGAGCCAAAATGAGTTCAGTTATAGAGAAATAAAGATAATTACATTATGTCCCCCTAATGAATAACTGAAATTTTAAATCCACGACATAATCATTATTAACATGTTATTATCTATAATTCCAAAGCTTTCTGTGCACATATACAAAAACAGATACAGCAGATCTACAAAATGGAAACATCCTATACATGCTGCTTTGTAACCTGCACTGTTCATTTAACAATAACCTTTTCAGGTCAATAAATGTAAGTATCTACTATTATTGCTAATTGCCACATGACAGCTCTGTCTCCCAGGCTAGAGTGCAGTGGTGCGATCACTCTGGGGTTTAAGCAATCCTCCTGCCTCTGCCTCCCTAAGTGCTGGGACTACAGGCGTCAGATACCATGGCTGGCCCTTACTTTTTTTTTTTTTTTTTTTTGAGACAAGAGTCTCACTCTGTCATCCAGGCTGGATTGCAGTGGCGTGATCTCAGCTCACTGCAAGCTCCGCATCCCAGGTTCATGCCATTCTCCTGCCTCAGCCTCCTGAGTAGCTGGGACTACAGGAGCCCGCCACCACGCCCAGCTAATTTTTTTTTTTTTTTTTTTTTGTATTTTTACTAGACACGGGGTTTCACTGTGTTAGCCAAGATGGTCTTGATCTCCTGAACTCGTGATCCACCCGCCTCAGCCTCCCAAAGTGCTGGGATTACAGGCGTGAGCCACCGCGCACGGCCGGCCCTTTCTTTTTTAAGCAACTATTATCAACGATTTGCAAAAAATAAAAATCCTCGCACTTACATCTTTGTTTGTCTGTCTTCTTAGAATCAATTCCAAGACATGAAATTTGGGGGACACCTTTACTTTTAACAGAGGCTGGATTATCAATCTGGGCCTCTGTGCCAGCCGTACCAACTTCTATCCCAAAAGAAAACAAGTGCCTCTTTCCACTCTCACCAAACTGGGGTATTAACAATCTTTCAAACTTTGCTAATCCAAAAATATATATATATATTTATATATACAGGCTGGAGGGCAGTGGCACAATCTCGGCTCACTGCAGCCTCTGCCTCCCAGGTTCAAGCAATTCTCTTGCCTCAGCCTCCGGAGTAGCTGAGATTACAGGAACGTGCTACCATGCCTGGCTAATTTTTGCATTTTTAGTAGAGACGGGGTTTCACCATGTTGTCCAGGCTGGCCTCAAACTCCTGACCTCAGATGATCCACCAGTCTTGGCCTCCCAAAGTGCTGGGATTACAGGTGTGAGCCACTGCATCTGGCCTATCCAAAATATTTGTTTTGTTTTGTTTTGGTTTGGTTTGGTTCCTTTTTTTTTTTTCTGCTAATCCAAAATATTTTTAAATGATGTCTCATGGTCGTTCTAATTTGCATTTCTTTAGTTACCAAATAAACACCTTTTCACATGTTTATTGGCCATTTATATTTCATCTTTTGTGAAATGCCTACTTGGGTTTTTTGCCCAATTTTCTGTTTAGGTTTCTTTTTCTTATTGTTTTACGAGTAAAAATAAACTAGGTATATTCATTTATTTACTGTCCTATACATTGCAAATTTTTCTCTATCATATATCTGGAGTATTTTTTCCACATCTATCTTTTTCTCGTGATTTCTGGCTGTGGGGTCATGCTAAGAAAACATGAATTGAATTTCACTTCTTCCCCATGTGTGGTTCAAACTCTGGCCAGACCTTGAGGTCTCCAAAAGAGGAAGGGCATGCTGGGATCAGCTTTGAAGACATGCAGGCCAGGCCCCCAACCCAGACAGCCGTGGTGGAAGCAAGCCATGTGTCACCCACAAAGGACCTCAAGATCACACAGGATATGACGGTCAGCTCCAAGAAATAGTCCCTAAACTTTTAAGTGATAATTCCTATTTTCACCATCTTGGAAGGGTATAAAGAGACAAAATCATTTGTGCAAAAGGACAACACAGAGAACACAGGCTAAGTACTAAAGCATTTACTCAAAAAATATGGGTGATTGGCCGGGCACGGTGGCTCATGCCTGTAATCCCAGCACTTTGGGAGGCCGAGGCGGGCAGAACACCTGAGGTCTAGAGTTCAAGACCAGCCTGACCAACATGGAGAAACCCCGTCTCTACTAAAAATACAAAATTAGCCGGACGTGGTGGCGCATGCCTGTAATCCCAGCTACCCAGGAAGCTGAGGCAGAATTGCTTGAACCCAGGAGGCAGGGGTTGCGGTGAGCTGAGATCATGCCATTGCACTCCAGCCTGGGCAATAAGAGCAAAACTCCGTCCGTCTCAAAAAAATAAATAAATAAATAAATGGGTGATTGACTTCTAAGTGCCAAGCATTTCCCAAGGGCTGGGCACAAAAGTTTCTATCTATCCTTTGGAACTTGAGAGTTTAGTTGGAAAAATAGGCCTTAATCAAAGAATCACAGAAAAAACAAATTTTTCAGGTGCAATAAGGGCTATCAATTAGAGATACACAGGGTATTAAGGGTATGAGAGGTCATGGAGGAGAAAGAATTAAAAGGGAAAGAACGAGCATCCCTCACAGAGGAAGCAGATAGTACAGAGGCCTCATGTCATGTGGTACATCTGAGCAATAGAATGAAGCTCAGCGAGCCTAGGCTCAAGAACAAGCAGGGGCCAGGCGTGGTGGCTCATGCCTGTAATCCCAGTACTTTAGGAGGCCGAGGCGGGCAGATCACTTGAGCTCAGAAGTTTGAGGCCAGCCTGGGCAACATGGTGAAACACCACCACTACAAAAAAAATCAAAACAATTAGCCCAGTGTAGTGGTGCAAGCCTGTGGGCCCAGCTACTCAGGAGGCTGAGGTGGGAGGATGGCTTGAGCCCAGGAGGCGGAGATTGCAGTGAGCCAAGATCATGCCACTACACTCCAGCCTGGGCGACAGTGCCAGACCCTGTCTCAAAAAAAAAAAAAAAAAAAAAAAAAAAAAAGTAGAAACTTCCTGATAAATTAGGCTAGCAGCTGAGGATTTCACTTGCTATCCTAAGAGCCAGTGAAGTGTCTTTAAGCATGAGATCAGAGTATGGGGGAGAAATGACTCAGGTTTGTGTTTTAAAAGATTACTCTGACTAAAGCATGGATAAACTGGGGGTAGGAGGCAAAGAAATGTGGAGAGACCTATTGAGAGCACTGCAAACAGAAACTGGCAATAGCTTAAACTAAAATGATAGTGGCAAAGGGCCAGTACAGAAGTCTGATGGATCTTGGAGAACGACCGTGGACTATCGTAAACTTAATCAGAGTGACTCCAGCTGAAGCTGCTGTCCCAGATGTATCTTTTTTTTTTTTTTTTTTTGAGACTGTCTTGCTCTGTCACCCAGAGCTCAAACTCAGCTCACTGCAGCCTTGACTCAAGTGATCCTCCTGCCTCCCATGTAGCTGGGACCACAGGTGCATGCCACCACTCCTGGCTAATTTTTTTTTTTTGAGGGATGGGGTCTCACTTTGTTGCCCAGGCTGGTCTTGAACTCCTGGGCTCAAGCAATCCTCCTGCCTTGGCTTCCCAAACTGCTGGGATTACATCTGTAAGCTACCACGCCTGGGGCCAGATGTAGCATCTTTACTCATACACAACAGCTCTTGGCACTTGGTATGGAGCTACCAAGTTAGAATCAAATTGGTATTTCTCCATACCAATTTATAAGGATCACCAGAAGTAGTTTGCTTTTACCTGGCAGGGCCAACAGTATACCTTCACAGTGTTACCTCAGGACTATGTCAGTTCTGCTCTCTAGCATAATACAGTTCACAGAGATCTTGATCATCTTGACAATCCACAAAATATCACACTAGTCCACTACAGTGATGACACTATGCTGTTGGATCTGATGAGCAGAAAGTACCAAGCGCTTTAGATGCCTTAGTAAGACATAAATAAGAAGTTGGGAGTTAAACCCAAAAACAAGTCAGGGAACCAGGCACGGTGGCTCACGCCTGTAATCCCAGCACTTTGGGAGGCCAAGGCGGGCGGATCACGAGGTCAGGAGATTGAGACCATCCTGGATAACACGGTGAACCCCCGTCTCTACTAAAAATACAAAAAAATAGCCAGGCGTGGTAGCAGGCGCCTGTAGTCCCAGCTACTCAGGAGGCTGAGGCAGGAGAATGGCGTGAACCCGGGAGGTGGAGCTTGCAGTGAGCCGAGATCGCACCACTGCACTCCAGCCTGGGCGACAGAGCGAGACTCCGTTCTCAGAAAAAAACAAAACAAACAAACAAACAAACAATTCAGGGGCCTGCCACCTCAGAGACATTTCTCGGAAGTCAACAGTATAGAGTTATGTCAAAATATCCTCTCCAAGACAGGTGGCTGTACCTCATACCACCACACACACACACACGCACGCACGCACGCACAATGTTTGATAGGTTTTTCTTGGCTTTTGGAGACCACATATACATTTGAGCAGCACAGGCACCCAGTAGCTCCACCTGGCACTCTCCTCCCTGGACAGTTTTATAGCAGAGGCCTCCAGGGAGACACCTGTGAATGGCTTTCCTGAGTACACTACAAAGCAGATTTTTAACGAGGTTCAGAGGGCATATTTTTAGCAAGGTCTGGATCTCAGCTTTGGACACTGTCAGCCCCAGAACTAGTGGCAGCTCTTTGTATCTGTTATTCCTACATTCTTTACTTTACTTGTTACTAACTAATCCCGTTTCTACAAACCCGTTGTAGTTAATAATTATTGAAATTAAACTTTCCCTGAACAGATTATTATACATGAATTTCTCTAACTGGATAGTGTAATCTTCACCTCAAAAATAGCCAAGTTTGAAAGAGAAACTCATGGCAGGGCACAGTGGCTCATGCCTGTAATCCCAACACTTTGGGAGGCCAAGGTCAGCAGATCACCTGAGGTCAGGAGTTCAAGACCAGCCTGACCAACATGGTGAAACCCCATCTCTACTAAAAATACAAAAATTAGCCGGGTGTGGGGCGCACACCTGTAGTCCCACCTACTCGGAAGGCTGTGGCAGGAGAATCACTCGAGCCTGAGAGGCAGAGGTCGGCAGTGAGCTGAGATCACACCACTGCACTCCAGCCTGGACAAGAGTGAGACTCCATCTCAAAAAAAAAAAAAGGGAAACTCACAAGCTCAATTTTTTTTCTTTTTTGTAATGACAAGGTCTTGCTCTGTTGCCCAGGCTGGAGTGCAGTGGTGCAATCATGGTTCACTGCAGCCTCAAATCCTGCGCTCAAAGGACCTTCCTGCCTCAGCCTCCCAGATAGGTGGAACTACAGGCACACACCACCATGCCCGGCTAATAGGGTCTTGCTATGTTGGCCAGGCTGGTCTTGAACTCCTGGCCACAAACAATTCTTCCACCTCAGCCTCCCGAAGTGTTAGGATTACAGGCAGGAGCCACCACACCTGGCAAGCTCAGTTCTAAACAATGTTAAGTTTGAGTTTACTTTAAAACACCCAAAAATAGGGCTGGGCACCATGGCTCACGCCTGTAATCCCAACACTTTGGGAGGCCGAGGCGGGTGGATCACTTGAGGTCAGGAGTTCGAGACCAGCCTGGCCAACATGATGAAACCCCGTCTCTACTAAAAATACAAAAATTAGCTGGGCACGGTGGTGGTCGCCTATAATCCCAGCTATTCAGGAGGCTGAGGCAGGAGAATCACTTGAACCCAGGAGGCAGAGGTTGCAGTGAGCTGAGATCATGCCACTGCACTCTAGCCTGGGCGACAGAGCAAGACTCCATCTCTAAAATAAAAATTAAAATTAAAAAATAAAATAAAATAAATAAAATAAAATAAAATAAAAAAATTAGCCGGAAATCACTTGACCCTGGGAGGTGGAGGTTGCAGTGAGCCAAGATTGTGCCACTGCATTCCAGCCTGGGCAACAGAGCGAAGTTCAAGAGTTTAGAAAAATCTGGGATTAAGATGTGTTTATGAGTCATTTCCATAAAAATGCATAGCTGAAATGGCCTAGGGAAAAAGTAAACAGCAAGAAGAGTGACGCTAGGACTGAATCTTGAGAAAACCCAAATTTAATGGCTGGATAGAAGAGATAAGCCTCCTAAGGAAATACTGGAGCTTCCAGAGAGGTAGAGGAAAGTGAGGACAAGGTTGTGACCAGGTAAAGGGTGGCACCACAGGAGTGCGGGGCTCCTGTCTCCATTCAACAGAACTTGCTGGGGCTGACTGGCTGCCTCCAGCTGCTTCCCATATCTTTGGACCTGCCACAGTGCTCATGCCAAGGCCACCCTTCTTCTAGGCTGCTAGAGCCCACGACTGAGCTTGATGGGAGCCATTTCTGCTGAATTGTCTGACGGAATCTTTGCCCTGGGGCTCCACACTGGACTGGCTGAGACCACCTCAGAATTGCACTGTAGTGAGAAGCGCTTCCTATTTCCTTTTTTTCCTCTTCCCTTACTCATTCCTGCACTGCAGCTGGAAACTGCCCACCTCTGGCCCTCTAGTTAAGCACAATAATAATGTATCCCCTTGACTCAGGTATTTTTTTACTTAGAAACAAATGCATCCTAACTGACACACCACCCACAAGCTGACAGGAAAGGGCGAGCGTGATGTGCACCAGATGTCAGACTGTAGGGTAGAGAGTTTGTGAAGATTAAAAAGGAAAATATTTTCCTCAGCCAACCACCAAAGGAAAAGATATAAAACAAGAGGCTGGTTTAAAAACAGGAGACTATTTAATCCATCTAAAAATACAAATCAGGAAATGGGGGGAACCATAGGAAAATCCTCCACCTCTAACAGAGCGAAGTTACTGGCTTTCTGCTTGCTCCAAGAATCCCAAGGCTTGATGTTTGGAAGGAATTATCTGTTCTTCAACTACTCCCAGATACTCAAGACATAAGTTACACACATCTGGAGAAGGGTTCTGCCCTGCTGAAGCTAGATGGGAGCTCAATGCATGGGAGAAAGGAGCATCAATCTAGAAAAAAATGATCAAAGAACAGCTGAGTGACAGTGTGGGGCCATCCCAGGCAAGTGGGCTCTTGGTGCTCTGGTGTAGCCAGAACCCATACAAGCTGGGCTGGCCTAGGAAGCCCACCAGCCAGCCTGTGTTCAGCTACAGCTTCTGTGTTCTTATTTACCATCATCAGCCACAGCCCTTGGGAGCAAAGCCCTAGACGCCTCCTTCAAGCCCCCTGCTGGTTGGTTTCATCATTATCTCGCCTCTTCCAAATCTGTAAGAAATGAAAACACAAACTGAAGTCTAGGAGGCATTCAGTCAACAGACACTTATCAAATACCTATTCTGTGCCAGGCCATGGACAACTTGTCACCCCATTTACAAATCTGCTATACCCCATTTGGAAATCTGCTACAGTGGCTACAGCCACTGAGGAGAAAAAAGTTATCTCTAGAAGGAGAGGTATCACTTTCTTCTTACAAAGCTATGGCTTTTGTCTCAATCTTCCTTCTTTTGCCAGGTACTAGGGCAGTTACATAAAGAGAAGACAGAGATGCTCTGTGCTCCATGGGTCAATCCAATGGAGAGGACAGACAGGCAAAGCGATATGGCCGGCACTAAAACAAACGTCAAGTAGAAAGCGCTGTGGGGTCACAAAGCTGCCTGGGGCTCTGGGGAGCACTTCGTGGTCGACTTCTAGCCAGCCTCCCTGATGAGTCTAGGTTCTTCCTCCTCGAAACCAGACCGCACACTTCTGCAAAACTAACCTGGCCATAATCGCAACTTTCTTTGCTCACTCATACATTTTCTACACTTCCTTATACTTCTTTTCTGAAAATCTCTGCTTGACTTTCAGGGCCATACATTCTGCCCCCAACTCACTACTAAGTACTTCCCAATAGGTACCTGGCCCTCCAACCAAGGTCCTAACTCTATCCCTCTTCCTGCCTTGGCCCACTCCTCTCACTGGCCCCATACGCCACCTATTTGTGGCTCACTAAGCCTGTGGCCAACCCACCTGAATGTAAGCCTCTGACAGTGTGATCATCTGGGGAAGGATGTCAGTCACCTGGAGGTCTTGTAATTCATACCATTTGCCTGTCCCCTGCAGAAAGTATGAAGAGCTGGGTTAGTCTGCTCTCTAAAACCAAAAGGGTGTAGAAGGAAAGGATCATAGCCAAGACTAGAAAAATTAGAAGAACAGCCACTAGACATCATCCAGCAACAGTCATAAAGAAGAGGGTACATGACTTCTTCTGGCCATGATTCAATTAATAGGACTTTTGGTGTGTCAATCATGGCAAACTCAATTCCTGTTGGGAATTTTTTTAAAGCACTGTTTTTTGTTTGTTGTTTTTTTGTTTTTTTTTTTTTTTGAGACAGGGTCTCACTCTGTCACCCAGGCTGGACTACAGTGGTGTAATCACAGCTCACTGCAGCCTTGACCCTCTGGATTCAAGCGATCCTCCCCTCAGCCTCCCAGGTAGCTGGAACTACAGGTGTGTGCCACTAAAACTGGCTAATTTTTTTTTTAATAGCAATGGGGTCCCACTGTGTTGCCCAGGCTAACTCCTGGTCTCAAAAGATCCTCCCGCCTCAGCCTCCTAAAGTGCTAGGATTATGGGTATGAGCCACTGCGCCTGGCCCCTTGAAGTACAATGGAGTCTGAAACACTTCTGTACATCTTTTTAAAAGGAATTTAGTGGACACTAAAGATGAGAAAAGAGGAAGCCATCTAATCATCACCTATGATGTCTCCTTCCTGCTCAGAAATGACAGACTAGACATTCTCACTTATGAGGTACACAGTGTCAACCACTGAGAGAACCTAAATATGGACATTCCTGGCTGGGCACAGGGGCTTACGCCTGTAATCCCAGCATTTTGGGAGGCCGAGGTGGGCAGATCACTTGAGGTAAGGAGTTTGAGACCAGCCTGGCCAACACAGTAAAACCCCGTCTCTACCAAAAATACAAAAATTAGCCAGGCCTGGTGGCAGGTGCCTGTAGGTCCCAGCTACTTGGGAGGCTGAGGCAGGAGAATCACTTGAACCCAGGAGGTGGAGGTTGCAGTGAGCCAAGATCATGCCACTGCATTCCATCCTGGGTGATAGGGTGAGACTCTGTCTTAAAAAAAAAAAAAAAAAAAAAAGCAACAGGTCATCAAGAAAAGGTGTCCTTGGTGGACACTGTCTATCACACTAACCTGATTCCTTTGGCCTAAGAAACCAGTGCTACAAATACAGCAAAACGTATCTCACTTCATGCTTCCATGAACAAGGAAAAAATGTTTCTAGATTAAGGCAGAGGCACCTCTGGCCGCCCACCTGTCTTATCCAACCAAAGTTCTAAGAAATACCAAAGACCATTATTGTAGAATATAAATATTCCAGATCCTCTGGATATTACAATAGTTGAGAATATAGGAAACATAAGGAAAGCTCAGGATCACATAAGTAAGTTCCCATTCCTGCTTCAAGGACGAGTTAAGAACATGGGCTTTGAAGCAGAGTACCTGGGTCAAATCCTAATTCTACTGACTTGAGGTCAATTACTGAAACTCTGAGCCTAGGTCTCCTCCTCTGTAAAAAAGATGATACTGACATCTGTCTTGGAGGTGTGTTTTAATGAAAGAAATGAGATTAATGTACATTAAGTAACTGGCGTACTGCCTAACCACAATAAAGCACTTGATAAACAGAAGCTAGTTAAGATTAAACCCACAGTTCCAGAAGAGGCTAATCAAATGAGAACAATTTATGCTAATAATCTATGTGATATCAAATATATCTCAAGTACATGTTTTATCTGTTTTCAACTTGAGACAAATCCACAACATTTTTAAGATGAAAGGGAGCCTCTAAACCAGTGCTTCGCAAACTTTAATTTCTTACAAATCAGAGGGTCACGTTAAAATCCAGGTTCTGATGTGGTAGGTTTGAGGGGACTGAGAGTCTGCATTTCTAACAAGCTGATTTCTAACAAGACTGATGCTGATGTTATTGGTCCAAGGATGCATCCCACTTTGGATGGTAAGGCTCTAGTCTAGGGCAGAGGTTCTCAACCTTGGCTGCATATCAGGGTCTCTCAGGGAACTTCAAAACATCAAATGCCAGCCAGGCATGGTGGCTCATACCTGTAATCCCAGCAGTTTCAGAAGCTGAGGCGGGAGGATTGCTTGAGACCAGCATGAGCATCATAGCACAACCCCATCTCAATTAACTTGAAAAATAGAAAAGACATCAAACAGAAAAGACATCCACCTCCAGACAATCTAACAGAGAGCCTTTAACCTTAATGCTGACTGATGTTTAGGGTCAGATAATTCTTTGTAACACGGGCTGTCCTTCGTGTTGTAAAATATATACCAACATCCCTGGCCTCTGCCCCAGCTGAAAACTACTATTATAACCGGCCTGGTGTGGTGCCAGGCATTGGGATTTTAAAAAGCTCCCGGTTGGCGCGGTGGCTCACGCCTGTAATCCCAACACTTTGGGAGGCCGAGGTGGGTGGATCACAAGGTCAGGAGTTCAAGACTGGCCTGGCCAAGATCGTAAAACCCCGTCTCTACTAAAAATACAAAAATTAGCCGGGCGTGGTGATGGGCGCCTGTAATCCCATAATCCCAGCTATTCGGGAGGCTGAGGCAGAGAACTGCTTGAACCCAGGAGGCGGAGGTTGCAGTGAGCCAAGATCACGCCACTGCACTCCAGCCTGGGCTACAGAGCGAGACCCTGTCTCAAAAAAAAAAAAAAAAAGCTCCCAAGGTGAGTCCAATGTGTAGCCAAAATTGAGAACCACTGCCTTAAACTAACTACTGACAGCACTATTACTTGCAGAGTCCCAAAGCCAAGGCCAAGCAAGGACACACTGAAGGGAGCTGCCCTCTGAGATGCCAAAGAAACACCTGTTTTTGCCACTCTGTGCCATGAGACGGTCAGCAGCCACTCACATGATGAAGCACGTGGATCCGGTAGGAGCCCTCGGAGGGCTTGCCGTCATGCACGATGTTGGCAATGAGGTCATAGGTGGTATTCTTGTGTACTGCTTGTACTTCTTCAGACAAGTATTCTCTCAGATCCACATTTCTGTTAATGGTTAAAATAAAGCCGGAATAATCAGACAAAGGCTGTGAGGTTAAGGAAACTGTCCTACACAAACGGACCACAAAATTGTTCAGCCCTATTTTAGGACCCTTTCTCTGGGTAGGCTTGCAGAGTCAAGAAGGTCCAGGTGCGTTGGAATTCACAAAATATGCCAAAATGAATGACAGGGTTACACAGCTTCCCATATGATTTAAAAAAAAAAAAAAGAATGACAGGCAGTGGCTCATACCTATAATCCCAACACTTTGAGAGGTCAAGGTAGGAGGACTGCTTGAGCCCAGGAGTTCAAGGCCAGCCTGGGCAATGTAGTGAGACCCCTACAAAAAAAAAATTAGCCAGGCATGGTGGTACATGCATGTGGTCCTAGCTACTCAGGAGGCTGAGGTGAGAGGATCACTTGAGCCCAGGAGATTACGGCTAAAGTGAGCCAGGACCACACTATTGCACTCCAGCCTGGGCGACAGTGAGACCCTGTCTCAAAAAACCCCCAAAAGGAAGAAGAACTTTCAAATAGTTAAAAAGGAAAATATATAGACAGTTAACAAGAATATTAAGATTAAATACATAATTTTAGGAAAAATATATCATTTTGGAGTCTACAAATATTTATAAAAACTTACACAATACAAGGTAAAATAAAAAAAAAGACATTGCATCATAAAAGTTGTCTGATGTGCTACCACTCATTACATGAAACAAAACCATGTTATCACTGGAAGAGTTCACAAGAAACAGCTAATGGTGGTCACGTCCAGTTATATATCTCCCTTTGAAGTTAGACTGTGAACATATTAACTGTTCAAAATTACAGAGTTTAAAATGTAAACCATGTGGTAATAAACAAACATACAACTTTGTTGTAATTATTATATGTAGCTTTCTATGTATTGGTGACAGCTATTTGTTTCTACAGACTGACAGTGTCCCATATATGATGCAGTCAGACTGCAATAAATATTCACTGTTAAGAAAATGGAAGCCAGGTGCGGTGGCTCATGCCTGTAATCCCAACACTTTGGGAGGCCGAGGCGGGCAGACTGCCTGAGCTCAGGAGTTCGAAACCAGCCTGGGTAACATCGTGAAACCCTGCCTTTACTAAAGTACAAAAAAAAAAATTAGCTGGGCGTGGCGGCGTGCACCTGTAGTCCCACCTATTCCGGAGGCTGAGGCAGGAGAATTGCTTGAACCCAGGAGGCGAAGGTTGCAGTGAGCCGAGATAACGCCACCGCACTCCAGCCTGGGCAACAGAGCGAGACTCCATCTCCAAAAAAAAAAAAAAAAGGAGATATGAGTCCTGAGTCCATGTGAGCTCTAGTCAGCCAACCTGCCTTCCTGCTACTAAAGGCTGACTTCTCATTTTATTTTCTCTTCAGCCTGAACAAAAGCTGACTAGACTTGTCTGAATGAGTATCAGTGAAGAAGTCTTTTTTTTTTTTGAGACAGAGTCTCGCTCTGTCGCCCAGACTGGAGTGCAATGGCGCTAGCTATCTCAATTCACTGCAAGCTCTGCTTCCTGGGTTCACGCCATTCTCCTGTCTCAGCCTCCCGAGTAGCTGGGACTACAGGCGCCCACCACCATGCCTGGCTAATTTTTTGAATTTTTAGTAGAGACGGGGTTTCACCGTGTTAGCCAGGATGGTCTCGATCTCCTGACCTCGTGATCCGCCCGCCTTGGCCTCCCAAAGGGCTGGGATTACAGGTGTGAGCCACCGTGCCTGGTTTGGAGAAGTCTTTATACTCAAGATTTCATGACTGAACCAAAACTGTCCATGCGGCAAAAGAGAAATACTACGTTTAATCATTTTGTGTTAGTAAATAGGAAAAGGAGCAAACTATTCATTTTTTTTTTTTTTTTAGTAGAGACAAGGTCTTGCTATGTTGTCCAGGCAGGTCTCAAACTCCTGAGCTCAAGCAATTCTCCCACCTCGGCCTCCCAAAGTGATGACATTACAGATGTGAGCCACTGCGCCCAGCCTAAAAGAGCAAACTATACTCATCTCCCAACCACAGCAACAGACCAGTTAAGAGAATGGCTAATTACCTGAAAGTGAAACTTTAAACCTGCCCTCAAAAATCTCTATCTCCAAATAAGCAGAGGGTGCCTAATCACCATAAGTCTGATAACTCTCCGACAAAAACAGGATGTGTTATGAATAAAACATAGGAGAAGACAGGTATGAAAAAGATCCTTTTCAAGAAGTATGGACAATGAAATGATCCAGAATTGTATTACTCGAAGTAATTACAGCACATAAAATAATTAAAGTGCAAGTTTCCAGAATTAGTCACAATTTGATGTTCTCTAAAAGACTGCGTAGTTAAGAAACAATCTTTTTCTCAACTTCTCCGAAGTAAGCTTTCTGAAGGACAAACTTTTATATTGGGCCTACTCTAGGCCCATAAAAGAAACCAATGGGGCAAGGAAATTTCTGTGGCAACTGAGCAGGAAGTACCATTGATACACAATCTTCCTCCCTCTGGAGTTGCCCTTGGAATCCAGACTGCCCCTACCTACCAGGAACAGACAGGTGACTGGCAATTCACAAGAGGCTAGTGCTGAAATAAAACTTTGACACACAGACTTTCGAAGAAAGCACCTCTGTCATCCTACTCAAGGAGGCAGAGAACAAACCTCCATGTCCCCCCATTTAATTCTAGTCACAAACAAGATGCTAGTGGAGAAAAGTGTAGAAAAAGAGAAAAAGAAATTCCCCTGTAATTCTCAACTGCAAATGTTCTCTCTCCTCACCCTCCATGATTCTAAGAGTCCTGGCAATACTATAATAAGATGTTACACCTGGACAAACCCCTAGGGCTCAGGCCCATCTACTCCAAGCCTCTCATTTTATCTATGAGAGAACATATCCAGAAAACACGCAAACTATGGGTCTGAGGTCCCACCACTAAGACAGCCTAAAACTCAGGCCTCTTAATTTTAGATACTACTTTCTTAAACACTACATGGAATTTAAAACTGACACTATTTTCTTTCTTTCTTTCTTTTTTTTTTTTTTTTTTTTTTAGCACAGTCACACTCTGTCACCCAGACCCAGGCTGGAGGGCAGTGACACCATCTCAGCTCACTGCAGCCTCAATCTCCAAGGTTCTAGCCATCCTCCTGCCTCAGCCCCTCAAGTACCTAGGACTGCAGGTGTGCACCACCACATCTGGCTAATTTTTTGTATTTTTTTGTAGAGATGGGGTTTTGCCATGTTGCCTAGGCTGGTCTTGAACTCCTGAGCTCAAGCGATCCAGCTGCCTTGGCCTCCCAAAGTGCTGGGATTACAGGCGTGAGCCACCACGCCCAGCCAAACATCTTCTTAAGTATGAAAAACCTTGTCTCTTGAGAACTGAAAACCAACAGTCTACCCCCAAAAAGGATCTTGCAGAAGTTTTCTGAGTTGGAAGGAAGCAAACTAAAAGCATCTAGTACAACTCTAGTGTGCAAAAAGGTGTGATGGCCAGCAAATAGATGGGCAGACCCTCACTACTCAGGACATCTTCCAAACCAGGCAGAATCCTACCTGTCTTATCCTACTTGCATCATTTCTTCTTCTCTACGCAGGAAGACTATAATTTCCAGCTAGCAACAGGAGAGAAGATAAAATAGGGATTGCATCCCAATAAACATCAATCTTTTGTGGTCCCTGAAATAAGTGTATCCTTCCAATAAAAACTCTTATCTACTGTAGGTAGGCTCTGTTCCTTGTAATCCCCAACTAAGACAGTCCAAAATTAATACTGGTAAAAATACAAGAGAAGAAATCCAGGTTCACTCCCCGTGAGAGAAGTGAGGCAGGATGTTACTTACGTAATAGGGAAATTGACAATAGTTGGATTCTTCTCAACAAAGAAGTTGTTCTTAGTGAATCTCTTGATACAAAAGATTAGATATGGAGGCAACTTGGTAAGCTGGAAGCGCTTCAGAAAGTTCTCCTTGTAAGTCTTATATTCCTAGAGAAAGAAAAGAAAATTCTCAAATTAGTGCTGAAGTTCAGTAGTATTAGAGCAGGGGCATGAGTTTTTCATTTCGATTTTTTAAAATATAATTTTGCCTCACACTTAAGTTCACAAGACTCCTGGTCCGAGAAATTATGTATGAGGCTTAGGATGTGCAGTTTGGCTAAGGCTGATTTAAAAAAAAAAAAAAAAAAAAAGGCCGGGCCTGGTGGCTCACACCTATAATCCTATCACTGTAGGAGGCCGAGGCAGGGGGATCATTTCAGCACAGGAGTTCGAGACCAGCCTTGACAACATGGTGAAACCCCATCTCTACTAAAAAGGAAAAAGAAAAAAAAAGAAAAAAAAAATATATATATATATATGTAAAGAAAGAAAACTAACCAGGCACGGTGGCTCATGCCTGTAATCCCAACACTTTGAGAGGCTGAGGCAGGCAGATCACTTGAGGCCAGGAGATCGAGACCAGCCTGGCCAACAGGGTGAAACCGCATCTCTACTAAAAATACAAACATTAGCTGGGCATGGTGGCATGTACCTGTAGTCCCAGCTACTCGGGAGGCTGAGGCAGAAGAATCGCTTGAACCCGGGAGGTGGAGGTTGCAGTGAGCTGAGATCACACCACTGCACTCCAGCCTAGGCAACAGAGTGAGACTCCATCTCAAAAAAAAAAAAAAAGTATGTCTCCCCACTTTTTGGAGTTTCTCCTCTCCTAAATGACCTTCCTTTCTCTATACTACCCCAGAGGCAGGCAGAAAGCTGAAAACAGGATATATGAGAAGTACAAGAGGGGGCACTGTGGTTGGGCAGTGGTTCACATCTGTAATCCCAACACTTTGGGAGGTCGAGGTGGGAGGATCCCTTGAGGCCAGGAGTTAAAGAATGGCCTGGGCAACAAAGTGAGCACTCTCTCTACAAAAATACTTAGTTGGATGTGGTGGAGTGTGTCTAGTCCCAGCTACTTAGGATGCTGAGGTGAGAGGATCACTTGAGCCCAGGAGTTTGAGGCTGCAGTGAGCCATGATCACGCCACCATGATCACCCAGACTAGGTGATAAAGCTAGACCCTGTCTCAAAAAATAATAAAAAGGGGCACTATAAGTTAAGAGTTGGGGGTGACCAGTGAGAAATACCAACGAGTCTGGGAGGCTCAATAAAGTCAATATAATTTATAATAAATACGTCACATACATGTGGTGATTCTTACATATAAAATGAAAATGGGCCAGGTGTGGTGGCCCACGCCTGTAATCCCAGCACTTTGGGAGGCGAGGCAGGCTGATCACTTGAGGTCAAGAGTTCGAGACCAACCTGGCCAACATGCTGTCTCTACTAAAAATATAAAAAATTAGCCAGTCATGGTGGCGGATGTCTGTAATCCCAGCTACTAGGAAGGCTGAGGCAGGAGAATCGCTTGAAACTGGGAGGTAGAGATTGCAGTCAGCCGAAATCACGCCACTGCACTCCAGCCTGGGCGACAAGAGCAAAACTCTGTCTTGAAAAAAAAAAAAAAAAGAAAATGAAAAAGTCGAGAGAGCGAGGGTAAGTATAGGCAGGGCAGGTGTGTTAATGGGCTACCTTCTCAGTGATGCCATTGAACTTAGCCAGGATGTTGAAGAGTGGCACTTGGGGAATGATGAGCTGCTCCTTCTCGTCCTTGTAGAGGGGGGCAGTAGGAAGGTCCAGCGTCAGGTACATAAAAGTGGACTCCACCATTGTCTCCTGGTACTCGTCATTATGGAGCAACTGCTCTTTTTCTTCTGCTGGCTAGAAATGAATGAGAAGAAAAGAGAGGAAAGGAGTGTGACGGGTATAGGAACCAACACAGAACCGATGTTTTACCACGCCGACATTTCCTTCATCTGAAAGAACAAAGAGAAGTGCCCGAGAGATTGGGCAGTTTGGCATGCACCACCTGGTTAGATTAACTTAAGAACCAACAGGTTTCCTTCTTTAAAGATATTTTGCTTATATACCAGACTATCTAAAAAGCCCTGAGGCCAAGTGTGATGGCTCACGGCTGTAATCTCAACACTTTGGGAACAAAGGTGAGAGGACTGCTTGAGTCCAGGACTTCCAGACCAGCCTGGGCAACACAGTGAGACTCCATCTCTACAAAAAAAAAAAAAAATTGGCCGGGCATGATGGCTCACACCTGTAATCCCAGCACTTTGGGAGGCCGAGGCAGGTAGATCACCTGAGGTCAGGAGTCCAAGACCAACGTGACCAACACGGAGAAACCCCGTCTCTACTAAAAATACAAAATAAGCCGGGCGTGGTGGTGGCGCCTGTAATCCTAGCTACTCGGGAGGCTGAGGCAGGAGAATCACCTGAACTCGGGAGGCGGAGGTTGCGGTGAGCCGAGATAGTGCCATTGCACTCCAGCCTGGGCAACAAGAGTGAAACTCCGTCTCAATAAAATAAATAAATTAATTAATTAATTAAATTAAACAAAAATAAAAATAAAAATTAGCCCGGTGTGGTGGTGTGTATCTATGGTCCCAGTTTCTGGGGAGGTTGAGGTGGGAGGATCACTTCAGCAAGGGAGGTTGAGGTTGCAGTGAACCATAATCACGCCACCACACTCAGCCTGAGTGACAGAGATCTTGTCTCAAAAAGGAAAAAAAATCCATTAAAAAAAGAAAGTGGGCCGAGCACGGTGGCTCATGTCTGTAATCCCAGCACTTTGGGAGGCCAAGGGAGGTGGATCACCTAAGGTCAGGAGTTTGAGACCATCCTGACCAACATGGTAAAACCTCTTCTCTACTAAAAATAGAAAAATTAGCCAGGCATAGTGGCGCATGCCTGTAATCCCAGCTACTTCGGAGGCTGAGGCAGGAGAATGGTTTGAACCTGGGAGGTGGAGGTTGCAGTGAGCTGAGATCATGCCATTGCACTCCAGACTGGTCAACAAGAGCAAAACTCCATCTCAAAAAAGAAAAGCTCTAAGACCATCTAGGAAGCTTAGCTGAGGGCCAGGCACGGTGACTCACGCCTGTAATCCCAGCACTTTGGGAGGCCGAGGCAGGTAGATCACCTGAGGTCAGGAGTTCGAGACCAGCCTGGACCAACATGGTGAAGCCCCGTCACAACTAAAAATACAAAATTAGCTGGGCGTGGTGGCAAGCGCCTGTAATCACAGCCACTCAGGAGGCTAAGGCAGGAGAATCGCTTGAACCCAGGAGGTAGAGGTTGCAGTGAGCTGAGATGGCGCCACTGCAACTCCAGCCTTGGCGACAGAGGGAGACTAAGAAAAACAAAAAGAAAGCTTAGCTGAGCTTTCTGAAAAAACACAGCAGCACCACCTAGTGGCCAGAACACTTAAACCAGCACAGTACATCCAACCACTAACTCCCAAACTGAAAAAGTGCACTAGTATGACAGGGACCAGGCAGAGCTGCCACTAGGCAGGTGCTTTGTTGAACCTCTTCACAGGGCAAGCAGGCTTGTCAGTTCTCTGAGCATCTCTTCATCTCCCCTACGTCCCCTCAAGCAATATGAATCAGTCCAAGACCCAGGCTCAATTAACTCACCAGATCAGGATGGGGAAGCTTTTTAGTGAAGATCCTCATGGACCCCTGGAAAACATCAGTCACAATAGCTGCACAAACAGGAAGCAAGAGACAAATTCCGTGAGGATGGAAAACATGTCTGAAGTATATTTCCAGCTTCTAAATTTCTGAAATAAACCAGCATCTTCCAGCAAAAGACACAGAGCTCTCACTAAACACAGAAGTTTCCTTTTGTACTATATACCACCAGGGTACCTTTATAATTATTTGTGTAAATAATTACTTTATTTCTCTTAAGACAACTTTTTATCCTCCATCACAGGGCCTGGTCCATAAAAGAAAAGGTAAATGTGTTCAAAATGAAGGAATGGTGATACATGAATTACAAAAAAATTCACAAGCAAAACAAGGTACAGCCAAGGAACTTCCCATAACCATAAGCTACTTTCAAAGGGAGACAATGTCCAAACTGTAATGAAGACAAGAGGACAATGACAGACTAAGAGATGGGCCAGAACAGGATCAAAGCAACAAGAGAGAAAGCACAACCAAGTTCTAGAACCCTGCCAAGACGCAAGTTAGAGAGCTCAGAGGGTTAACACAGGCTGAAGACACCTGGTAGAGAGGGCAGGGCCATCCAGTGGGAAAAGCAACAGGCCACAATCCCACATCAAGACACCATCACATCTATAATCCTAGCACTTTGGGCAGATCACCTGAGGTCAGGAGTTTGAGACCAGCCTGGCCAACATGGAGAAATCCCATCTCTACTAAAAATACAAAAATCAGCTGGGCGTGGTAGTGGGTGCCTGTAATCCCAGCTACCCTTGGGAGACTGAGGGAGAAGAACTGCTTGAACCTGGGAGATGGAGGCTACAGTGAGCTGAGACCGTGCCACTGCATAGCCTAGGTGACAGAGCAAGACTCTGTCTCAAAATATATATATAATAAAATATCATTGGGACTATAACCATATTCTAGCAAAAACTATGGAGAGGGGCCTATTCAGAAAGAACATGTAGTTTATCTATAACATAGATACTAGCCTACCCCAGATAAACAGTTAACAAAAGAATGGGAAGTTGCCTCAGCCTCCCAAGTCGCTGGGACTACAGGCACATCCCACCACACCTGAATAACTTTTGTATTTTTGGTAGAGATGGGGTTTCGCCATGTTGGCCAGGCCGGTCTCAAACTCCTGACCTCAGGTAATCCACCCACCTCGGCCTCTCAAAGAGCTGGGATTATAGGCATGAGCCATTGCGACCGACCGCAAAGTTTTTTAAAAGGGAACAAAATAACTCCTTTTTATAAGTAAATGACTTACTCTTCTTTTTCTTCTTTGTGCCCCCCAGAGCTGAGTGCAGAGCATTCAGAAACCAAGACAGAAAGTCAACGCCATCTCCTGGAAAAAAAGGAAGGGTGGAAAACGTTGAAGCTAAGTGGCATTAGAGTTAACTTAAACCATGCACTGGTTGGCATTCCTGGTTCTCCCCCTTCCTCTCTGGCCATGCCATCCCATCCCAACTGCCGTGCATCCTCCTCTATCTTATCATTAAATGCTGGCACTCCTCAAGGTCAAGCTCTCACTCCTCCGATCTTGACTCTCTCCATAGGCTCTCTGATTCATACCAGGACTGTATCGCATCACTCAGTGATGACCAAAACAAATGAATATGACCTTTTAACATCCACTTTTCTCCAGAGTGAGCTCAAACTTCCTTCTTCCCTTCTGCAGCTCATGAAGATTCCTGTCTTTTAGGAAAGTGACTAGCACCCAGACTGAAAAGGCATACAGAACAAGGGGTTCTGAAAGCAGATTGACAATATTCCATGAAAATGCTGTCTACGGAACCTGCCACTCAGACATTTCAGGGATAGTGGCTACTTTTTTTTTTGAGACAGAGTCTCACTCTGTCGCCCAGGCTGGAGTGCAGTGGCATGATCTCAGCTCACTGCAACCTCCGCCTCCTGGGTTCAAGCGATTCTCCCACCTCAGTCTCCTGAGTAGCTGGGATTACAGGTGCCTGCTACCATGCCCAGCTAATTTTTGTATTTTTAGTAGAGACGGGGCTTCACCATGTTGGCCAGGCCGGTCTCGAACTCTTGACCTCAAGTGATCCTCCCGCCTCAGCCTCCCAAAGTACTGGGATTACAGGCATGAGCCACTGCGCCCAGCCAGATAATGACTACTTTCTCTTCAACGAAGATTTGCTTCTATTTAGTTCCTCTTTGCTCACGCAATTAAAATCTCAAAGACTATAGTATATCTTCCTCAACTTCATTTCCCTAAACCCAGAGGCCTCTAACAACTCCATAGAATGATTTTCTTTTTATTCCCTGTACACAGAATGCTCTTATGTAACAAACTACCACAGCAAGAAACACTTCACACATCTAAACACTCGGCAACTAATAACCTACTAGGTCTCAGAGATGGAGGAAATTATGTTTATGTGACATCATAACTATCCTAGCCAATAGTGGCTATGACAGAAGAAACTAGACACGTTGATTCTCAGGGTACCCTGGTTTTTCTGCAACTCTACAACCCAATTATGCCCTAACTTTCCAAGCTGCCAAAAGCTGACAGGCCCCACTATCCACCTTCAGGCCATAAGTCACCTGTGGAACACAGTGAATGCTGACACTCATCCATCCATTCATGGTCCACAAAAAAATCATTCTCAACACAAATTTCTTCCTTTCTTGCAGCCTTAATATAAAACCCTGGGAGCTCAGGGAGTTGGTCCAGAAACAGAAATGTCTCTATAAACACAAGATAACCTAGCCACCTAGTTCTTGGGAATTAGATGGTCCTACAAAGCACACAAACAGGCTGTCACCTGTTTAGAAGGGTGAGGCACCCAGATTTTTTCTTCGCGACACAGCGTCTCACTCTGTCACCCAGGCTGGAGTGCAGTGATGCAACTTCAGCTCACTGCAAGCTCTGCCTCCCAGGCCCAAGGAATCCTTCCACCTCAGTTTCCCAAGTAGCTGGGACTACAGGCGTGTGCCATCATGCCCGGCTAACTTTTACATTTTTTGTCGAGAGGGAGTCTCACTATGTTCCTCAAGCTGGTCTTGAACTCTTGGGCTCAAGCAATCCTCCCACTTCGGCCTCCCAAAGTGCTGGGATTACAGGCATGAGCCAGCGCGCCTGGCCCCAGATTAAGATTTCATTGGCCATGTTGTAACCAACCCGAAGTGTATCTTATTTCCTACTAACCCTGAAACAAGTGCTCCATGGGCCCCATTCCTTACCACCTTGATTCCTCCTATTTCTCCTTAAGTACCAGAGACTCTTAAAAGCCACTACTCGGCCGGGCGTGGTGGCTCACGCCTGTAATCCCAGCACTTTGGGAGGCCGAGGCGGACGGATCACGAGGTCAGGAGATCGAGACCATCCCGGCTAAAACGGTGAAACCCCGTCTCTACTAAAAATACAAAAAATTAGCCGGGCGTAGTGGCGGGCGCCTGTAGTCCCAGCTACTTGGGAGGCTGAGGCAGGAGAATGGCGTGAACCCGGGAGGCGGAGCTTGCAGTGAGCCGAGATCCCGCCACTGCACTCCAGCCTGGGCAACAGAGCGAGACTCTGTCTCAAAAAAAAAAAAAAAAAAAAAAAAGCCACTACTCGACGTCCCCTCTAAGTCAATCCTCAGCCAGAATAATGTTTTTCTTTTTATTTTACAGACAGAGGTCTCACTCTGTTGTCCAGGCTGGAGTACAGTGGGACCAACATGGCTCACTGAAGCCTCTACCTCCTAGGCCCAAGCGATCCTCCAACCTCAGCCTCTCAAGTAGCTGGACTACAGGTACATGCCACCATGCCTGGGTAATTTTTAAAAATTTTTTGTAGATATAGGGTCTATGTCACGCAGGATGGTCTCTAACTCCTGGGCTCAAGCAATCCACCCACCTTGATCTCCCAAAGTGGTGGGATTACAGGTTTGAGTGACCATGCCCAGCTGGAATAATGTTTTAAAAACAAATTCATAAGTCTGATGTCACATCTTTGTTAAAAGCCTTCAATGAGGCCGGGCATGGTGGTTCACACCTGTAATCCCAGCACTTTGGGAGGCCGAGGCGGGTGGATCACCTGAGGTGAGGAGTTCGATACCAGCCTGACCAACGTGGTGAAACTCCGTCTCTACTAAAAATACCAAAAAATTAGCCAGGTATGGTGGTGGGTGCCTGTAGTCCCAGCTACTCGGGAGGCTGAGGCGGCAGAATAGCTTGAACTGGGGAGACAGAGGTTGCAGTGAGCCGAGATCACACCACTGCACTCCAGCTTGGGCAACAGAGTGAGACTCTATCTCAAAAAAAAATAAAAGCCTTCAATGACTCCAGCTTTTTTCAGGATATAATCCAAGCTCCTTATGGTAGCTTATAAAGCAGGCCATCTGGTCCCTCCCTCAGGATCTACACCTTGGCTCTCCACTGACCCCAGGAGTCCAAGGGTCCAGCTACTTGCAGTCTCTGACTATGCCAGGCACTTTTCTCTTCTGCCCACCATGTCCTCTCTACCTAGAATGCCTACTCCCCATCCCAACCTGCCTCCACCTCTACCTAAAACTCAGGGTCTCTTCCTCCACTCTGATCTCTGATCTACCTCCCACATGTTCAGCTGAGGGGGTCCTTACTCCATGCTCCCCTCCCATAGCACAGCACTTAACACCTGTAATTACCTTTTCTTAAAAAAGATAGTTGAGCCGGGCGTGGTGGCTCACGCCTGTAATCCCAGCACTTTGGGAGGCTGAGGTGAGCAGATCACAAGGTCAGGAGCTCGAGACCTGCCTGGCTAACACGATGAAACCCTGTCTCTACTAAAAATACAAAAAAATTAGCTGGGCATGGTGGCACGCACCTGTAGGCCCAGCTACTTGGGAGGCTGAGTCAGAAGAATCACCTGAACCCAGGAGGCGGAGGTTGCAGCGAGCCGAGATCACACCATTGCACTCCAGCCTGGGCAACAGAGCAAGACTCTGTCTCAAAAAAAAAAAAAAAAAGATAGTTGAAATTTGCTTATTGATTTTTAAAGACAGGGTCTTCCTCCGTTCCCCAGCTGGAGTGCAGTGGTGTAATCATAGCTCACTGTAGCCTTGAACTCCTGGGCTCAAGCAATACTCCTGCCTCAGCCTCCCAAGTAGCTCAGACCACAGGCTTCTGCCAGCACACTCAACCTTTCTACATAACTATTTCCCCACCAGACTGGGAGTTCTTCAAAGAGAAAAATCGTGTTTCTTATCCCTGCTGCTCTAAAACCTAGCACCATGAGTGAATGCTGAATAAACTAATACAGATGCTAGAGGATACCATATGAGATTCAGGTACAAAGTTACACTGTCCGCTTTACTCATAAGACAGTAACAAATTGGGTTTGGAGAGAAAAAAACAGTCAAAATAGTTCATCAGAGGCCGGGCGCAGTGGCTCACACCCGTAATCCCAACACTTTGGGAGGCCGAAGCGGGTGGATCACTTGAGGTCAGGAGTTCACCTGGCCAACATGGTGAAACCCCCTCTCTACTAAAAATACAAAAATTAGCTGGGCATGTTGGCGGGCACCTGTAATCCCAGCTACTTGGGAGGCTGAGGCAGGAGAATCCCTTGAACCCAGGAGGCAGAGGTTGCAGTGAGCAGAGATCACACCACTGCACTCCAGCCTGGGCAATGAAGCAAGACTCGGTCTCAAAAAAACAAACAAAACAAAACAAAACAAAACAAAAATATCATCAGAATACCCTAATGTGGGACACGAAAGAATGAAGATAGGTGACAGGTGTTTAATAAAAGCTAGTGTCTTTCCCAGCCTCCTGGTATTTCCCTAAGCCATACAGTTTAATTTACCAAATAAGACCGACTTTCTATTCAGCTAGAATCTCCTGGGACTCTTAGCAGGGCAGATTGGTCAGAGAAGAATGAAGAACCTAACCACACTATCCACTGGACACTCCTGGCTACTCTCAAGATTCACTGCAGCTGGGCACAGTGGCTCATGCCTGTAATCATAGCTACTTGAAGCTGAGGCAAGAGGATCCCTTGAGTCCAGAAGTTCAAGGCTGCAGTGAGCTACAAGTCCCGCCACTGCACTCCAGCCTGGTCAAAAGAGCAAGACTGTCTCTTAAAAAAAAAAAAAAAAAAAAGGCCGGGCGCAGTGGCTCATGCCTGTAATCCCCAGCACTTTGGGAGGCCGAGTAGGGTGGATCAAGAGGTCAGGAGTTCGAGATCAGCCTGGCCAACATAGTGAAACCCCATCTCTGCTAAAAATACAAAAATTAGCCGGGCGTGGTGGTGCGTGCCTATAGTCCCAGCTACTTGGGAGGCTGAAGCGGGAGAATCGCTTGAACCCTGGAAGTGGAGGTTGCAGTGAGCTGAGACCATGCCATTGTACTCCAGCCTGGGTGACAGAGTGAGACTCCATCTCAAAAAAAAAAATTCACTGCCAAGTGGAAATAAATTTGTTCATCAAACTAGTTTTGTTGTCCTGAAACATGAATGACTTGTTCTTACCTTGTTTGGTGATCTGAAAAGTCTTCTTACTGCAAAGTACAACTGCCTGAAGCATCTCATGGGGAGACACATGTGCCTTGAAATTTCGAGGGTTCCAGAGCTTTCTCATCAGCTCTCCAAAACGCTGGACCAACAAGAACATGATATCCCCTGGAGGACGTTTGATGTTCTTATAATTGTCTTCTTCCAGAAAGTAGTTCCGGAGAGGAGGAACATTAGATAGAGCCTAAAAATCAAACACTCCGATTAACCCAAAGCCCCTTTGTAGGACCCCTTGAGCCAAGCTCTTCCAATTAAAGTTCTCCTAATAGAATTTGTGATGTGCCTGTGATGGCCTTAAAGAGCCAAAAGTAAATGGACCCTTGGAGAATCCTACCCAGGCTCACATCACAGAAATATCATTAACGTTGAGTTTCATACGAACTACAGTTCTGCAGACAACTTTGCTGATGTGGATACCACAAAGAAGGTTAAAACAAAACAAAACAAAACACAGGTATTCAAATCTCTATCAACTTATTCAACAATTTCCTTTTGTTACTCTAATTATGCTGTGACAATACTTAAATTCATAAGGCAGAAGGCTATAATCCAAATACTCTTTCCTTCATCATCCATTTTGGTTGAAGCAAAAATAACTACCTAGGAAACACAGTTCTCCCATCTCTCAACTCCACACTAAAATAATATGAAAATTATCTTAAAATGTGATGTTTTCCCATACTAAAACCATATAATTGTACATAAAAGTAAATATAGGGAGCTGTGAGGACGCAAAGGTGTAAGAACAATACAATGATCTTTGGGGACTTGGGGGAAAGAGTGTGGGGGGTGGTGAGGGATAAAAGACTACACACTGGGTACAGTATACACTGCTTGGGTGATGGGTGACCAAAATCTCAGAAATCACCACTAAAGAACTTATTCATGTAACCAAAAACCACCTGTTCCCCAAAAACCTACTGAAATTTTTTTTTTATTTTTGGAGACCGAGTCTTGCTCCATCCCCCAGGCTGGAGTGCAGTGGCACGATCTTGGCTCACTGCAACCTCTGCCTCCAGGGTTCAAGCAATTCTCATGCCTAAGCCACCATGCCCAGCCAAAATTTTTTTTAAAAAGTAAATATACTCTGTTATGACGGAAAATGGTCGGCCAGGCGAGGTGGCTCATGCCTGTAATCCCAGCACTTTGGGAGGCCAAGGTGGGAGGATCACCTGAGGTCAGGAGTTCAAGACCAGCCTGGCCAACATGGTGAAACCCCGTCTCTACTAAAAATACAAAAATTAGCAGGGCATGGTGGCACGCGCCTGTAATCCCAGCTACTCAGGAGGCTGAGGCAGAAGAATCACTTGAACCCGGGAGGCGGAGGTTGCAGTGAGCCAAGATGGCACCACTGCACTCCAGCCTAGACAACAAGAGCAAAACTCCGTCTCAAAAAAAAAAAAAAGAGAAAGAGAAAATGGTCAAAAGGTTTAGGACAATAAAAACAAATTGTATCTCATTAAGCAGAAAGATAAAAACTAGCCGTATTAATTTCAGGAAGAAACACAGGCTCATCAGCCTGAGCTACAAAACTGGGAGGAGGGGTCTAGGCGCGATGGTTCACGTCTATAATCCCAGCACTTTGGGAGGCCAAGGTGGGCGGATCACTTGAGGTCAGGAGTCCAAGACCTGCCAGGCCAACATGGTGAAACCGTCTCTACTAAAAATACAAAATTAGCTGGGTGTGGTGGTGAGTGCCTGTAATTCCAGCTTCTCGGGAGGCTGAGGCAGGAGAATCACTTAGACCCGGGAGGCAGAGGTTGCAGCGAGCCAAGATCGCGCCATTGCACTCCAGCCTAGGCAAAAAGAGCAAAATTCCATCTCAAAAAAACAAAACAAAACGAAACTGGGAGGAAGAGGACCAAAGACACCCTAAATAAAAATGCAGTATCCCCACAGGTCCTTCCCGACCAGCACTGTGCTTACCATGAACACATTTCTTTCTTAAACAAGGTCATCCATTCAGGGAGTCAGCTAGAAGGGTTTCTGCTAAATGTAATAACCCAGGCACCTCTAAGGAAGACAACTCAGAACACAGAGAGCACTTTAACCACAGAGGGGATTAGGAAAGCCCCGACAAGCTAAGCTCAGCTAAAGAAACAAGGACTTCCTGTTTGTAGAATAATTACTAAAAAGAGAGATTTACTCTCAAAACAAGAGGATGGACAAAGTTTATCCTAATTCTCAGTTGTCTATCTTGTGGAGAAAAGGTTGCACTCTGGCCTCAGCAACAATATAAATAATATTGGTCATCCTCAGAGAAGAATTATCCACCCTCCAGATGGATGATCTGGTCCAGTCAACCCTATTTTAGTGGAAACATCATCACACAGGGTTTGTTAATCCATTTATTTTTATAAAGAGAACTTCCTATGCGATCTAAAATTCATCAGAAAGCCAAGACTAACAGCTCTGACCAAATCCAAATTCTATCTGTCCATCCTATAATGGTTTTCACTCGGCAGGGCGCGGTGGCTCACACCTGTAATCCCAGTACTTTGGGAGGCCGAGGCGAGCAGATCACGAAGTCAGGAGATCGAGACCATCCTGGCTAACACAATGAAACCCCGTCTCTACTAAAAATACAAAAAATTAGCTAGGCATGGTGGCACGCACCTGTAGTCCCAGCTACTCGGGAGGCTGAGGCAGGAGAATCGCTTGAACCTGGGAGGCAGAGGTTGCAGTGAGCTGAGATTGTGACACTGCATTCCAGCCTGGGTGACAGAGCGAGACTCCATCTCAAAAAAAAATCAGTTTTCACGCAGCCATGAGAGGATTTAAGAGGAACGATCTGATGAAAAGTCTCTCTACTTAAGAATTTGACCTTTCCAGAGACTAGGCATGACACCAAGAGCAGACACTGAATGTAAAAAATATGCCTTTACAGTTTTTTGTCCAATTCTTCATGGCAAAAATATCACTTAAAAAATTTAAAGGCCAAATAAGAACTAGCAGAAAACATGTGCAACATATGCAACAGAAAAGGGAAGAACTTTATCATATATTTCTTAAAGCTCAGTAAGACGAACCAATAGGAAAGGAGTCTGTAAGGCCCAATAACTCAAGAAAAAAATACAAATAATTAACTTTAGAAGTGATCCAAGGCTAGGTGCAGTGGCTCACACCTGTAATGCCTGCACTTTTCAAAGTCCTCAAACTTCTCCAACAGCCTCGAACTCCTGGGCTGAAGGGATCCTCCCACCTCAGCCTCCCAAACAGCTAGGACCACAGGCATGCATGCACCACTGTGCCCAGCTAATTTTTTTTTTTTTTTTTAAATAGAGACAGGGTCTCGCTATGTTGCCAGGCTGATTTCAAACTACTGGCCTCAAGGGACCCTGCCACCTTGGCCTCCCAAAGTGCTGGGATTAGAGGCATGAGCCACCATGCCCAGCCCCTTACAATTTATACATGTTTTCCCCAATAAGCCTGTGTTTATGATTTTTTAATCATTTTCTTGGTGAAGTAGGATTATTGTTTTCTTATTATACTTACCAACATTTAAAAATTGGCTGGGCATGGTGGCTCACACCTGTAATCCCAGCACTTTCAGAAGCTCAGGCGGGTGGACCACGAGGTCAGGAGTTCAAGACCAGCCTGGCCAACATGGTGAAACCCCATCTCTACTAAAAATACAAAAATTAGCCGGGTGTGGTGGCAGGCATCTGTAATCCCAGCTACTCAGGAGGCTAAGGCAGAAGAATCACTTGAACCTGGGGAGCAGAGGTTGCAGTGAACGAAGATCATGCCACTGCATTCCAGCCTGGGTGACAGACTCCCTCTAAAAAAAAAAATTTCTACAGTATGCACCTATTACTCATAAAATTTTCTTAAAAACAACTTTTAATTGAAAATAAGGGATGGGCACGGTGGCTCATGCCTGTAATCCCAACACTTTGGGAGGCCGAGGCAGGTGGATCACGAGGTCAGGAGTTCAAGACCAGCCTGGCCAAAATGGTGAAACCCTGTCTCTAAAACTAAAACTACTAAAACTCTACTACAACCCTGTCTCTACAAAACTTAGCCAGGCACAGTGGCAGGCGCCTGTAATCCCAGCTACTCGGGAGGCTGAAGCAGGAGAATCGCTTGAACCTGGGAGGCAGAGGTTGCAGTGAGCTGAGATTGCGCCACTACACTCCAGCCTGGGCAACAGACTGAGACTCCGTCTCAAAAAAAAAAAAAAAGAAAATAGGACAGCTTTGGTTTTCTGCCTTTCCAATTTCAGGGTTATGAGCACATGGGCAGGAAAAAGTCATTGATCAGCCAGCACAACAAATATCTACACCATTTTTTTAAAAAAATGCATCTGGCATGTTTCTTACTTGATACTGCAAGGCAACACAGATTCGGTCCCTCATTCCCTGAAGTTCCAGATGCCATGAGCCAGAGGCTAGAAAAAGCCTCACCATTTGACAGCAGCCCAGTGAGCAAAGGAATGCTCTGCCTGTTGCAGAACAATTACTCAAGTAGAGTCCTTAGCAAGACTTGGTGTCTGAGGATCATCTGACTATACTCTACAAGAAGGCAGTAATTTCTTTTTTTGAGACGGAGGAGTTTCGCTCTTCTTGCCCAGGCTGGAGTGCAGTGACGTGATCTCAGCTCACTGCAACCTCCGCCTCCTGGGTTCAAGTGATTCTCCTGCCTCAGCCTCCCGAATAGCTGAGATTACAGGCATGCACCACCAAGCCCGGCTAATTTTGTATTTTTAGTAGAGATGGGGTTTCTCCATGTTGGCCAAGCTAGTCTCGAACTCCTGACCTCAGGTGATCCTCCCGCCTTGGCCTCCCAAAGTGCTGGGATTACAGGTATGAGCCACTGCGCCTGGCCGAAGGCAGTAATTTCTTGGCCAGTACACATACTATTTCCTGTCCCTCTCTTTTTTTTTTCTTGAAACAGAGTCTCACTGTTCCCCAGGCTGGAGTGCAGTGGCGCGATCTCGGGTCACTATAACCTCTGCCTCCCGGATTCAAGCGATTCTCCCACCTCAGCCTGCCAAATAGCTGGGACTACAGGCTTCCACCACCATATCTAGCTAATTTTTGTATTTTTAGTAGAGACAGGGTTTCTCCATGTTGGCCAGGCTGGCTCAAACTCTTGACCTCAGGCAATCCGCCTGCCTTGGCCTCCCAAAGTGCTGGGATTACAGGGGTGAGCCACTGTGCTCAGCCTTCTGGGTGTCCTTCTCTTCCTCAATGTTCCCGTCTTGATCTTACCTGAAGGACAGCGTTGGCATAATCATTGGCCTTTATGTTATTCAGTCCCACAATACCCGGCAGGTAAGTGGTACCATCATATGCCCGGGACAATTTGGCTTGCTTGTCCAAGTTTGCAATTTGCTGCTTTGTGAAAGTGGGCTTCAACACATACTGCAAAGCAAAAGAAAATGCTAAGTTGTTTAAGAGCTGAGTTCACAAGAAATGTCTGTAACAGTAATTTCTACAAAAACAAAAAACACTTGGCCATGAACATCCCACCACACACAGAAAAATAGTCCGAACCAGTAGGTGTAAAGATTGAAGTAACACGGAGTAGATCCTCTCCCATGGCTAATCTACAAGGGGATCTCTGTGTCTATCCCAAAATCACTGAATCCCAGGTCTTTTCGCCGACCTCAGGTCTGGTCAACTCATGAAAACTGACTGCCAGAAACCATACAATACTCAAGTTCCTAAAGGCAGTCTAAGTCTCAGATAGAACCTCCTGGGAGCAGCACATGGACCTAGCTTTGGAGCAGGAGAGTTTCCTCCACTCTGGGTGGGAATGAGGATCTCCATGAGTCCCTGGTACTGGAAGAGCAGGATCAGACTCTTCCCAGGCACAGAGTTACCACAGTCATTATGTCACAGACTGGACAGAGATCATCGCAAACTCACTTTGAAACACTGAATTTAGCCCAGTTTTTCCCTCTATAAATACTGACCATAACTTTTTTTTTTTTTTTTAGATGGAGTTTTGCTCTTGTTGCCTAGACTAGAGTGCCATGGCATGATCTTGGCTCACTGCAACCTCCCCCTCCCAGATTCAAGCAACTCTCCTGCCTCAGCCTCCCAAGTAGCTGGGATTACAGGCATGTGCCATCATGCCCGGCTAATTTTGTATTTCTAGTAGAAACGGGGTCTCATCATGTTGGTCAGGCTGGTCTCAAACTCCTGACCTCAAATGACCCACCTGCCTCGGCCTCCCAAAGTGCTGGGATTACAGGTGTGGGCCTCCCCACCAAGCCTGTCCATAACTATTTTAATCTCAACTATTAATAATAGGCTTATACAACTTTTACAAGTAGAAAAAGCAGTATTTCAAAGACTAAATACCACGTTTTCCTTAAAAATAAACAGAGCATGAACAACTTAGGCAATGCAGTGAGACTCCATCTCTACAAAAAATTTTAAAAATGTATCTGGGCATGATGGTAACGCCTACAGTCCTAGCTACTTGGGAAGCTGAAGTAAAAGTATCACTTGAACCCATGAGGTCGAGGCTGCAGTGAGCTGTGATGGCACCACTGCACTCCAGCCTGAGCGACAAAGTGAGACCCTGTCTCAAAAAAAAAACCAAAAACAAGAACAGAGCACATGGCACCATGAATACACCCCACGTGCTGAAAAGGAAAATAATAATCAAAAGCCCAACACTAATCAAACCCAAGAGGACTTTCCATGCTCAGTACAATGAGTGTCTCTTGGCACAGGTCACAAACTAGAGCCCACAGATAAGATATCTGTGGCTGGATGCTCTGGCCACGGCGTATGTTAAAAGCAGCCAGGAGCCGGTGTGCAGCTTGGTAAATACTGTCCTACACCAGGACCAATTCATATCCCTACTTCACAGTGTAGAAGAATAATTTCACAAAAACACTTTAAACCCCATCAGAATACACCCATATTTCTTCAGTCCTAGCCCTCAATGTTACAAGTAGAAATGACAGTTAAGTTACAGACTACAGGCTGCAATTATGAATTCTGACCTTACTCAGTTTCCCCAGTTCTTCCCAAAAGAGAAAGCAGCCTCTCGATGCCTAAAGGGACTGAGATTCTTCCCTGTCCTCAGGTGGGGCAGTCCCCTGGGAGCCCTGGGATGGCTCATTAAAGAATGGACCCCAAACCAACCCTCTTAGACACACACCGTGATATCCTCCAATGAGGAATCGATGATCTCATAGTTGTCTGGAAGGCAGTAAAACTTGAGGGTGTGGAGGTTGAGGAAAACATGGTGGCTAAACTGGACACTGTGAATGTAGGCGTGAGACTTCAAACCCCGGCCTGTAGGGAAGGGTGAAAAGCTGTAATAGAAGGGCAGATACTAGAACACACAGATCAGGTTTGCTTTTCCTTTCATTATTTTCTACCGGAACATGTTAATATCCGCAAAAAACAAATATTATGCCATTCATAAAATGAATCCTCCACATGAAGTTCTCTCATAAAAAAATTAGCAAGAAAGACTAGCACATTAGTTACTTCATTCTCTAAATGGCCTAAGACATTGATTAGGGAAACAAATTTCACTATTTTTTAATATATATGTAAAATATATATAACCTATATATATATCTATATATAATACATATAACTATATATTCATACATAGTTTCCTATATACATGAAACTAGAAATATCTATGCATATATGTGTGCATAAATACACATAAACATAAATACATACATATCCTATGACAGTCCATCATCACTCAGTCCTGGATTTCCAAATGCCCATATTCAGGACAATGCTTTATCTATGTAACTTTTTTCATGTTGCTACTCCTTTCTAGAATCTCTCTCCCTTAACCATTCAAATTCTATGTCCTGCCAATTCAAGTCCCACCTCAGCTCTTCCATGAACTCAACATAAACACTCCAGCTAACATTGATTTTTGCACATTCAACTCCTATTGCACTTATTTTTACTCCGTGCCACAGTCCAGCAGTAATCTTTATGATCTAACAGAACTCACTGGTTGTTTTACATGTCAACCTTGACTCCTTATAAGCTCCTTACGAGAGCAAAGAATACAGTTTTTATCTCTTTTTTTGAGACAGGGTCTTGCTATGTTAGCCAGGTGGGTCTTGAACTCTTGACTTTAAACAATCCTCCTCCTCGGCCTCCCAAAATGCTAGGATTAGGTGTGTAAACCACTGTGCCCAGCTGTTTTTACCTCATTTGAATCCTCCACTATACTATGTACATGGCATCTGCTTGGTGTGAATGAGTTGAAATGATAAATTTTCAGAAAAAAATGGAATAAAAAAAGTCCTTTGAGCTAAAGAATATTCCAAAAAAAAAAAAAAAATTGTAGCCTGGGTAACATAATAAGGCCTTGTCTCCACAAAAAAATAAAATAAAATAATTAGCCAGACAGCAGGGTGCAATGGCTCACATCTATAATCCCAGCACTTTGGGAGGTACAGGCAAGCACACTGCTTGAGCTCAGGAATTTCAAGACTAGCCTGGGCAACAGAGTACAATCCCATCTTTTAAAAAAATGTGGCCGTGCACGGTGGCTCATGCCTGTAATCCCAGCACTTTGGGAGGCTGAGGAGTATGGATCACTTAAAGTCAGGAGTTCAAGACCAGTGTGGCCAATATGGTGAAACCCCCTCTCTACTAAAAAATACTAAAATTAGCCGGGTGTGATGGTGCATGCCTGTAATCCCAGCTACTCAGGAGGCTGAGGCAGGAGAATCACTTGAACCTGGGAGTCAAGAGGCTGCAGTGAGCCAAGATCACGTCACTGCACTGCAGCCTGGGTGACAGAGTGAGACTCCATCTCTTAAAAAAAAAAAAAATTAGGCCGGGCGCGGTGGCTCACGCCTGTAATCCCAGCACTGTGGGAGGCCAAGACAGGTGGATCACCTGCGGCCAGGAGTTCAAGACCAACCTGGCCAACATGGTGAAACCCCGTTTCTACTAAAAATACAAAAATTAGCCAGGCATGGTGGCAGGCGCCTGTAATCTCAGCTACTCTGGAGGCTGAGGCAGGACAATTGCTTGAACCCAGGAGGCGGAGGTTGCAGTGAGCCAACCTGGGCAACACTGTCTCAAAATAATTTTAAAAAAGTAAAAATTAAAAAAATACATATATTAGAGATTCGAGAACCCAGAGTCTTTAAGATTACAGTCTTTCATATGACTAGCTCTTTCTCCCTTACAGACATATCCAGGTTCTGACCAGTCAGAGAACCTCTTATTGGTTTTCTAAGAATATTTCAATTTCCTGGGAACAAATAGAAATTATTAGATATGATTCCTGAGAACAGCTTACTTTCTTTAAAAAAAAAAAAAAAGTCCCTCTGGAGCAGATCTGCAGTTAGCTCTAACAACTTATTTACCTTGAAAGTACTTGCCACACACCAGACAGGCATAAGCATTGATGTGTGAGAGGGAGATAGAACACAGTTTCTCAAAGTCAAAGTCCAGCACACTCCTAAGGAAACAAAACAGAAAAAAATAAATAGGATGGACATGTAGGAAGGCACGCAAATGAAGCAGTGCTGGCTCTGTGACCCATGATACCACATAACATCCTTCAGAAAACAGTTCACAACCATATATACACCATGGGGGACACTGATTATTCCTCACCTCCACCCGCCATGCTCCAAAGCACTGTTGAGGTGTCTCCACCAGACACATAATACCCACGAGCCTCTTTCTCATTAGTGTTTGTAACCAGTTCAGGACTTTCCATTGCAGTCACTTTCTCTAGAGAGAAAGCTACAAGTTAGACTAAGGTAACAGTACCCCAGCAGCATTCTGGAGGTGGAGAGGACATAAAAAGGGTGAATAAATCCTTGCATAAAAGAAAAACATATCACTTAAGCCCAGGAGTTTGTGACTAATGAGCTCTGATCCACCACTGCACTCCAGACTGGGATACAGAGTGGGATCCTCTCTTAAAAACAAATAATAATAATAATTAATTACAAAATAAAAATGTATTTTTATCCATAAAAACAAATAGCCTGAAGAATTTCAGAATACCTATAAACAGACCTATTTATTCAAGTGCAAAGTGAGTACTGGCAGTAAGGAACAAAAACCTTATCTCCACTGAATCCACAAAGAGATTTATTCTCAAATAGTAACTCTTAATTAACCGATAATAATCCCAAAGAGCTATGCTGTCTAATTTATTAGAGGCCACTAGACAAAGTGGCTATTGACAATTAAATTTAAAATACAGCTGTCCCTCAGTAGCCACAGGACACTGGTTCTAGGACCCCTTCAAATACCAAAATCCACAATGTTCAAGCCCCTTACAGCTGGCCCTTTGTACCTTCAGGTTCCATATCCTGATACTGAGGCTGACTGTAATTCAATTAAATAAAATTTAAAATTCAGTTCTTCAACTGCAGGAGCCACTGAAGCCACAGGTGGCTCATGCCTACCATAATGAACAGCCCTTATAACTTTTTTGGTTTTTTTTTTTTGAGATAGGGTCTCACTTTGTCATCCAGGCTGGAGTACAGTGGCGCAATCTCAGCTCACTGCAGCCTCAACCTCCTAGGTTCAAGCAATCCTCCTGCTTCAGCCCCCCAAGAAGCTGGGACTACAGGAGTGCACCACCACACCTGGCTAATTTTTTTATTTTTTGTAGAGCTGAAGTTTTGCCATGCTGCCCAGGATGCTCAAACTCCTGAGCTCAAGCAATCTGCCTGCCTCAGCCTCCCAAAGTGCTGGGATTACAGGCATGAGCCAGAGCACCCGGCCATAACTTTTTTTTTAAGTTTTTTTAAAAGATGGGTCTCGTTGGCTGGGCGTGGTGGCTCATGCCTGTAATCCCAGCACTTTGGGAGGCCAAGGCAGGTGGATCTCCTGAGTTCAGGAGTTTGAGGTCAGCCTGGCCAACATGATGAAACCCCGTCTCTTCTAAAAAAAATACAAAAATTAGCTGGGCGTGGTGGCGGGCACCTGTAATCCCAGCTACTCAGGAAGCTGAGGCAGGATAATCACTTGAACCTGGAAGGCGAAGGTTGCAGTAAGCCAAGATCGCGCCATTGCACTCCAGCCTGGGGGACAAAAATGAAACTCCATCTCAAAAAAAAAAAGATGGGTCTCATTATGTTGACCAGGCTGGTCTCAAATTTCTGGCCTCAAGGGATCCTCCTGCCTTGGCCTGCCAAAGGGCTGAGTAAAGGCGTGGGCCACCACACCCAGCTCTTACAAGAGTAATTATATTATTGTAAAACATTCCCCTACAATATAGGTTGAAAAACATTCTACATGCCACCTGGGAATCAGAGAAAAGAATGCTATGATGAGGTAAACTACCTCAGCTTTCAAACAAATTTCTGTGTTTTTTTTCTGCTGAATCCCAGGCACCCAAAATAGTATCCAGCACATACTAGATACTCCATAAACATTTCAATGTGCTACTGTTATTTTAGGATACTATGCATCCTGTTATCCCAACATACAAATGCAAAATAAGCTCTTTAACAACATGTGTTCTGACACTTTAAATCAAAGAATAAGGAGTAACATGGCAAGAAGCACAACTCTCTAGACAGGTTCAAAAAAAGTAAAGTTTGTCAATGTGTTGTTCACTGTACAGTCCAAAAACTTTCTGCACAGATTCCATTGTTCTTGTGCTATACTCAGCATCTCTGTCCTACTGACCTGTTAATGGTGTCCAGGTACGGGCAGTGGCGGCTCCTCCGGTCCTCAGAATCCACTCGGCCATTCTTTGCTGAAAGGAAAATCATCACAGGCTTTGAAAATGGGAAACCTATACTCAGGGCCAACTAACAGAACAAAAAAAGAAACAGAAATGGGAAAAACTAATCAAGATGAGTTCCTATTGTTTGGGTGGCAACAATATCGAAAAAAAAGTCCACTAGCCGGGCGCGGTAGCTCATGCCTATAATCCCAGCACTTTGGGAAACCGAGATGGGTGGATCACCTGAGGTCAGGAGTTCAAGACCAGCCTGGCCAACTATGGTGAAACCCCGTCTCTACAAAAAACACAAAAATTAGCCAGGCATGGTGGTGGGTGCCTGTAATCCCAGCTATTCAGGAAGTTGAGGCAGGATAATTGCTTGAACCTGGGAGAAGGCGGTTGCAGTGAGCAGAGATCGTACCGCTGCACTCCAGCCTGGGCGACAAGAGCAAAACTCCCTCTCAAAAAAAAAAGAAAAGAAAAAAGCCCACTAATAGAACAAGCCACAAACTGGGAGAATATATTTGGTATACATAAAATCAACAGAAGATTTGTTTGCATTTTACATAAAGAAATCCCATAAAGCATGAAAAATATGAAATATGTCACAAGCACTAAAATAAACTAATTGTAATACAAATGTACCATATAGTTGTGTGTTTCGTTTTTTTTTTGTTTTTTTTTTTTTGAGACGGAGTCTCGCTCTGTCCCCCAGGCTGGAGTGCAATGGCGCGATCTCAGCTCACAGCAACCTCCGCCTCCCGGATTCAAGCAATTCTCCTGCCTCAGCCTCCCGAGTAGCTGGGACTACAGGCACAAGCCACCACACCCAGCTAATTTTCATACTTTTAGAAGAGACGGGGTTTCACCATGTTGGCCAGGCTGGTCTCGAACTCCTGACCTTGCGATCCACCCTCCTTGGCCTCCCAAAGTGCTGGGATTACAGGCGTGAGCCACTGCGCCCGGCCACAAATGTACTACGTAGTTTAAAGAGTGGCTGGGTGAGTGGCTCATGCCTGTAATCCCAGCACTCTGGGAGGCAGAGGCAGGCGGCTCACCTGAGGTCAGGAGTTCAAGGCCAGCCTGACCAATATAATAAAACCCCATCTCTACTAAAAAATACAAAAATTAGCCGGGCATGGTGGCATGCACGTGTAATCCCAGCCTACTTGGGAGGCTGAGACAGGAGAATTGCTTGAACCTGGGAGGCAGAGGTTGCAGTGAGCTGAGATCGTGCCATTGCACTCCAGCCTGGACAACAAGAGTGAAACTGTCTCAAAAAAAAAAAAAAGAATGTACATGTGTATCTATAAATCTACCACTTGTCAAAAACTTGAGTGGGTCTCAGATCTTACCCTACTCGCAAGCTAACAAGTTAGCCTGTCACAGTTTTATGAATGCTGATGGAAAGCATGTGACTACCTGGCCTGAAATAAAGGACAGTTTATTAGAGCAATGACAGTAGCCGGAATATAGCATTGGTGTCAGTTTTCCAAGTGAATTCCCACAAGGCAAAGTGAGGAGAACCCATGCACACAGTGAGCTGCCTTACAGGAGACGAACCCCGTGCTTAGAGAATCTGAACCATTAACCATTTTTTCAAACGAGGTCTCGCTCTGTTGCCTATCCTAGTCTTGAACTCTACCTCATCCTATAGAGTAGCTGCGATTACAGGTGTGAGCCACCACACCCTGCCCCAAATCTTTTATAAGGGATTGTGCCCTTGTCTCCTCGTTTTGTAGGGAGACACCATTTCTATCTTCCAAGGCTGCTCACTACACGAACATCCTTAACGAGAGTCCAGGAGAAAAGGCAGTCAGGCAATGGTCGCAGTACGTGCACAAACTCAAGAGACTAATGGAAAATTGTCTCCAGACTTTATTCAGCTTAAAAAGTGCTACATAATCCATACTTTAGTAGAGGTGCCTATTGCTCAAGCATTCTGAATATCTTGATTACAGAAATTACAAGACCTTAGATGTAAAAACTGAAGGAAAGCCGTGCACGGTGGCTCACGCCTGTAAACCCAGCACTTTGGGAGGCCGAGGTGAGTGGAACACTTGAGTCCAGGAGTTCGAGACCAGCCTAGGCAACATAGCGAGACTTGCTTCTCTTAAAACGCAAAAAAAAAAAAAAAAATTCTTTTTTAAAATGGAAGGAAGTAACACTTGTAAAATCAGCACTGAGCCCCCACATCGGGCATTCGATAAAGGGAAGCTGCTGTTGTTACGATTTTTGCAGTTAGAAATACCATACGTTTGGCCGGGCACGGTGGTTCACGCCTGTAATCCCAGCACTTTGGGAGGCCGAGGCGGGCGGATCACGAAGTCAGGAGATCGAGACCATCCTGGCTAACACGATGAAACCCCCTTCTCTACTAAAAACACAAAAAATTAGCCGGGCGTGGTGGCGGGAGCGGTGGTGGGCGCCTGTAATCCCAGCTACCTGGGAGGCGGAGGTAGGAGAATCGTTTGAACCGGGGAGGCAGAGGTTGCAGTGAGCCGAGATCGCGCCACTGCACTCCATCCTGGGTGACAGAATGAGACTCCATCTCAAAAAAAAAAAAAAAAAGAAAAAAGAAATACTATACGATTATTGAGAAGGGTACTGTCTTCATCAGAACAAGTCGAACAGCAGAATCGTCGAGTCTGGATCCCTCCTCTTCTCCACCCCAACCCCACCCCTCCCCCAACTCCGGCGCAGTGACCTAGCGGAAGATTAGAGACAAGAAAAAAGGACGCGAAAAAAACAGGCTCTCGCGCCTAGCCCGGCCCGGCCCCGCGCACCTCGCACCTCCCGCTCAGGCTCCGAGTCCTCATCGACCTCGCGCTCCCGCTTCACCCGCACAAACGGGACAACAGAAGCCGGGGCCTCGCGCGCGCTCGCCGGCTCGAACTCCCGCTTCACGCGCACAGGGCTGCCCCGGGAGCTCGCCGCCTCAGGCTCCCGCTCCCGATCTCGCTCCCGCTTGACGCGACCGGAGCTGCCCCGCGACTCAGACTCTCGCTTCCCGCGAGTGGAACCGCGAGACTCCCGCTTAGACCGGCCGGACATCTCCACTACCGGCCGAGTCGTCCAGCGCAGGCGCCAAGCACGCTCGAGCGCGCGGCACAAGGCCAATCAGGAGAGGGGCTGGTAGCGAGCCCCGAACTCTCTACGAGTCGCCACTGGGGACAAATCACGCTGCAGAAAATTTGTGGGCGGTGCTGTTCCTGCACTGGCTTCCTCTCCCCTTAGAACCTTCTGTGGGCCTACTGTCGTTTACAGTTTACTGAGACGGGAACCTTTACTGGCGACAGTTTTCTGGATAAAAGCTGTCAGGCCGGGCGCGGTGGCTTACGCCTGTAATCCCAGCACTTTGGGAGGCCGAGGCGGGTGGATCACCTGAGGTCGGGAGTTCGAGACCAACCTGACCAACATGGAGAAACCCCGTCTCTACTAAAAATACAAAATTAGCCCGGCATTGTGGCGCATGCCTGTAATCCCAGCTACTCGGGAGGCTAAGGCAGGAGAATCGCTTGAACCCAGGAGGCGGAGGTTGCGGTGAGCCGAGATCGCGCCATTGCACTCCAGCCTGGGCAACGAGCGAAACTCCGTCTCAAAAACAAAGAAGCTGTCATTCGGCCCCAGATTTGTGCCTCGAAACCACCACCGTGAGGTCGTTTCCCACAGTCTCCGCGGCTTGGGGGCTGACAATCCTGCACAGGAAAACTAGGCGACATTCCCAAATCATCCCCTTGACAGCCCTAATTCTACTTTTAGAAGGTTCTTGGTACCATGAAAACGCAAATGCCCGGTAAAGGCAGATTTACCATGAAGCTAATAAAGCTCTAACCTCAGGACCTGCCTTGAACTTGTTTGCTTGTTTGAACCGTTCCATTGAGGTATAATTGACATACAACAAACTACATGTTTAAAGTGTGCAATTTAGGCCAGGCGCTGTGGCTCATGCCTATAATACCAGCACTTTGGGAGGCCAAGGCGGGCGGATCACCTGAGGTCAGGACTGGAGACCAGCCTGGCCAATATGGTGAAACCCCATCTCTACTAAAAATACAAAAATTAGCCGGGCGTGGTGGCACGAGCCTGTTAACCCAGCTACTTAGGAGGCTGAGGCAGGAGAATCGCTTGAACCCGGGAGGCGGAGGTTGCAATGAGCCGAGATCGCCCCATTGCACTCCAGCCTGGGCAACCAGAGTGAAACTCTGTCATACCCACACCACACCACACCACACCACACCACACCACACCACACCACACCACACCACACTGTGTGCAATTTACTGAATTCTGACTTGCGGTATATGTCAGAGGCGTTTCAACCAGACCAACTCCATCTTGAGTGAGGGTTAGGAAAATGAGGCTGGGCCTTGACAGGCTGCATTCCCAGGAAGTTAGGTATTCCTAGCCTAGAGATGTCTACAGTTAAGGGAACAGAGAGATAATGTTTACTAAACAGATCCAGACTTGGGAGTGTCCTAATATCCCAATATCTGGAGAATAAAGGCATTCCTAATTTTGCTTTAAAGATAATATTTCTTCTTGCAAAATATAATAATAAAATTAATCCTTTATCACAAACCCTTGTAGCAGAGCACATCTCCCCATGATCTTTTTATCCTATATATAAACAAGCATTGTAGCCATGGTGGATGCGTTCCTCCTTTTACTTTCAGGAACGCCCTATTCTGTCAATGGAGTAGCTGTACTTTCACTACTTTACATTTTATTTTTTTGATACAGAGTCTTGCTCTGTCACCCAGGTTGGAGTGCATTGGTGAGATCTCGGCTCACTGCAACTTCTGCCTCCTGGGTTCAAGTGATTATCCTGCCTCAGACTCCTGAGTAGCTGGGATTACATGCACCTGCCACCATGCCCGGCTAATTTTTGTATTTTTAGTAGGCACAGAGTTTCACCATGTTGGCCAGGCTGGTATGGAAGTGCTGACCTCAAGTGATCCGCCCGCCTCCCCTTCCAAAGTGCAGGGATTACAGGCATAAGCCGCGACACCTGGCTACTTTACTTTCTTAATAAACTTGCTTTTACTTTGCACTGTGGACTCACCCTGAATTCTTTCTTGCACAAGATCCAAGAACCCTCTGCTGGGGTCTGAATAGGGATCCCTTTCCTGTAACATATACACCCATGAAGCCATCACCACAATCAAGAGACGGGATCTGGGCCCAGTACGGTGGCTCACACTTATAATCCCAGCACTTTGGGAGGCCTGAGGCAGGAGGATCACTTGAGGTCAGGAGTTCAAGACTAGCCTTGGCAACATAGAGAGACCCCCCCCATCTCCACAAAAAAATTTTAAAATTAGCTGGGCATGGTGGCATGCTATTCAGGAGGCTGAGGCAGGAGGATCGTTTGGGCCTGAGAGGTGGAGGCTGCAGTGAGCAGTGATTGCACCACTACAATCCAACCTATGCGACAGTGAGATCCTGCCTCAAAAAAATAAAAAAATAAAAAAAAATTTAAAGAATCTACCCAGCCCCAAAGATATCCTCTTCCTCCCAGAGAACCCCCACAAAAATCAACTGATCTCTCGGTCACTATAGATTAGTTTGCACTTCCTAGAGTCTCATATAAATGGAATCATACAGAGTCCCTGGCCTCTTTCACTGGGCATATTTATTTTATGATCCATCCATGTTGTTGAGCTACAGATCTTCCTTTGGATTGCTCAGTAATATTCCATCGTGTGGCTGGACCACCATTGGTCCCTGTTTTTTGTTTTTGTTTTTTGTTTTTTGATTTGGAGGTTGGACTGCAGTGGCTCGATCTCGGCTGACTGCAACCTCCGCCTCCCGGGTTCAAGCGATTCTCCTGCCTCAGCCTCCCAAGTAGCTGGGATTACAAGCACCGGCCATCAAGCCCAGCTAATTTTTTGTATTTTTTTTTAGTAGAGACGGGGTTTCACCATTTTGGCCAGGCTAGTCTCGAACTCCTGACCTCTTGATCTGCCCGCCTGGGCCTCCCAAAGTGCTGGGATTACAGGCGTGAGCCACCACGCCCGGCTCTTTCTTTCTTTTTTAATGTATTTTTTTCTTGTAGAGACGATGTCTCGCTGTGTTGCCCAGGCTGGTCTCAAATTCCTCCCTCCAGCGATACTCCCACTTCGGCATCCCAAAGTTTTGGAATTACAGACATGAGCCACTGCATCCAGCCGTTTGTCCCTGTCCTAATCATGAATTCCTGATTTTGACTTTTGTAAAAGGACTTGAGAATTTTACACGCTGTGACGTGAACCCAGTGGTCAGAAAAAATAGAAAAAAAAAAAAAAGGGGCCGGGCACGGTGGCTCATGCCTGCAATCCCAACACTTTGGGAGGCCGAGGCAGGCGGATCACCTGAGGTCAGGAGTTCGAGACCAGCCTGGCCAACGTGGTGAAACCTTATCTCTACCAAAAATACAAAACTTAGCCGGGCGTGGTGGCACGCGCATGTAGTCCCAGCTACTCGGGAGGCTGAGGCAGGAGAATCGCTTGAACCCGGGAGGCGGAGGTTGCAGTGAGCCGAAATCACGCCAATGCACTCCAGCCTGAGCGACAGAGTGAGACTCCTTCTCAAAAAGAAAAAAAAAAGGAAAAATAAATAAAAAAGAAAATAATACACCCGTAGGTCCCTCAAAAACCCTGGGTCCTCCCGCGGGGACAGTTAAGCCATCGGCGCCGTGAGCAGGAGGCAAGCCGGGCCAGGAGAGCCTTCGCGGCGCCTGCGGCCTGGGCGCCGCTGTTGCCCTGCCTGAGCACTTCAAGGCCTCACAATCCATTTGAGGTAGGTGCTCTAGGTGTTCCCATTTACTAATGAGGAAACTGAGAAGTGGCAGCGTTACACAGTCAGCCAAAGTCACGCAGATGGCGATGGATTGCACAGCATCCTATTACCAGAAAAAAGATGGGAAGGCACCGCCGTAAGCATCGAGTTGTGTTATAGATGATTTGCATTTTTCTGAAGGTTCTGGTATCAGCTGTAAGCCGAAGTCCTTGTTTCCTATTGATATGTTACGAAAAAACAAACAAAAAAAAACAAAAACAAAAGCCCTCCGTCCGGGGGGTGGAAGTCAAGCATACCCTACTCCACCCGACCCGACCAGACCCGAAAACTCCGTGCGCTGCATCGCTTGGCCAGGCCGGGGCCTCCCAGACCGGAAGTCAGGATGCGGGGCCGGAAGCTGAGCAAGGGGCGGCGCGGAGCTCTGTGGGCGGGTGGCTGTTGTTGGGGCCGTCGAGGCGGCGGCGACTCTGCGTCCCCGGCTCCTGATGGAGGCGGGGCCGCATCCCCGGCCGGGGCACTGCTGCAAGCCTGGGGGGCGGCTGGACATGAACCACGGCTTCGTGCACCATATCCGACGGAACCAGATCGCTCGGTACCGCCCCGCCCTGCGCCGCCGCCGCCACCACTCCTGGCCTGGCCTGGCCCGGCCCGACAGTCCCTGACTCCCGCTCGGCTCCCCGCAGGGACGACTATGACAAGAAGGTGAAGCAGGCGGCCAAGGAGAAGGTGAGGAGGCGGCACACGCCCGCGCCGACGCGGCCCCGCAAGCCAGACCTGCAGGTGTACCTGCCGCGACACCGAGGTGAGGCCGCCCGCCCCGCCTGCCTCCAGCCCGCGCGCTCTTCCTGCAACGCACTCCCCTTCTCTATAGGGAAAAACCACTTCTTACTCCTAAGGTTCAGCTCATCTCGTCTCTTTCCGGAACCTCCACCTCAGCGCTCCCAAATCTCCGCTGAATGATTCTCACCAAGAACTGGGACGACTCATAAGCCCCCAGTTAAGCATCGCTGTCAGAGTATCGGGGAGCCAGCAAGAAGTTTATCTGCCGGTTTGCCCCACCGTGCTGTATTTTAGTAAGGTGCTCCGCTACCTAGCAAAGAGAAAGTCTGGCACAGCGATGAGCGACCAGCACATAATTGCGGAATGAACCCAGTAAATGGCCTTTCCCCAGCTTCTCTGCTACCTAGAGATCACACTGGTTAATATATGACGGTCAATTTTTGTTAAGCATTATTACTTTTTTTAAAATGTTTTTATTTTATTTTTGAGACTAGGTCTCTGTCGCCCAGGCTGGAGTGCAATGGTGCGATCTGGGCTTACTGCAGCCTTAGCCTCCCGAGTACCTGGGACCACAGGCGTGTGCCACCACACCGGTTAATTTTGGTATTTCTTGTAGAGAAGGGGTTTCCCCGGCTGGGCGCGGTGGCTCTCGCCTGTAATCCCAGCACTTTGGGAGGCCGAGGCGGGCGGATCACGAGGTCAGGAGATCGAGACCATCCTGGCTAACATGGTGAAACCCCCGTCTCTACTAAAAATACAAAAAATTAGCCGGGCGTGGTGGTGGGCGCCTGTAGTCCCAGCTACTCGGGAGGCTGAGGCAGGAGAATGGCGTGAACCCGGGAGGCGGAGCTTGCAGTGAGCCGAGATCGCGCCACTGCACTCCAGCCTGGGCAACACAGCAAGACTCGGTCTCAAAAAAAAAAAAAAAAGAGAGAGAGAGAAGGGGTTTCTCCACGTTGTCCAGGCTGATCTCGAACTCCTGAGCTCAGGTGATCTGCCCGCATCGGCCTCCCAAAGTGCTGGGATTATAGGTGTGTGCCACTACCTTTGTTAGGCATTAGTGAAAGTGCTTTTAGATCTTACGTATATTAATTCATTGAGTCTTTATACAACCTCATAAGAAAGCTTCTGTCTGTTTCACAGTCAGGAAACAGGCACAGAGAGGTTAAACAACTTGCCCAAGATCTCAGCTAGTAAATGGCAGAGCCTGGATTTGAACCCAGGCAGAGCTCTATCCACCCTTCTGCTTTCCAGTACTTTTTGCTAGACAAATGTGCATTGTGTACCTACTGTGTGACAGGATTGTGCTGGCCTCAGAGCAGGGATGCAAAGGTAAATAAGTCCTTGATTGGCAGCACACCAAATGCTTACACTGGTCCGGGCGCGGTGATTCATGCCTGTGATCCTAGCAGTTTGGGAGGCCGAGGTGGGCGGATCCCTTGAGGCCAGGAGTTCGAAATTAACCTGGACAACATGGTGAAACCCCATCTCTACTAAAAATACAAAAATTAGCCAGGCATGATGGCAGGCGGCTGTAATCCCAGCTACTTGGGAGGCTGAGGAAGGAGAATTGCTTGAACCTGGGAGGCAGAGGTTGCGGTGAGCCGAGATTTAGCCACTGCACTCCAGCCTGGGCAACAGAGCAAGACTCCGTCTCAAAAAAAAAAAAAAAAAAACCACTTACACTGGACCCATAAGAAGATTGGGGCAGCTGGGTGCAGTGGCTCACGCCTGTAATCCCAGCACTTTGGGAGGCCAAGGTGGGTGGATCACCTGAGGTCAGGAGTTTGAGACCAGCCTGGCCAACATGGTAAAACCCCATCTCTACTAAAAATATGAAAATTAGCTGGATGTGGTGGCACTTGCCTGTAATCCCAGCTACTCGGGAGGCTGAGGCAGGAGAATCGCTTGAACCTGGGAGCGGAAGTTGCAGTGAGCCGAGATTGCACCACTGCACTCCAGCCTGGGCGACAGAGTGAGACTTCGTCTCAAAAAAAAGAAGACTGGGGCTTTCCTAACCGTATATTTTCCTGCAGCATCTCTATGGACAGGGCCTTCAGCAGCACCCCCCCTCTTCTTTCTTACTGTGGTTCATCCTTCCAGATGTCTCTGCCCACCCACGCAACCCAGACTATGAAGAGTCCGGTGAAAGCAGCAGTAGTGGAGGCTCTGAGCTGGAGCCTTCTGGCCATCAGCTCTTCTGCTTAGAATACGAGGCAGACAGTGGAGAGGTCACATCAGTTATCGTCTATCAGGTACGCCTGGTGGAAACAGCTGCAGCCTGAAGGTCCTGGGCCATGGTAGTAATCATTGTCAGACCCTGAGCCCTGTTTTCCTCAGGACCCCCAATGGGAAGCGTCTGCTCCACATGTGAGTCTAGGCCTGCCGGGCAGTGCTTTTGAGCACAACTCACTCCCATCTCACAGTGATTCTCAGTAGGGGAACAGGGAGGGCTCTTGGCCCCCAGTGGAGAATCACTATTACAGGAGACACATAGGAAATGACAGGTGCTGGCAAAAAGCCTTGAGCTAAATGGAGTTCTGTGAGAGTGTTTAGGGACAGGGCAGGTCACCTTTCTGGAAGAGGCCAGGCCCTGAGCCTTCTGACTCTTCCTCCACGTAGGGTGATGACCCAGGAAAGGTGAGTGAGAAGGTGTCGGCACACACGCCTCTGGATCCACCCATGCGAGAAGCCCTCAAGTTGCGTATCCAGGAGGAGATTGCAAAGCGCCAGAGCCAACACTGACCATGTTGAAGGCGTTCTCTCCAGGCTGGATTCACTGCACTCGGAAGAATTCTGCCCAGGGAATTTAGTGTGGGGGTACCAGGACCAGTTTGTCTGATCTTGAGACCCCCAGAGCTGCTGCATCCATAGGGTGTTGCAGGACTACACCTGGCCTGCCTTGCAGTCATTCTTTCTTATATGTTGACCCATTTGCCCAGCCTGATATTCTGGAATTCTTTTTTTTTTTTTTTTTTTTTTTTTTTTGAGGATTTTGTGTGGCTAATGTGTTCTAGAAGCAGAGACTCCAGGGAGAACCAGAATTTATGAAGCCTCGTGCAACATGGTGCTTTCTCACCGAGGTCATATGCCTGGCTGCTGCTGTTCCACTCAGCTCCATGAGCCACGTTTGTTATTTTATGTTTCTTCTGTGCTTTTGCTCATTTCCACCCATGTGTTTATAGACCTTTTTTCAGCCCTTTTTCTTTGTTCCTTTCCCTCATCTTTTTGCCTCAGGTAGAATCCATCAGTTTTCCTCCCCCTCCAAATGACTGTGTACCTCCAGCTGCTCAGGACTTTGGAGGTGGGGGCGGGGCCTGGGGATCTACCCTTCTAAAAAACTCTCCAAGTAATTCTGATACCAATAAAGTGGGAGACCTCCATTTTTGAGGCCTATTTGCAAGCATGTCTCCCTCCCTTTCCATGGCTTTTTCGTTTCTCGCATGTTCCACTGCTTTGCACTGTCTAGACAGGAAACCTAGGAAGATGTTGGTGCTAAACTGAAAAGATTTCTTACAGCAAAACCTGCCTCGGCCAGGGCTACAGAATTCCAACTTTCAACTTGATTCCTAGCCGTGAACAGACTGTCCTCTGCTCAGACTAAAAGGGAATTATAAACAAGTGGGAACTTACTCTCCAGTTGTGACTTAACAGTTCTGAACATACCTACAAAGGGAAAGTCAATATTAGCAATAATTGCCTGATTGACAGCACGCCAGAGGGAATGAAATGAGGCCTTCTCTCCTACCTCCCAGGAGTATGTAACTCAGATCCTTAGCATAAAGATCCCCAGGAATACCACTGCTCTAACCCGGTGAACATTTTTTCTAATGCAGGGTTAGGCTTACGTCTGAATTCCACAAGACATCCTCCCCCTCCAGTACGGAAGTTCCAAGGCACTTGTTTTCCAGCATATCAGCCTAACCTCAGTGCCTTGAAATATGGCTTTAAGCCTTTGAGAACTGAGATTTCCTGAAACCATAGGCCCTTGCCCCAGGGGTTTCTCCACATCCGGGTGTTAAGACACCTGATGGCACTGTTGGTTTGTCCCCTATACCCCAGAAAATCTATCCTGCAAGGTAGCTACTTCAATCTTGTCATTAAAATGTGTCAAGTCACAGCTCGCAATGCCAAAGGAATGCTGGGGCAGTAAGTGAGGTGGATAAGTGAGAAGGGCCTGGTGGTGAAAGCGGCCAGGGACCAGAATGCTCCAGACCTACAGAGCTGGTCAAGGTTAAGTGCCTTAAACTTACCAATCCTGGGCTCAGTTCTCCTTTGAAAGGAGAAAGTCTTTGTCCTCTACTTAGGCAGCTGGGCTAGAAGTGCCTTTTGACTTCTAATGTTAACTACCCTCCAAAGCCTCCTGGGTCAAGAAGGCTCTCCCAAACTCCACCCCTGTTCTTCCTGGTCAGAGAACCAGTCAGTCATTCTAGTCTTCTAGTCCTTAAACTGATCTGATGACTTGGAACATAGGATTTCACTGCAAGTCTGGCTTTTTAGTCTGGAAATACATTTGAGGTCTGTTTTCGCACAGCTGGATCACCTGTTTCCTGGTTTTATTACACAATTCAGAAGGCTAGAAGAGGAGTTTGGGGGCTTGGCACCTGAAAATTTAGACCGCATTCTTATTAAGTAAAGGAAGAGGTAGGGAGGCCGAGGCGGGCGGATCATGAAATCAGGAGATCCAGACCGTCCTGGCTAACACAGAAACCCCGTCTCTACTAAAAATACAAAAAATTAGCTGGGCATGGTGACATGTGCCTGTAGTCCATCCCAGCTACTCGGGAGGCCGAGGCAAGAGAATCACCTAAACCTGGAAGGCGGAGGTTGCAGTGAGCCGAGATCACACCACTGCACTTCAGGCTGGGCAGCAGAGCGAGACTCCATCTCAAAAAAAAAAAAAAAAGGAAGAGGTAAAAGGCAAGGCAGCATTTAATAAGTACCTGTTGTATCCTTTTAAGTGTTTGTTGTGGTAATCCTCACAAAGACCGGGACTGATGGAAACTCCTTGCTATTAAACTTTTTTTCTTGAGGAATTTTGCTTTTCAAGTGCATATACACTATTAATATTTTTTACCCAAGAGAGCATTCTAAGCTAATTTATGCAGTGTGACTGTATTAAGCATTAAGCTTCCTTCAGAGCTGGCCTATCGGAGATGCTACTGCCCTCTCTACAGATGTGTCTGAAATGCCTGCCCAAGGATGGCCCTTAGCCAGTTAACAGCTTTATAGCCCATCCTCATTGCTTACTGCCACCCCTCAGCTGGGGTCCAAGGCAGTACTATTCAGTTTATTCACCAGACCTGCCTCCAGACATCTACTTCTTTCAAAAATTAGTGTTTTCCATCAAGGAGCATGTTCCAGAGCATTTCCCAGAGATGTCCCAAAGAACACTGTCCGGTGCTGTGGCGTACAGTGGCAACAGCATTAGACTAAGTGGAACATCCCAGCAGGCTGCTTTAGAATCCGCTCATTTGACTAGATACGATGTAATTGGCTGTCTTTAAAAAACGCGCACACACACACAATCTGATAGGCATATCTCATGCCCATTCAATATGGAATGTTCTTCGCTTGCTGAATTTAAGCCTGTATTTTAAGGTTTTGTGGTTCCTCGGCCACAATGGGTGATGTCACTGATAGAACGAAGCTGAGTTTCCAAGGGTTTGGGGCTGTGCAAGAGTAAACACTAGAGCTTGAGTTGTTATCCAGCTGGCAAGCACGGAAGTCTTTGAAGAATGTAATGTAAAAAGGGAAAAGAATGTAAAGCTTTTTGTACCAAATGAGAGTTGGAGCCCAGCCAACAAATGCTTTTCCCTGTGTAAAAGTCTCTCTGGAAGGGACATTCCATCTCCATGGTGCACTCTGAGGGGCACTGTCAACTAGAGATTGGCCCCATCCAGGTGGGAGGAACCCCTTTGGGATGGTGAGTATCCAATCTGCTGTGCATTTGACAGGATCTCTGAATGGCTAGGTAATGGATCCCAAGCAGGCTCACAAATTTAAATGAGGGCTTTGTGTGCAGAAAGAGGAATAAGTACAGATTATTTTCCTACCACTAGATTTTTGGGGAGAGTCACCATGGAATGTTGACAATTACTTAAAATATTTTAAGCTCCCTTGCTGAATTCCTGTCCTGTCCCTGAGGAATCAGATGGTCATACAGCCATAGGCACCCACCCGAAATTTCCCTAGGAGTTGGAGTAATGCTAGAATTGAAGACCTTCTGAGTAAAGGGCTTCTCTGCCTTCTCAGAGGCAGGAGAATTTGCACTGGTTGTGTTAAATGTATAAAAAGCTATATGTTCACCAGTTTACTCATTTCCAATGTGTAGATGAATAAAATGTAGTGTACAAATTATTTGAAAATCCCAGAAGGAAGGTACTTTTCAAATACAGTATTTTTTTTAACAAATAAACTTACGATTTTTACAGCACTGTTTTTGCCAAGAGTTGTGAAATAACTTGTGTACTTGGGGAAGTGGAGGTTAAATACCTGCCCTAAAGTCATTCCACCACCGAGTCAGCACTGGAAATCTCATCTCTTGCTTTGCCACACTATTTTAAGAGCTGTCCCTGTTGGAACATAACAACTAGACAGACTCATGTAGCATTAGAGTTGGAAGGTCTTTTTAAAGACATCTGGTCCTACTTCTTACATGATACACAATTCCCCCTACCAACTACCTATGAAGAGCCCTTCTGTCATACGGAGCTCCATCCTGGGATAATTCTATTTTAGGAACTATTAGATTGTCATACTAAGCCAAAAGCTGCCTCATGTCCCGGATCTGGACTACTATGCCTTGCCCCCACATCATGTTAGAACTTGAGTAGTCCTCTCAGGCCTTCATCTTGATTGGATAGGGACTCAAACCCAGCTCAAGAAGATATAGTGTTAAGAATTGCAAAGCTTCCAATTAGGGTTCACAGCCCCATTGGGCAGATAAGGTGCCTACGCAGTGGGAATGCAGTTGGGCAGGAAGATGGTTCCTGTCAATTAGCAAGGAAGCACACCCTTGTCCTGAGGCACAAAGCATAGCCAGCGGCAGGTGAGCTGGATTTTATCCCCCACTGGTTTATTCAGCCAGGTGTGCTTGTACAGTGATCACTACACAGCCATACTTCTTGGCCCTGTTTTAACTACTTGTCCTAATGTGTTTAAGGACAGGGCTCTCCCGCTGGGCACGGTGGTTCACATCTGTAATCCCAGCACTTTGAGAGGCCAAGGCGAGCGGATCACCTGAGGTCAGGAGTTCAAGAGCAGCCTGACCAACATGGTGAAACCCCGTCTCTACTAAAAATATAAAAAAATTAGCTGGGCATGGTGGCAGGCACCTGTAATCCCAGCTACTCGGGAGGCTGAGGCACAAGAATCACTTGAACACAGGAGGCAGAGGTAACAGTGAGCCGAGATTGCACCATTGCATTCCAGCCTGGGCAACAAGTGAAACTCTGTCTCAAAAGAAAAAGGGCTCTCCAACAGGTTTTCTGCTTCCATTTCTGCTTTCCACTGGGTCCAAGAAGGTTTCTCCCTCTTCAAGTCATTGTGCAGTTTATTCTGCTCTACTTCTCTAAAGCACAGGACCCTGTTGTTTCACATAGCCTTTGCCTCACCAGTGTTGCCAAACTTCAGCTCCCCACGCTGGGCAACCTGCGCCTGTGCACCATTCAGGTGATGATCTGTCATCTCACAAGGGCTCCAACAGATGCTGGGACCGCCTTTGAGACAGAATGCCAGGCACACTTCTGATATGTGAAAGTATTTCCACCCTTGCAATAATTTAAGAAACATCCGGGCCAGGCGCAGTGGCCCACGCCTGTAATCCCAGCACTTTGGGAGGCCGAGGCGGGCGGATCACGAGGTCAGGAGATCGAGACCATCCTGGCTAACATGGTGAAACCCCGTCTCTACTAAAAATACAAAAAAATTAGCCGGGTGAGGTGGCGGGCGCCTGTAGTTCCCAGCTACTCGGGAGGCTGAGGCAGGAGAATGGCGTGAACCCGTGAGGCGGAGCTTACAGTGAGCCGAGATCGCGCCACTGCACTCCAGCCTGGGCGACAGAGCGAGACTCCGTCTCAAAAAAAAAAAAAAGAAAAAGAAAAAGTAAAAAAAAAAGAAACATCCAGGAATGCACTCATAGCCTGTAAGTTTTTGGTGAAGCTGGTCAGTAATTTTTCCCACACTATCCTGTTTCCTTTTCCCAGATTCCTCCGGGTCTCTCACCTTCCCCTCTTTGCTTACCAACACTGGCCATGTTAATCCTTACCTACTCTACACTGACACCTACATGTGTCTATTTAGAATGGATGTCCTCTGGTCTCTGCCGTCTTATTTCAAATAAGTGTTGATCAGTCGGGAAACACGTCTTGGACACTGATTTCTGGCTAGTACATTGTGTACTTGTATGCAGGAAAGCAAAAAGTATCTAATGAAAGCAGCCCTCCTCCGGAGTTTGCTGAGCCACAGGAACCATAAGCCAAATCCCAGGCGCTTGGATTTCTTAAGAAACAGCCAAGTCTTTGTGTCTGCTTCTCTGGACCCACCGCAGCCCTGGCCAGAGGCAGGCATGGGGCGCCACGTTGAGAGAGCTTCCTAGAGGACTCACCGTTGGCCGGTGCAGGCTGCAAAATGTGCGCAGTGGCGGAGAGACGCTCCTCCAGCCATGTGCACGGCGACAATCCCAGGTAGAGCTGGAATGCAGGCTGCCCCGAGATCCCCACCTGCTGACGCTTCCCCGGCAGGAATCGGTTAAACGGAACCTCTAGTCATCTCGGTTTTAGAGCGGTCTTCACGCCACAGCCCTCCGCGCCCAGGTCCTCCGAAGTTGGGACACCGCCCACGTTTCCCCCGTGACGCGGGCGCGGGGGCTCGGGAGTTGTAGTCTCGGGCAGGGCGCGGGCACCGAGGCCGGGGCTGCGCGGACTCCACGTCCCGGCGGGCGGCGCGGCGAGGCCTGGGGCCTCCAGGGGCGGGGCCGCTCGGCCCTTTAAACCTTTCAGGGCTGCTCCGAGGGCCGCAGCTAGAGTCGGCGCCACGAGGGGGCCGAGCAGGGTGCGGCGGCGGCGGGGCGCTCCGGGGAGGTGCGTACTGGGCTCCTTCCCTTCCTCCGGGCTTCCAGGAATCACCTGGGGACTCTCGCGTCCCGGGTCCTGGGGGGTCGCCGGCCGCAGGGTCCGGCCCCAGCCGGGGTCCCCGCGCCCAGGCGAGCGGGGGCCGGGCCGGGCTGGGCTTTCCGCGTGAACCCGCCCCTCGCCCAGGGCGCCGATGGTCAGGTGGTTGCCTGCGCGCCGCCGACTCGCCACCGCTCCACTGGGCCGGCACCCAGCCTCTCCTTGGCGTGGCCTCTTCGGTTGTCCAGCCCTTCTCCCAGCCCTGGTCCCTCAGAAGGAGGGTAACTCCCTTCCAGATGTTACGGTCCGCCTGCGTCTCTCAGCACGCCGGTGGCATTTGGGTTGACCGCGGAGGCCCCCAGTGCCAGAGGGTGTTCACGTTCTGCCGTGGGCTCAGCCCAAACTTTGGACGCTCAGAGACCCAACGGGAGCGCTGGATAAGGTGTTGACCCCCTTCCCCTCCCCCTTCCCGGCCAGTTACCCACTCCTGGACTTTGATCTCTCTCCACCAGGCCAGGACAGCTGATGGTTGTGGCAGAAACATCTCAAGGTAGCTGGTCCGCCCCCACTTCCCCATCTACCTCTTGTCCTCCCCCCAACACCACCACCACCCTGGCTCCCCTCCCTCATGACCGCCTGGATCCTCCTGCCTGTCAGCCTGTCAGCGTTCTCCATCACTGGCATATGGACTGTGTGAGTAAAGGGGGGTGCCCGGGGGGCAACAGGAGCTTGATGACGCACACAAAGTCTCTTGTCCTGTCATAGCCACGGTGGTACCCAGGGTCACTCTGGGTGTCTCAAAAGCCTGACTTGGTGCCTGGGCACACAGCCCCTTGGGACAAGCTGGCACCACTGCTGTCCAGCAGGGTGGCCCTGACAAATATACTTCTAGCCAGGGCAATTTCCAGAGGGCCTGTAGCTGGGGGCATGCTGCAGGTGCTGGTGTGGCATCAAGCCTTAGGGACCTCAACTTGAGTCCCCAGCAACAATAATGAGGCTGAATGGGGCCAGAAATCAAGGTTGAAGAGAAGGGTCATGGGGTGGGTTGAGTGGGGCTCGGGAAGGCTGCCAGGGTGACAGTTCTGTTCCCACAGGTATGCCATGGCTGTGATGAACCACCATGTATGCCCTGTGGAGAACTGGTATGAAGGACTCTGCAGACAACCTTGCTCTAAAGCTTCCTTCATCTCTGTCCCCTCTTGGGCCTGAGGCTGCCACGAGCCAGACTGCAACCCTGAGCCTCACTGCTCTTCTCTGAAATTGGTCCCCAGGCATGGCTTCTTGCCACCTACCCACTTCCCACTATCCCTTTGCCCCTTTGGTTACTGCTTCAGGCGGGCACTGGGGAGTGGGATCTTCTGTCCCTGTAGGGGAGGTCTGGGAGAGAGTCCTCTTTGAGGCCTGAGGCTATAGGCCAAGGGCCTGGGGGCAGTCCCTTCCCCCAGTCTACTCCCTGTCCTGCCTGCCAGGTCCTACAACGAGTCCTGCCCTCCTGACCCTGCTGAGCAAGGGGGTCCCAAGACCTGCTGCACCCTGGACGATGTCCCCCTCATCAGGTAAGGCCTGGACATTGGGCCGGTCAGGGAGATCTAAGGGCCTCCCAGACAGCCCCTCAAGCAAAGAGCTGTCCTTGGGTCTCAGGAACAATAAGTATCCTAAGAGCCACTTAATAACAACACTACTTGACAGTTACTGTGGGGCAGGCACTCTGCTGAGTGCTTTATATGCATTGTCTCTTTTCATCCTCCCAGGAGTGAGGCAGGTATTGTTTTCACCATTTTATAGGTGAGGAAACAGGCTCAGTCTTCCTCATCCAGGTCACACAGCTAATAAGCGGAGGCACCTGGATTTAAGCTGGAGCCCTCAGATTGCCCAGCCCGTGTTCTGGCTCAAGGATAGCCAAACCAGCCGCAGGGCTCAGCAAAGAGTGTCAGGGTTGCCCGAACACTCCTGGGCACTCCCTTCTCTCTCACACACATGAGCTCTGCTTTGGGGGCCCAGCCTGGAACCAGTTGTTCATGAGGGACCCTGGATCTTCACATAAATCAGTGGCCTGCCTGCTAAGGAGCAGGTGCAGGTAAAGCAGGGGAGAGCCAGTGAGCCAAAATGGGGGCCCCCCGGGCCTCCTGCACCCCTCTTACTCTGTCCTTCCCCCTCCTCGCAGCAAGTGTGGCTCCTATCCCCCAGAAAGCTGCCTCTTCAGCCTCATTGGCAACATGGGTGCTTTCATGGGTGAGTTGTACCCTTAGCCCTGACCCTGCGTGCCCAGCCCAGTGATCCCCACACAGAAAGGCCCAGGAAGCCCTTCTGTGCAGCCCTCCCCACCAAGGGCTAAGGCAATAGAGGCAGCTTCTCCCCTTCCTTGAAGGCCAAAAGCTGACTCCCACACAGCCACCCTGCTGGCTGGAGCCTGAGGAAACCTAGTTCACCACCCGCCTGTCTGTTCCTTTCTGCCCCTCAGAAGGGGCAGGAGCACCACAGCGTCTGGGGGAAGCTGACAGGCTCGCTGGGCAGGGCCAGGGCTGGAGGAAGGCCTCAACTGTGCTCTCCTCCCCCAGTGGCCCTGATCTGCCTCCTGCGCTACGGGCAGCTCCTGGAGCAGAGTCGGCACTCTTGGGTTAACACCACGGCACTCATCACAGGCTGCACCAACGCTGCGGGCCTCTTGGTGGTTGGCAACTTTCAGGTGCTTCCCCTTCTCCCCTGCAAACCTTAAACTTTACCTAACAAGGCCTGGCTGCCTGCAGTGTGGCACCTCAAGGTTGGGGCTGGAAAGAGGGAGAGGAAGGAAGAGGGAGAGAGGAGATTCATTGAAGGAGGGGTGGAGAGGTGGGGCCATGGCCACATCACCAACTGGCCCTTCTCTGGGCCCAGGTGGATCATGCCAGGTCTCTGCACTACGTTGGAGCTGGCGTGGCCTTCCCTGCGGGGCTGCTCTTTGTTTGCCTGCACTGTGCTCTCTCCTACCAAGGGGCCACCGCCCCGCTGGACCTGGCTGTGGCCTATCTGCGAAGTGTGCTGGCTGTCATCGCCTTTATCACCCTGGTCCTCAGTATCCTTTCAGGACGGGGCAGCCAGGAACTCATCCTCTAGCTCAACCTTTCTCCCTCCCAAGAGGATGGGGGGTGGAGGCCTAACACTGCCATGTGGGGGAGAGGACTAACACCTCTCCCTTTGGAGAGGTGAGGCCTGAGACTGCAGAAGGGGTGTTGCCAGGTTTCCGTATGTCCTACTGAACATTTCCTTAGCCTCGTTTTAGGTGGAGTCTTCTTTGTCCATGAGAGTTCTCAGCTGCAACATGGGGCAGCCCTGTGTGAGTGGGTGTGTGTCATCGATATCCTCATTTTCTATGGCACCTTCAGCTACGAGTTTGGGGCAGTCTCCTCAGACACACTGGTGGCTGCACTGCAGCCTACCCCTGGCCGGGCCTGCAAGTCCTCCGGGAGCAGCAGCACCTCCACCCACCTCAACTGTGCCCCCGAGAGCATCGCTATGATCTAAGGTCTGGGGAGGGTGGCTGGCCCGGCCTCCACAGCACCCCACCCCATATCTTCTTTCCATTTATTTCGTACCAAAAACAATTTTGAGAAAGTATTCTGTTGGGATCTGGGCTTCCTCACTTCTGGAGAAGTGGCCATCCCATGCCCACCTGTGCCATGGAGGAGTGGGCCCTGCCAGCTGCCACAGCTGCATGACCTGCTTCCCCACCCCACGGTGTCGTTTTGTTTTTAAAGGTCACCTGTCCTCACTCACCCAGCCAGCCCTTCAGGTGCCTTCTACTCCCAGTGCCAAAGCCAGACCACTGGGGTTTCCTGCTGCAGGAATTGGGGGCTGGGAACAGCAGAGGGGATAGAAGTCTGGTGGAGGTGGAGTGGGCACGCCTTAGCCTACGGAAAGGCCCATTTCTGGGCCCACTGAGCTGCACTGGGATTCTTCACTCTGCCCCTCACTTCCTTTAGGGCAAATAACACAGCAGAACCACGTGGGTATTTTAGTACTTTTTTTTATATTAAAAGAATTCTAATTTGCATGTTTGTAGCCTGTTCTGGAGAGTTGGGGGGCCTGATCTGGGATGGCTTTCCATAAGCCAAGGATGGGAGGAAGCCCTTGCCCCCCAGGAGTGCTGAGTGCACTCTGTTGCCAGAAACAAAGGATGCCAGGTGCCACCCAAATACCCCTTCAAAGGGCTTGAAACCCTTCTGGGCCTCTAAGCAATCTAAAGAACTAACTTGGTCTGATAATCTCACCCATCCCCCACTCAGAGTCTGGTTTGAACTTTGATTCCTTAGGAGGCATGGGGGGAAGGTGGGGGTGGTACAGAGAGCAACTTTAAAATATTAAAAGTGGCTTTCTCAATGGAGCAAAAAGAAAACCTGTGGGATTACAAAGTTAACTAGACATTGCAGTGGGAGGAGGGTGCAGGCTAGTTTATCAGCTTTTTTTTTTTTTTTTTTTGAGACGGAGTTTTGCTCTTGTTGCCCAGGCTAGAGTGCAATGGCATGATCTCAGCTCACTGCAACTTCTGCCTCCCAGGTTCAAGCAATTCTCCTGCCTCAGCCTCCCAAGTAGCTGGGATTACAGGTGCGTGCCACCATGCCCAGCTAATGTTTGTATTTTTAGTAGAAACGGGGTTTCACCATGTTGGTCAGGAAGGTCTCGAACTCCTGACCTCGTGATCCACCTGTCTTGGCCTCCCAAACTGCTGGCATTACAGACATGAGCCACTGCACCCAGCCTAGTTTATCAGCTTTAAGTAATTAACTGGGTACCAGACCCTGACACATTTTGCCTTCCAACCATGAACACATAGGCCCAAGCCCTGGCTATTGCAGTAATCCAGTTCTTTACCACTGCCATGAGTCCAGATGGGCCAGCAGGGAGGAAAACCGCAGCCTGGTGCCTTCTGCGATTTAGGATCACCTTCCCCAACAGAAGTAGAGACCTGATGGAGGATGCAGAGCCCCTGGCCAGGTCTGTGATCAATACAGCCTCAGGGTGGGTAAAGAAACCTTTAATGAGGATTCAAGGTTAATAAGGAAGACGCAGAGGGCCAGCACTCAGCCCCAACCTCCTCACGTGTACATGGCTCCATGGAGGTTCTCCAGTCGGTGTTGCTGCTGCTGTTTTCGAGCCTGAAGGAAAGAAGGCATGCTGGGCAGGGGCCAAAACTGAAGGCCTATGGGTGAGGGGATGGGCAGCTATTATGGGGCTGGCTCTGTTTTCAGGCCTCTGGCGTCTGCATTGCTGAGGCTCTCACCACAAATCAAAGTCACTAAGAAGACAGCCAGAGCCAGGGATTCTGAGGCCTACCCAGTCCTGCTGAGGTGGGAAGTGATGGCAGCGGGGACAGGACTCAGGGAGCCCATTACGACCCCTCCACTTAAGCATCAGCCCCTACCTTATCTCGTCTGTGCTCCTCATAAGTGTCGTCATCAGTGGGCAGCTCATAGCGGCACAAGGGACAGGAATTTGTCTGAGAAAAGTAGAGTAGTGTTCTAGCCTTGGTCTGATCTTCATAAGCTGATAACCACCCTCCCCTGCTCCCAACTGCCACTCTTCTTCCATCCCCCAGCAGTCCATGAACAGAAAGAAGCTTGAGTACTGGGCCCAGGGCACGGTGAGAGCTAGAAGAAGAGAAGCAGTACCTTGCTTAGCCAGGGCAGAATGCAGCTGGAATGGAAAAGGTGATGGCAAGGCATCTCAATGGCAGTCTCCTCCTCCTCAAATTCCAAAAGACACACGGGGCACTTGAGCTCTTTAGGAAGGAGTGCTGATCAGGAGAGCTGCTACAGGCTCTGCCTCCCAAGCTCCCACTCCTGAAGGACACTTGCCCCCACCTGACCTGGAAAACTGAAGGACCAGACCACAGTCTGGCTTGGGGAAGGGGTGGGTCTGGCCCAAATAGCAGAAAGAATCAGTGTCCTCACCAGCCTGAGAGCCTCTGATGACTGTCCTGGGGAGGTTCTCAACCACAGTCTTGGCAGCTGGTGGAGGCAGGTGGTGGTCCCAATCTACTACCAACCCCAAGTCTTCAAAGTCCATCCTATTGAAAAGTGACCTGGGGAAGGGGATGTAAAGTCAGAACAAAGGAAAACTATGCTTTTTCTTTGTCCCCATAATCCACTGGACATTAATAAACACGCTGCCCAGCTAGTAGGAATAATAGCTACCCTTAGTAGTTAGTAGATGCTCACTAGATAAAAAGCACGATGGGAAATAGTTTACAACTGCTATCAGACCGCCCCAGCACGTAAAGTGTTTATTCCCATTTTACACATGAGGCAACAGATTCAGAGAAGTTACTCAGGCTACGCTGAATAACCTGGTAGAGCCCAGATTCCAAGACCAAGCCAGATTCCAGGTCCAGTAACAGCAGTGCCTGCTGTTACTGATGAATATACCCACTCACAGCACACGGCCCCAACCCCGCCCCCATGCCTCACCTTCTCTGAGACCTCCCAGAGCCTGCTGTCCTTCCGCCCCCACGCCCACCACTCTCCAGCTCCAATCTTTCCCGCAATCCCCTTGCCCCAGGCCGGCCCAACGGACGGCCCAAATTATCGAGATGCTCATCCCCACACCCCTCAGTCTCGCCGCCCGTACTAACACTCCAGATTACTCATCTGTCCTCCCCAGAATCCGCTGCCCCTGGTAATCCGCCTTCTCCAGCCAGCCCCAGCCCAGAAACCTGCTGGTTGGACCCTATCCCCAAGCCCCGCGCACCCACCTTGCGAGCTCCAGCAGCATGTTGGTTCGCGTCTCCTGCTCAGGGTCCGACGGCTCGCAGTCGTGTTCATCGAAATAGGACGCCATGGCTGCCCAGCCTTCTGACACAGCCCTCGGACCCTGCTCGATAGCGGCCTAGCGGCGCTGGCCAATAAACTGACGAGCTGAGAGAGGCTGGCCAATCAGAGTATCCGAGGGACGGGCATAGTGGCTCGTTAAACAGCACGGAAAGCGGAAGTACTAATTCGGCCCCCTCTCATTGGCTTGAACAAGTCAGGTGACCAGAGACTAACGCCAATGATGGAGATCTGGCTGGTGAGGAATCATTTGTTTTGGAGTCGGAGCCAAGACTGAATTCCCGGGGATTTCTGGCGCGATCGCGTCCAAGTGTCTGGTGTGTAAGGCTCTTCAGTCTGCCCTGAAGCTCAGAGGGCTTCGACAGTACAGATGCTAGAGGCCTCTGCGAGCAAAGGCGGCGCTGGCCCAGGGGTTCAGGTTCCTGCGAGCGTTGGCCCATGGCGCTTCCGGATGCGCTGTCCGGATCCCCGCCGGACACTTCTGCCCCCGCGGCCCTCTAGTTGGTTCACCAGTTTGCGTTTGATTCCTGCGCATTTCTTATGTGTTAGGCATAATAATAAAGGGTGGGGCAAGCCTCCCCAACTGAGAGAGATCTCTTTGCCGGAGAACCTGGGGCCTCAACCAGCTCATGGGACTGTTACCTTCAGCCCGTTGCTATCCCTAGCTTCTGTAAAACTGCTGGCTTGTACTAAGACCTTTTCATTCCTGGCTACACATGAATTCCCAGAGGAGAGAATGGGCGCGGAGGAGCTTTAGAAACACCCGTGTCTGATACCTTCGAAGATTCTGATTTAACTGATCTGTGGTGGGGCCTGGGCAATGGCACTTGTATAAATTATGCAGGTGAAGCAGGTTTAAGAACCACTGCACTCAATGATTTGGATGATAGGTACTATTTAGCATCTAGAACTGTTAGTCTGATGTATGTTTTACACGCTCGATCATCCCCTCAATAGACCCAGGAGCTAAGCGTCATTATGCCCTTTTTACCTCAGAAGTGGCTTGCCCAAATTTGCAGTCTGTAAGTGGTGTTGCAGACCAGCTGCAGGGCCAAGTGCTTTCCTCCATCTTTCCCAAGAGAGGAAGACGCTAATGCGCTCAGTAAAACTAACACGCTCTGTAAGGGGTGAAGCTCCACACAACTCAGGCTTATTCTGGTTTCTGTCAGTAGCGCTCACTTTACCCAGCAAGGAACTGCTTATTTTACACACTTGACCCTGAATTCCCCTTGCCACTCACACCTGAGTTTGAACTGCAGCTAAGTAGCCCAGGCAGAGGCTGCCCTGTTTCCACAGTCTTGGTGTGGCTTTATTTCCTTCTTCCATGCCTTTGCCCAATGATCTTTGCTATGGCCCTGAAGGCACTGCCTCCCTGGCCTATATGGCCCTGTAGCTTTGAAAAGCCTGAATTCAGGCTGGACATGGTGGCTCACGCCTGCAATCCCAGCACTAAAGGCAAGAGAATTGCTTGAGCCCAGGAGTTCGAGACCAGCCTCGGCAACATAGACCCCGTCGAAAGAGGGAGGGAGAGAAGACACAGGAGAGACCCCGTCGAAAAAGGAAGGAAGGGAGGGAGGGAGATGGGAATACCAAGGAGTGCTTTAAGGTCCCCATCTCTTGCTGTCACTTCCCCCATCTGCAGTCTGATGTAAAGCTTGAGGTAGATAGAATGTGGAAAGAGAAATTGAGGAGTGGGAAGTGTTCAGAGGGGAAACCATTTATCTGAAGGTGAGAGCCTTATGAAAAATTTTTTGGGCCAGGCGCGGTGGCTCATGCCTGCAATTCTAGCACTTCGGAAGGCCGAGGCAGGTGGATCACCTGAGGTGAAGAGTTCAAGACCAGCTTGGCCAACATGGTGAAACCTTGTCTCTACTAAAAATACAAAAATTAGCCAGGTGTGATGGTGGGCACCTGTAATCCCAGCTACTTGGGAGGCTGAGGCAGGAGAATTGCTTGAACCCAGGAGGTGGAGTTTGCAGTGAGCTGAGATAGTGCCATTGCACTCCAGCCTGAGCAACAGAGCAAAAACTCTGTCTCAAAAAAAAAAAAAAAAAATTGGTGAAGTGCTTTCTTCTTTGTCATCGCATCTACAGTCTCATTGGTCCTCTAAGCATCCCCAAGATGACAGAAAAATAATAGATTTCATTCTCAGAGAAACAGGCTCAGATGGGGAGGACTGGTTCAAGGGTCTGCTTTGGGGGCCATTGTGTTCTTGCATCCACACTCCCTGTCTGTGTCGGGCTGGATCAAGTAGGGAAGGGAGAGGAAGGAGCCATCTCCCAGGGGTGGAGTCCTTTGGGTGATGGGCTTTTTAAGCAGCCCTAGGGGTAGAGACAGATGGGATTAACCAACCTGGGGACCTTCACACACAGATACCAGCTTTTAATCAAACAGCAGTTTTTACTGAGCTCCAGGTGGGGCTGGCCCAGCATGGCCAGTACAGCAGGCTGCCCTCAAGGGCCAGTCTGTGGCATGACAGGAAATGCAGGGGTGCACATGTTGGGGCTGCCCTTTGGCACTCACTGGGGTGGGTCAAGGGAGAGCAAACACCAAGGTCCTCTGGAGACCAGAATCGGCCAGTGCAGCCATTTGGCTTCTCCTTCAGGACCAGCTGGGTCAGTTCCCAGGCCCTGAGGCAATGCCTGCATCCTGGGTCCGTGGGGCACTACTGCTGTCACTGCTCTGAGGGAGAAAGACGACCAGCAGCACAATCAGGATGATGAGCAGGACACCAACCACCACCAGCCCCACGCAGATCCGGTAACGGATGTTCTCCCAGCACTTCTTCTGGGCCAGGTTCTGTGTAGTCTTGTTGAAGGTTGAGCTCTGCGGATACCCCCAGACACAAAGTGGGAGTTAGCTGGCACCCTCTTGGCCTGGGAGCCAGCTCCTCCCAACCCCATCTCAGTAAGGCTTAGTCTCCTCCTGCATCCTCCCCATCTTGTCTACTTTCTTTCTTTTTTTTTTTTTTTTGAGAAGGAGTCTCTCCCTGTCACCCAGGCTGGAGTACAGTGGCACAATCTCAGCTCACTGCAACCTCTGCCTCCCGGGTTCAAGCAATTCTCCTGTCTCAGCCTCCCTAGTAGCTGGGACTACAGGTGCACACCACTGCGCCCGGCTAATTTTTGTATTTTTAGTTGAGATGGGGTTTCACCATACTGGCTAGGATAGTCTTGAACTCCTGACCTTGTGATCTGCCCACCTCGGCCTCCCAAAGTGTTGGGATTACAGGCGTGAGACACCGCGCCCGGCCTTGTCTGCTCTCTTTCTATACCACCTGCCGTGGAACCCTCCCAGCCTGACTCATCTCAAACACCGGTGTGGCCCTTGACTTTCAGCCCTAGTGTCTCACCCTCAGTTAACAATGCCAGTACTCAGGCTGGACACAGTGGCTCATGCCTGTAATCCCAGCACATTGGAAAGCCAAGGTGGGAGGATCTCTTGGATCCAGGAGTTCAAGACCAGCCTGGGCAACATGGTGAGACCTCATCTCTACAAAAAATCAAAAATTAGACAGGCATGGTGGTGCAGGCTTGTAGTCCTAGCTCTTCAGGAGGCTGAGGCAGGAGGATCACTTAAGCCTGGGAGGTAGAGGCTGCAGCAAATATGATTGTGCCACTGTACTAGCCTGGGCGACAGAGTGAGACTCTGTCTCAAAGTAAAAAAGAAACAAAAAACGATACCAGTTTTCTACCTTTAAGAAGGTCCACAGCTTCAAACCAAGGCCTTCTTATCTTGTGGGGTCTATCTGTTGCATGTCTAGGCTATGGGTGCCTGAGGAAACCCAGAGGCCCCACACTGGCCCTCAAGAAGGCCTCAACCCCACCAAGGAACTGGAGATCCTGAATACAGCCCAAGAGAGACTTTCCCAATCCTCTCCCCTCCCCTCCATGCTCCCCCAGGCCTCACACCATATCCAGGAGTTGGTCTGAACGCTGCTGCAGTTCGGCCAGCTTCACACCACGCTCCAGGACCTTGCCGAAGTTGTTACGCATAATTTCCGTCACCTCGTTCGCCTGCTGCTGGCACCGCTCCAACTCTATTCCTGCCTGGACACCAAGCCCGAGGTCAGGGCTGCATGAGGCCCCCACCTGGCCCTCATCTGCCCCTGAGATCTAGAAGCCTCCTTCTCCCCCTGTAGGTGGGTACAGCATGAGAGTAACAGCATCCTTCGTGTAAGGGTATGATGTGTGCGGAGTGAAGGTCTGGCCTTCGGGGTGAGTGCGGCACACCTTAAGTCTCACAGGCTCCTCCCCTTGCACGTCAAGGCAGGGCCTAGGACCTAGGTAAGTCCCGGCTTCCAGCACCTCAGCTTCCTCTAAGCTGTCCCAAGGTGGGATCTTCCCAGGACCCCACCCTCCCACAAAGCTGATTCTTTTCTCACCTGCTCCAGAATGGCGTCTACCCAATCAATGCACAGCTGCCCTAAGGTTTCCCACTGGCCTAAGAAGGCAGCAAAGAATGGGTAACCAAGCTACCTGGCTGGAACACACAGGGAGGAGACCTACCCTACAGGCTAGAAAGGTAATTTTGAAGCAGCACACATCATAGTCTCTGCCTAACCCCTCTATCCCCAAACTGAGAAGCTCAGATCTTCCTCTTTGGGCCTCTGACTGGTCAGGCCAGTTCTGCCTCCTGGCCTGATCCTGCTCCCTATATCACTGCTCCAACTTCCCTCTCCGTCTGGGAACCTCAGTGGTACCGGTTTTTGGCCTCCAGCCTTCCACTCAGCTGGGGTCCTCACTGGGGTCCAACTTACAGAGATGAGACTAACTCTTGGATTTCCCAGCCTGGGGGGCAGCTTTGCCTAACAGAAAACACCAGCTCATTTCAGAGGACTGGGAAGGGAGGTCTTGGATCCAAGCTGGGGAAGGTTGAAATGACAGGGGAGAGAGAAAGTCTGGGTCATGTGCAAGAAAGGCACTGGGCTTTGGGTGCACGTAACAGAGAGAGACACCAGGCAGGAGGCCCTGGTATAAGCCAGAAGCCTAGGAGCAGGGACATTTCAGGGAGATGAATACCAGTGGATTAGCAAACCACAGAAACTCCTTCCTCTTAGCCTACTTCCCCACAGCCCATCCCTGTTCCCTTCCCCTCCTTACAAGAAGGGCAAGCTTCTTTTCCTGCCAGCCCACGTCACCCATTGTCTACAACAGACATTTTGGCACTTGACTGAATTCCACTTAAAACCAGAAAACTTAAGTGTTAGAAGAGATCTGGTGGTCACAGAGGGCTACCTCCCACTCAGCCAAGAATCCTCCTTCAGGATCCTTGCAGCTGCTTGGTATACAGCCTCCAAGAATTCCCACTGTATGAGTCCTATCTCCCCAGCTGGACCACAAACTCCCAGAGGGAGGGCAGGGAGCAGTGCCCTGCCTTTGTCCACCACCATCCCACCGGGAGGCCAGCACAGTGCTGACCATTGCAAGCAAGGAATCAGTGAGTGGGCCAATTACGATACAGCCTAACCAAAAGCAATTCTTATTCTCAAGAGATGTTCTCCCAGCATGTTTTTCTAGCCCTGCATGAGTTTCGAGGGGCAGGCATTTGAAACCCAAATAGGTCAATATTTACCCATGAGCTAGAAAAGCAACCTGCTTCAAGAGAGGTCAGGCAAACCACTGTAGGGGAGGCTGCGCTCACAGGCTGGAGGAAGCAGTAAGCAGGAAACACAGAGGAACAACGAAGAGAGCAGGGAAACTGCACTCTCACCTTTTCCTGAGTCAACCGTCATCACTATTATTACTACTATAGCATTCAACAAGGCTCCATCATTCAATCCTTTGAACTTCCCCACATTCAAATACTCCAAGGCAGGCTGGGCGCAGTGGCTCACACCTGTAATCCCAGCACTTTGGGAGCCCCAGGCAGGCAGATCACTTGAGGCCAGGAGTTCGAGACCAGCCTGGCCAACATGGTGAAACCCTGTCTCTACTAAAAATACAAAAATTAGCCAGGCATGGTGGTGCATGCCTGTAATCCCAGCTACTTGGGAGGCTGAGATGGGAGAATCGCTTGAACCTGGGTGGCGGAGGTTGCAGTGAGCCGAGATCACACCACTGCACTCCAGCCTGGGCAACAGAGCAAGACTCCATCTCAGCAAACAAAACAAAACAAAAAACAAAATTAAATAGTCCAAAGCAAAAACTTGAGAATGGATAAATACTCGAAAATAAGAGTCACTGCTAGAGACTGGGAAAATGCTGGATATTATCTTTTTATTTTCTATTCTAAATGCTACAGCTGTTGTTACCTTATTTTTCAACAAGGGGTGATATTTGGGTCACATTCTCCAAAGAGCTGGCTGTGCTTCCAGCTGTAATCTGGACCAGTCTCCCCCAATGCGAAGCCAGGCCTGCCTGGAGCCAAGATGGACCCAGGCCTAAAAGAACACATTCGCTCCAGGGAACACAGAGGCCTTAGACTCAAGTCTCGGGCCCTCCTTGGCCCCCACTCAACCAGAGGAAAAAGGACACTGACTATATACACAGGTCTCTGCTGGCACTGTGAGAAATAAAGCTCCAGGGACCCTGGAAGGAGGTAAGCAAGAGGACAAGGGCCATACTGCCTTACGCCACACTGTCACTCAGCATAATGTCTGCAGACAGCAGAGATGTGATAAACAGTTCCTGAATAAATGGTGCCTATATTTTTAAAGATGGGGTCTTGCTATGTTGCCCAGGATGGTCTTGAACTCCTGGGCTCAAGCAGTCCTCCCACCTCAGCTTCCCAAAGTGCTGGGATTATAGGCATGAGCCATCATGCCTGGCCTAATTGTGCCTATTCTTAAAGAGACCACTTTGCCCTGGGGAAAAGACACATGTAATACAATTAGAGAAGAGTAAAGAGTTACACTGTGCGATACAGATAGTAAGTATCAGAGCTGCCACAGAGAGGGTGCCATGGTGGGGGCGGGTGACCCCTTGAAGGATGACATGGAGCAGGGACATTCTTGCACTGAGAGATAGGGATACACCCTGACAGTGAGGACCAGGCAGAGGATGGGAGGGATGGGGCAGGACAGAAGGCAGAAAAGGTCAGGTAGAGAAGACTGGCTCCAAGCGACTGATAAAACTTAAGAGCTAGTGTGGTTTTTGAGCCACGGGTGACAGTGAAGAAGTGCTTCAGGATAATTTCTCTATTGGTGGTAGACAGGCACAGATAGAAGTAAGAAAATGGCAGAGAGGCCAGCCAGAGGGGTGGAGAAGTACCATCAGCAAGACTGCCAGGAGATGGCCACCAGGCGGGAGAGGGGTGACAAGCAGAGCGTGGAGAAAGGAAGAAGGGTGAGACAGGCATTTCTGAGACCTGAGGCCAGAAGCCTGCAGGGCTTGGAATTTTGAGCCAGGGCGAGAGGGGAGCAGTTGTGTAATTGCCAGAGAGTGGCAGTTACACAGGAAATGTTCTTGACAGACTGTTGCCCCCTGTACAGAATATCCCCTCTATGACACTCAAACCTCTCAGGTTTTTCTGGGCTCAATCTCTTTGATTCCTCCTATGAAAACGCAGTTCTCAAAACCACACCATCTGGGCCAGGCACGGTGGCTCATGCCTGTAATCCCTGGACTTTGGGAGGCCAAGGTGGGCAGATCATGCCTCTACCAAGAAATACATAAATTAGCCAGGCAAAGTGGTGCCTGCCCATAGTCCCAGCTACTCGGGAGGCTGAGGCAGGAGAATTGCTTGAACCTAGGAGGCAGAGGCTGCAGTGAGCCAAGATTGCGCACTGCACTCCAGCCTGGGCAAAGGAGTGAGACCCTGTCTCAAGAAAAAACAAAGAAACAAAAACAAAAAAACCTCCCTATCCTAACTCTCCTTGTCTCCCCATCTCCTGTCTAGTATCCAAGAAACTGTTCTAACTGTCGTCAGATGAATGGGCGCAAGTACCGGTATAACATTGCCTCCCTAAGTCGGCACTCAGCTCAGAGACTAGGAGCAGGGCTCTGCTTTGCACCCGTCTGTTGAAATCCTGCTTCTGCCACTCACCAGCTGAGTGACTGAGACTGAGGATATGACCTTTCTGACCTCCACTTCCTCTTCTGTAAAGTGCTGATAATAATGTTAGCTAAGGATTATGTGACTTATTGTAAATCAAAAGCTTAGCACAACGCCTGACACATACTAAATGCTCAATAAATAAGAGCTATTATATTGATGTGGCCCACATTTCCCTAGCTCCTTTTTTTTTTTTTAGCAGTCAGATCTCAAGAATTGTACAATATGGCCAGGTGTGGTGGCTCACGCCTGTAATCCCAGCACTTTGGGAGGCCGAGGCAGGTGGATCACAAGGTCAGGAGTCTGAGACCAGTCTGGCCAATATGGTGAAGCCCTGTCTCTACTAAAAATACAAAAATTAGCCAGGCGTGGTGGCGGGCACCTGTAATCCCAGCTACTCGGGAGGCTGAGGCAGGAGGATCACTTAAACCTGAGAGGCAGAGGTTGCAGTGAACTAAGGGCCACTGCACTCCAGCCTGGGCGACAGAGCGAGATTCTGTCTCAAAAAAAAAAAAAATTGTGTAATACAGGTGGTCAGTAAAACCTCTTCGTTTTATAAAATGCACAGCCAAGCAAGCTCTTCCCTATGGCAAACTTGTACACATAGTACACATAATTGTTTCTAACCTGTGGCTCAGAACTTTAAATGGGCTTTTGGTAACTTGGTAACTAGCATCTAGTTTATTTTCTTTCTTTTTTTTTTTGAGATGGTGTCTCACTCTGTCGCCCAGGCTGGAGTGCAGTGGCGTGATCTCCACTCACTGCAAGCTCTGCCTCCTGGGTTCACGCCATTCTCCTGCCTCAGCCTCCAGGGTAGCTGGGACTACAGGCGCCTGCCACCACGCCCAGCTAATTTTTTGTATTTTTAGTAGAGACAGGGTTTCACCGTGTTAGCCAGGGTGGTCTCGAACTCCTGACCTCGTGATCCACCTGGCTTGGCCTCTCTCTCAAAGTGCTGGGATTACAGGCGTGAGCCACCGCGCCCGGCTGCATCTAGTTTATTTTCATCTGGCACGGCAGGCTGTTGAGGTTTTACATCTTGAGCAAGAATAACAGCCACCATCCAATGGGCACATACTCTGAGGTAGGCACTATGCTGCTTGCTGTTCATTTGCTCTGTCTCATTTAATCCTCACCCAACAACCCATTGAAGGCCATATTATTAACCCAGTTATTTTGTTTGTTTGTTTGTTTGTTTTTGTTCTGAGACAGCCTTACTCTGTCACCCAGGCTGGAGTGCAATGGCGCGATCTCAGCTCACTGCAACCTCCGCCTCCCAGGTTCAAGCGATTCTCCTGCCTCAACCTCCCGCATAGTTGGGACTACAGGCGTGTGCCACCACACCCGGCTATTTTTTTATATTTTTAGTAGAGACGGGATTTCACCATGTTTGCCAGGCTGGTCTTGAACTGTTGAACTCGTGATCTGCCCGCCTCGGCCTCCCAAAGTGCTGGGATTACAGGTGTGAGCCACTGCGCCTGGCCTTTTCCCAGTTTTATAGGAAACTTTGGCTCAGAGGTGTTAAATCACCTGTCCAAGATCACAGAGCCAGTGAGTAGAAGATCTGGGAGTTGAACCAACACAGACTCCAGGCACCACATTTGTAACCCGTGTGCTAAATTAGATGCAGGTACAAGGAGGTCAGACACTTTAGCTGATTGGCTAAAGAATCTGGTTGATGCTACCAACCTAATTTGTGTGCATATGAGGGAGGCCTGTGGCTCAACACACACATTCTTTGGAGAGAGGATCATCTACAAGATTAATGAATTCAAGTAATTATTCATTCCATTTCCATCTTTCCCATCACTGCTTTGTTCCTGCTCTGTCCCCTATACTTGTCACCATGCTGGCATGAAGGACATTTCCAAGAAATCCTTGTTGGTTGAATGAGTCATAGAGAAGAAAAGAAAAGTGAAAGGAAGAAGGACCAGGGAGGGAAAGGGGATGGGTGGAAGGAAGGAAAGCGCTAAAGGGGCAAGAGTGAAAGAAGAAACAGGAAGAGGCTAGGAGATGGATGGGTGGAGGAGCGACCTCCCCAGCCTCTCCTCCACAGACTGCCTCAAATGTACCCGTGAGAATCCCCAGGTTTCCCAGTATCCTCCTCCCCCAATAAAATATCCTGCCTTCAGCCTTCACTTCAGGAGCTTCTCCCAAAGAGCTAAGGGCCGGCTGAAGCCCACCCCTACCCCTGCCTGACCCCTTGCCCTGCACACCCTTAAGTGGGCTCTGGGCTCTGCCCTATTCTCAGAGCCTTCCTCAGCTTCCTGGCCTGGCCTCAGAGCTCAGTGCTACCTTCCTGCCCCACTTCCTCTTCCTGCCTCCAAGTTCCCTGGAGATAAGGCCATCCAGGCATTGACCCCTAGCCAGGCCACATCCATCACACCTCTGTCAGTTTCTCCAAGGCAAAATCTTAAAGCACCAAGCCTACTTCCTGCCCAGTCCATTTTCCCAGGAGCCCTAGGGAAAGGGAGAAACTGGCACCAGCTGTTCCTGACATCTTTGCCTTGGAGATGGCAAGTGAGGACAAAGGCCAGGATCTGCAGCAGGAGTGGGGATGACTCAACTCAGGAATGTGTCACTAGGTAGAGGTTAGCAGGGAGTCAGGCCTGTGCCATACACTGATAACTTCAGTGGAACTTTCAGAGTAAACATCTCCCTTTCTCTTTCTCTAGGGGAGGAGTTCGCCCTCCAACACCCTGCCATGGGGCTGGAATGGCCTCTGCCACCCCATCTGCTCAAGTTTCCAACTCCTGAGCCAGGCTTGGCTCCTCACAGCTGCGGAAAGGGCTGACGAGGTCGTTACATTTCCTACCACTTCTTAGCAGTGGGTTCTGAGTGCCAGGCGGGTCTCTGCCACTGTGGCTCCTTTAACCTCGCAAGGACCCAACAAGGCAGGTATTACTGACCCCACTTCACAGACGCGGAAAAGGAGGCTCAGGGAGGTTAAGTGACTTGTCCCGGGTCACAGAGCTGGGATCCCAGCCCGGAGTCCGACTCCAAAGTCGGTGCTCTTAACCGCTTTGCTTCAGGAGAATGGGGAGCCCGAGTCCCGCTCGCTCTGCGCGGTGCAGCCAGGACGGGGCTCACGCATTTCTCTCCCATGCGGCGCGCAGGGAGTGGAGGGTCCGCCCCGTCCTGCTCCAGCAGTGGTCACCGCCTCAGGTCTGGCCCTCGTGGGCCCCAGGGGAGGCCCCAGCCCGCGGACTTTGGACTCCTCTCTCCCACCCTCGCCACTCGCCCTCTGCCCGTCGCAGGGCTGGCCGGCCCCGCCTGGGCCCTCACCATCGCTGCTGCCGCCGCCGCCTCGCCCGCTCCCGGCTTCTCTGCCTGCGGAGCGGCCGCAGTGCCAGCGGCCCCGGAGGAAGAGCAGGGGCGGGGCGGGGCGGGCCGCCGAGCGAGGGCGGGGGGCGCGCCTTCCGCGAGTGGCGACAGAAACCAAGTCAAATCGAAAGCGATGGGCCACAGCGACCTGGGTCCGTAGAGTCGGACCCTCCCGGGCCCCAGGAGCCTGAATTCGGATGACACCTCTGCCTGGTGAACGGGCACACCTCGGGGCCGGATCTGTGGAATGGGCACAGTGGAGTGAGCCCTGGAGTCTTCTAGCTCGAGTTCAGCTGAAAAGGCATCATTCATTCACTCAACAAACACCCTATGAGTGCCACGGTCAGGCACCATACTAGGTCCTGGAGACGCCATGAACAAGCCAGGCAGGGTCTTTATCACCCTGGTGAGTGCATCTCACCCAGAACCAAAAACAGGCACCCAAAAAGTTTTGAAACTAAAGACAAGTGGTGGTTGCACAACATTCTGAATACATGTCACTGATCTGTACACTTTAAAATAACAAACTGTACATTGTGTGACTTTCACCTCTATTCAAAAAGAAAGCAGCCCCACATGGGCAAAGTACTAGCTCTAGCCTTTCTGTATGTCTTTCCTCACCATGAGGGCAAGTGCAGCTCTGTGCTGTCATGCACCCGCCATGCACTTGCTCCTCAGTCAGAGGATGGGGGAGGCTGGTGTATCTACTACCACTTCAGAGCCTTCCTGAGCCGAATCTACCCATCCTGTCCTCTCACTGCTACAGAGAAACCACCAGCTACCTGTTCTCCACTACTCCAAGCTGCCTCGGACATCTTAAAATAAGGTCCCTCGTTTTTTTTTTTTTGTTTGTTTGTTTTTTTTTTTTGAGAGAGACAGGGTCTCACTATGTTGACCAGGCTGGTCTCGAACTCCTGGCCTCAAGCAGTTCTTCTGCCTCAGGTTTCCAAAGTGTTGGGATTACAGGTGTGAGCCACTGGGCCTGGTCCCTCAAGTGAGGCCTCTCTTGACCAACAGAATTGAAAGTTTCCCTCTCTGGGGCTGAGCCTCTGTGAATACAGAAGTCCCAGACCAAGAGGGTTTCACAGACACTCACCCCCACCTTGGACAGCCTGGGTCCCAAGGCAGAAGCTTCACTTCAGTTCCTTACACCTTGAATCCAGGAGAGAGAGGATTAACATGTTGTAGCAAAGACTACCCCAAGCCTGGGCACAGTGGCTCACACTTGTAATCCCAGCACTTTGGGAGGCCAAGGTGGTAGGATTGCTTGAGCCCAGGAGTTTGAGACCAGCCTGGGCAACACAGTGAGACCATGTCTCTACAAAAAATACAAAAATTAGCCAGGTGTGGTAGCACACACCTGTGGTCCCAGCTACAGGGGAGGCTGAAGCAGGAAGATCTCTTAAGCCCAGGAGATGGAGGTTGCAGTGAGCCATGATCACACCACTGCACTCCAGTCTGGGCAACAAAGTGGGATCCTATCTCTGAAAAAATAAAAATAAAAATATCACAAGGGTCTTTTCTGACCTTTCCTCCTCCCTCCCCAAATTTCAGAGCATGATTCTTCCAGAGCCTGACTTGCCAATCTGGTCCCAAACCCTGACTCTCAACCCTTCCCCTTCTTCCTGACAACAGGTTGTTTCCAATTCTGGAAAGCCTGTGGAGGAAACAGGAACAGAGATAGCAAGAACCCTCCCTGCAAACCAAGGCGGACTGGGCACTGGAAAAAGTGACAGTGATGGTGGAACCTGGTAGGGAGGAGGGGGGCCTGAAGACAGAAAGGCTTATTGTGCACAGAGGGGAAGAAGAGCCATTGGCCCTGTCCTGTGACACTGACTGACTGACTGTGCCCAGCCATGGGATGCCAAGGAGAGATGCTTGCCCCCTCAGGACAACTGAGACCCAGAGGCCTTGCTAAGTCCCAGAAGACAAGGACAGAGAAAAGACAAATAAAACATGCAGAAGCACAAGGAAAGGAATAGCAGTCCATTTCCTCCACCCCTCGGCTCTAGACTACAGGGTCGTTGAAGAGAGATGGCTCTGGTGGAAGAGGCAGGAGGATTTCAACCAGCTTCATGCCTCAGCTAACAATTCCAGAAGAAGAGTACTACAGGGCCATGGCAGGACCCAATGGGAACACTTAAAAATCTTGCATACCACCCCAAAATGCTATGAAGGTTTTGAACTTTCCATATGCCAAGACTCCCAGAAAATTCTTGTTCTTGAGACCTGTGACAATGAATGGAACTGGGAGGAATAAAGACAGGGTGGGGGCTCCAACTTTCTTCTCCAAACATATACTCTTTGCCCTTCCAACAACTTGGACCTCAGATGAGAGAATTTTAGCCAGAAGGTATCCTCAGGAAGAAAAGAAATAGAAAAGCCAAAGGCAAAATGGGAAGAGAGAAAGTGCCTCACACATATAGGGATACTGAAAGGTCTTTATTACCCACTGGCCACCAACAGTTTCCCAGCCACATGCTGGGCCCTCTAGGTCTCTCCAGCCCACTCTAAGGACCCAAGAAATGCAGCCACAGTCCATCTCTCTTTTTTCTCTCCTTCCGGGGGACCAAGGTACCTTCTGGGGCATACAACATGGCAGCAGGGCCTCGGGAAGAGGGGTAGGAGGACCGAGCAGCATTCTCTGTAGAGGAAGACAGGAAAGGAGACCCTCTTGGCACACATTTATGGAGGGTTGTCCCTGAAGAGAAGGGCAGGTGGGAGAGGTTCCCTGTTACTTAAGAGAAGGCACCAGTGGCAAAGAGCACAATGAAGAGGATGATGATAAAAACAATCACGCAGATAAGGACAATCATCTTCACGTTCTTCCACCAGAATTTTCGAGCCACCTTCTGCGATGTCGTCTTGAAGTGCTCAGACTGTTGGGGAAAAGGCAGAGTGAGTGACCCAGTGGCTCCTCCCACTGGAACAAGATTATAAGAGTACAAGTGCAGCCCACAGGCCATACTTTTTTTTTTTTTTTGAGATGGAGTCTCGCTCTGTCACTCAGGCAGTGGCTCGATCTTGGCTCACTGCTGCCTCCACCTCCTGGGTTCAATTGATTCTCCTGCCTCAGCCTACTGAGTAGCTGGGATTACAGGTGCCCACCACCACGCCCAGCTAACTTTTGTATTTTTAGTAGAGAGGAGGTTTCACCATGTTGGCCAGGCTGGTCTTGAACTCCTGACCTCAGGTGATCCACTCGCCTTGGCCTCCCAAAGTGCTGGGATTACAGGCGTAAGCCACCACGCCTGGCCTTGTTTGTTTGTTTTTTGAGACAGTGTCTGGCTGTGTCACCCAGGCTGGAGTGCAGTGGCACAATCTCAGCTCACTGCAGCTTCCATCTCCAGGGCTCAAGCAATCCTCCCACCTCAGCCTCCCTAGTGCTGGGACTACAGGCACATGCCACCACGTTCAGCTCAAGCCATACATCTTAATACTGACACTGTAAGCTGAGGTAACAAACTGCTAAATAAAAGATGCTCTGGCCGGGTGCGGTGGTTCACGCCTGTAATCCCAGCACTTTGGGAGGCCGAGGTTGGTGGATCACCTGAGGTCAGTAGTTCGCGACCAGCCTAGCCAACATTGTGAAACCCCCTCTCTACTAAAAATACAAGAAAATTAGCCGGGTGTGGTGGCAGACGCCTGTAATCCCAGCTACTTAGGAGGCTAAGGCAGGAGAATCACTTGAACCTGGGAGGCGGAGGTTGCAGTGAGCCGAGATTGCGCCATTGCACTCCAGCCTGGGTAACAAAGCAAGACTCCATCTCAAAAAAAAAAAAAAAAAAAAAAAAATGCTGTATCTGCCTACCTTGACAAATGTACCTTCCTAAAAATCTGGAAGGCCGGGTTGAAATTTAGAATTCTCAGGATCCTAGGAGGTCTCCACCTAGATATGACTAGGGGTCCCCTTTCTCTTCTTACCCCTGCACACTGAGGGGTCCTCGACACCTGCTTACACCCAAGGGTACAACACTGGCAGCAAAATCTGCCCTTGGGAGGGCAGACCCTGGGACTGAGGGGTGCAGGCTCCAGGTGGGCACATCTCGCAGCTCCAGGACTCCTTGCCCCATCGGGACTGCTGAGGCTGGAGGAGGGACCAGGACAGGATAGAGGGTTGGAAGTAAGGGAACTCCTCCTCCTCCACCCACTCTTCCCCATGCCCAGCAATTCAAGTTATAGACACTAAATTTCCTGGGGCTTGTCCAGACATGGTGGCTCAAGTCTGTAATCCCAGCACTTTGAGAGGCCAAGGCAGGTGGATCACCTGAGGTCAGGAGGTCAAGACCACCCTGGCCAACAAGGCAAAACTTCGTCTCTACTAAAAATACAAAAAATTAGCCAGGTGTGGGGGTGCACACTGTAATCCCAGCTACTCAGGAGGCTGAGGCACGAGAATCGTTTGAACCCAGGAGGTGAAGTTTGCAGTGAGCCAAGATTGCACTCACTCTAACCTGGGCAACAGAGTGAGGCTCTGTCTAAAAAAAAAAAAAAAATTCCCGGGGCCATGCTCCCCAAATTAAGCTACAATTAAGCTACAGAAACAGGCAATGAGCCCCAGGGAGACAAGGGAGCAATACCCAAGAGCCAAGAGTTCACACAGGACTCAGAAAGCCAGAGCCAGCCTCCCCGCTGAACACAGAACTTGAGGCTCCAGACTTTGCTCAACTTTGGAGTTACTTCCTCCCTGAAACAGCTGGCCTCAGCCCCTGGCTGGAGAGAGAGAAGAATGAGGTCTAGCAAGATGTGTGGGAGATATTATTTTAGCCTTCATCTAGCAGGGGACCCTGGGATCAAAGCATTTCACTGCTCTTTCCCCCTTCTTTTTAAAGCCTACTCAGCAAGACGCCAGCAATTTCCCACCCCTTGTCTAACAGCTCCTAGAGAAGGCTAGAGGCCACAGCGGGGGTTTCCTCAGAGCCAATATTTCTGCCCTGGGAAGGTCAGACCCAGATGATTGTCATGGGCAGGCTTCAAAGGGAAAACAAGTTTCCCGGGAGAGAAGCCTGAGAATGCATGGGCTGACTGAGCTTTCGGTCTCAGAACATGCCTCTATGGGCGAGCTGCCACCTCAAGCCCCAGTCATGGGATCCATTCCCTGGGATCCATAACAATCTGTGGAGCAGAGCAGATTCAGAAGTGGAGACTCAGCTCACATCAGCTCCCAAACCAGGTGAAAGGCAACAGAAATGTCAAACTTCTGGCCCTCCTGTCCATTTTGCCCCACCAAAAAGAAATTCCCTCCCTCCCTGTTTTCCTCCAGCCCCCAGTGGGCTCCCTGTCTCACTGTGGCTTCCAGATCCTCTGTCTTGTTGCGGAGATGTTCCAAGTTTTCCCCCCGGGCCAGGATCCGCTCCACATTCTGGGTCATAATATTCTTAACTCCCTCCACCTCACTTTGCAGGTTCCGCACACGATCATTTCCTCCACCTTCACTGGCTTCCTCCTGTGCGGCAACACGGGGTTAATTAGACCAAGTGGTGGGGGAACTGGAGACTTGGGCTCAGAGATCTGGGGAGGGTAAGGCCTCAGGCAGACTTAAGCTTTTTGTAAAATGCTTGAAATGTTTACAAAGAGAATGTTTTCATGTATTACTTCTGTAATCAAAAATAAATGCATTTGTAAGCCCCAGAAGGTGAGATGTGATGCTGAACAGACTAGATCAAACTTCTTTTGGGGTTATTAGGGCCCCTGACAAGGAAAAGCAGCACATCACTAAATCCCTCCCCACTGCTTCCTTGCTCCCTAGAGAGGGCCGTAGAATACAGCAGGGCCAGCATCTCACAATGTTCCCTTCCAGAGCAGAGCCCGCCACTATTTACAATTCCCAGAGCCACCCCCCTTTCCTGATTTCTTGGGACCCTGGTTGAAAGTGTCTGTGCTGGCCAGCAGAACACCCTCACCCAGCCCCACCCATCTGTCCCTCTAAGCCAGCTGCCGGAGCACGGCCCTGGCCGCAATGCCATTGCTGTGACCCAGAACAACAGGCAACCAAGTATCCCAGAAGGCGCCTGGAGCCGTTGAGCCACACACTTCTGCTTTCCCCACCACTGGGCGACACGTGCAGGCACCAAGCAACCGCCTGCTTATGCAGATATTAAATAAAAATACCCGCCTGGGTGTTGGGGGAAATGGAGGACTAGTCCTCCCTGGCTGATGTCTCATCTCGGAGGCTTCATGACAAGGTTTTTGAACAAGGAGAGAAAAATAGTATTTAGCTCCTCCCCGCTTGACCTCCAAAAATAGGCCAGTGGCATGGGTCAGAACTACATTATCACAGAGAACCAACTTCTGGTTCTCTTATAAACCTTTAGTTCTCTTCTCCATGTTAATGGAGAAAGGACACCCAAAGGACTCAGTGGACACACAAATCCTTTGTGTTTCTGTGTGGGGATAAAGTGAAAGGCCGGAGAGGAGAGCTTCTGCCGCTGGGCTGGAATCTGAACTGGGAACTGCCCAGGCGCTGCCTGGTGTGGTGTCACAACACCCGCCTCGGGCTCCCTGGAGGAGGAAGGCACAACAACTCTTTGCCTGGAATTCGGAGCCCCCATCGGCGCTGGCACGGAAGCCCAGCTCCCCACCAGCACAGAGGTCAGGGGAGGGAGGGAGAAGGAGTAGAAACACCTGCCAGGACAGCTCAGAGCTATTTGCAGCCAAGTTGTCAAAGAAGAGAGGCCATAGCAGCACTGGCCCAGCCCTCTAACTTTGCCACCAACTCTCCTCCCCCGACACAGCCAACCCCCAGTCCCAAGCCCCCTCTGGCTCCTCTTTAAACCAGCCCTTTCCTAGTTCCCAGTTGGCTCACCATGTCTCAGAGCAGCCCAGGCCGGTCAGTAAGTGAATTCGCCTAGTCGGCTTCCTCCCAGGGTGGCCCTCAGTTCACTTCCTGCTTGCTCCAACTTTCAGCCTGCCCCCGCCCACCTCGCATCTCGAGTCGCTCCAGCCACACCTAACTCAGGTTTCCCCAGGTAGGCGGGCATTCTTCACTGTCCTCCCAGTGGCTTCCCAAACAAGAGCTTAAACTTAAAGTAATAGGGTTCTCAGAAGCCAAAGGTCTTCTAACTTGTCAGGAATTAGAAAAGAAAGATCAAGCAGCCCTCCGAGGTTTCCAGAGGCTGGACCTCCTGATCTAGAAAGGGCAGCCTTTTTTTTTTTTTTTTTTTTTTTAAATAGAGACGAGTTCTCACCATGTTGCCCAGGCTGGTCTCAAACTCCTGGGCTCAGGCGATCCTCCCACCTCAACCTCCCAAAGTCCTAGGAGCCATGATGCCCCACCAGCCATCTCCTTGTAATGTCTTGAATATCTGACTCCAGTTTCTAGAGACTGAGATCAACCATGCCAGGCCTAGCTCACAGGGAAACAAAATGCAGTTATGAAAATGTATTGCTGGATAACACTTGTTCCCAGGTCCCTGGGTGGCAGAAAGCACTAAAATCCCTGAAGTCTGGAATACTGTGATCCTGGGCTCTGATTCAGAAAGTTCTGGGTTACTAGTTACAGGCCCCTCAGGGAAACTTTTCACCTCTGTGGAGTTTGCAGGTGCTGATGCTTAGCTCAGATGGTGCTGGTAAGAAGCAAAAAGAGGCCGGGCGTGGTGGCTCACGCCTGTAATCCCAGCACTTTGGGAGGCCGAGGCGGGCAGATCACAAGGTCAGGAGTTAAAGACCAGCCTGGCCAACATGGCGAAACCCTGTCTCTACTAAAAATACAAAATAATAAACAGGCGTGGTGGCAGTTGCCTATAATCCCAGCTACTCAGGAGGCTGAGGCAGGAGAATTGCTTGAACCCGGGAGACAGAGATTGCAGTGAGCTGAGATCATGCCATTGCACTCCAGCCTGGGTGACAAGAGCAAGACTCTGCCTCAAAAAAAAAAAAAAAAAAAGAAGCAAAAAGATAGCATGTGCAGTGCAATGCCACTAGCACAGTGTCTATAATGATGGCTCACCAAACCTCTCCTTCCCTTCCAGAGTTCAGCAATTCTGCATTTCCCTTTAGGGGCTACCGCAGAGGTAATTGATCCCAGTCAGTGATCAGAGGACTGCCCCAGTGAACCAGAGCAGGGGGCCCAAGGCAAAGGATTTTTCCACTAACCTGGCTCCAGGCCAGAGAAAATCTGATCTTCCTTGACAGTGTTTATCAAGACAGAAGAACAATAACAGGGACATTCAGAAGGGAACGAACATTCTTGACCCATTCCAGAAGAAATCAGTTCCAAGGAGGAAATGTCAGCTTCTCCAACAAACACTTTTTTTGTTTGTTTATTTTGTTTTGTTTTCTTGAGATAGTCTCCCTCTGTCACCCAGGCTAGAGTCCAGTGGCATGATCGTAGCACCCTGCAGCCTTGAACTCCTGGGCTACAGCGATCGTCCTGCCTCAGCCTCCCCAGTAACTGAAACTACAGGTGCGAACCGCCATGTCTGGCTAATTTATTTTAAAACTTTTTGTAGAGATGGGGGTCTTACCATGTTGCCCAGGCTGGTCTCAAACTCCTGTTCTCAAGTAATCCTCCCTCCTCAGCTTCCCAAAGTGTTGGGATCATAGGTGTGAGCCACCACATCCAGACACAAATAATTTTTTTTTTTTTTGAGATGTTTCTCTCTTGTTGCCCAGGTTGGAGTGCAATGGCGCTATCTCGGCTCACTGCAGCCTCTGCCTCCCAGGTTCAAGCGATTTTCCTGCTTCAGCCTCCCTAGTAGCTGGGACTACAGGTGCATGCCACCAGGCACGGCTAATTTTTTTGTATTTTTAGTAGAGACAGGGTCTTACCATGTTAGTCAGGGTGGTCTCGAACTCCTGACCTCTCAGGTGATCCGCCCGCCTTGGCCTCCCAAAGTGCTGGGATTACAGGCGTGAGCCACCGCGCCCGGCCACAAATGCCTTTTTAAAAGCTTTAAACAAACTTCGGACCCCTGTAGCTTTTTTTTTTTTTTTTTAGAGGCAGGGTCCCACTCTGTCATCCAGGCTAGAGTACAGTGCAGTGTGTTCAAGCTCACTGCAGCCTTGAACTCCTGGGCTCAAGCAATCTTCTCACCTCATCCTCCCCAGTTAGCTGGGACTACAGGCAAGGGCCACCATGTCCAGTTAATTTTTTTTTTTTTTTGGAGACAGTGTCTTGCTGTGTTGTCCAAACTGGTCTCAAACTCCAAACCTCAAGTGATTCTCCCACCTCAGCCTCCCAAAGTGCTGGGATTATAGGCATAACCCACCATGCTCAGCAAATATTATATATAAGCCTGGGCAACAACATATCAAGACACTGTCTCTATAAAAAAATAAAACTGTTGGACACAGTGGCTCATGCCTGTAATCCCAGCCCTTTGGGAGGCCGAGGCAGTGGATCACCTGAGGTCAGAAGTTTGACACCAGCCTGATCAACATGTCGAAACCCCATCTCTACTAAAAATACAAAAACTAGCTGGGCATGGTGGTGGGCACCTGTATTCCCAACTACTCGGAAGGCTGAGGCAGGAGAGTCGCTTGAACCTTGGAGGCGGAGGTTGCAGTAAGCCGAGATCACACCGTTGCAATTCAGCCTGGGCGACAGAGTGAGACTCTGTCTCAAGTAATAATAATAATAATAATAATAATAAAATAAAAATAAAGTAAAATTAAAAAAATAAAATTGGCTGGGCACCGTGGCTCACGCCTGTAATCCCAGCACTTTGAGAGGCCGAGATGGGCAGATCACCTGAGGTCGGGAGTTCGAGACCAGCTCTTGACCAACATGGAGAAAACCCATCTTTACTAAAAATACAAAATTAGCCAGGCATGGTGGCGCATGCCTGTAATCCTAGCTACTCGGGAGGCTGAGGCAGGAGAATTGCTTGAACCCGGGAGGTGGAGGCTGCAGTGAGCCGATATCACACCATTGCACTCCAGCCTGGGCAACAAGAGTGAGACTCTATCTCAAAAAAAAAAACCAATAATAAATAAATAATAAAATAAAATTAGCCAGGCATAGTGGTGCATGTCCATAGTCCTAGCTGCTTGGAGAGCTAGCACAGAAGGATCACTTGAGCCCAGGGGTGTGAGACATCAGTGAGCTATGATAGTGCCACTGCACTCCAGCCTGGGAGACAGAGATAGACCCTGTCACTAATAATGATAATAATAATAATTTTATATATTGATTATGTGGCGAAATAATGTTTGGATATATTGAGTTAAATAAAAGATTAATAAAATAAATAAAATTAATTTCAGCCGGGGATGGTGGCTCACACCTATAATCCCAGCACTTTGAGAGGCTGAGGCAGGCCGATCATGAGGTCAGGAGATTGAGACCAGCCTGGCCAACATGGTGAAACTCCGTCTCTACTAAAAATACAAAAATTAGCTGGACGTGGTGGCGCTTGCCTGTAATCCCAGCTACTCGGGAGGCTGAGGCAAGAGAATCACTTGAACCTGGGAAGCAGAGGTTGCAGTGAGCCGTGATGGCGCCACTGCACTCCAGCCTGAGTAACAGAGTGAGACTGTCTCCAAAAAAAAAAAATAATAATAATAATAATTTCACCTGTTTCTTTATTTTTTAAAATTCATTTTTATTTATTTATTTATTTTTTTTGAGACAGGGTCTCACTGTCACCCAGGCTGGAGTACAGTGTCACAATCATAGTTCATTGTAACCTCAAATTCCTGGTTTCAAGTGATCCTCCTGCCTCAGCCTCCTAAAGTGTTAGCATTACAGGCATGAGCTACTGCATCCAGCCCTGTTTCTCTTACTTTTAAAATTTGGCCAGTAGAAAAATGTAAATTATGTGATTAGTGAAAAATGTTAAAATACATATTGTAATGTGGCTTATCACTGGGCATGGTGGCTGATCCATACCTTAATATTTACATGACCTGGGACAAACTTGCATAACAACTCTAAGCCTCAGTTACCTCATCATCTGTGCTTAGCACTCAAAAAATTCAGTAGACCAGGTGCAGTGGCTCACACCTGTAATCCCAGCACTTTGGGAGGCTGAGGTGAGAGGATTGCTTGAGCCTGGGATTTCGAGACTAGCCTGAGCAACATAGTGAGACCCTGTCTTTTTCTTTTTTCTTTTTCTGTTTTTTGAGAAGGAGTTTTGCTCTTGTTGCCCAGGCTGGAGTGTAGTGGCGCAATCTCGGCTCACTGCAACCTCTGCCTCCTGGGTTCAAGTGATTCTCCTGCCTCAGCCTCCCAAGTAGCTGGGAATACAGGCACATGCGCCACCATGCTCAGCTAATTTTTGTATTTTTAGTAGAGACGAGGTTTCACTATGTTGGGCAGGCTGGTCTCGAACTCCTGACCTCAAGTGATCTGCCCACCTCGGCCTCCCAAATCACTGGGATTACAGGTGTAAGCCACCGCCCCAGCCTCAAACATAATATATATATATATATTCAGTGAAGTGACTTTGTAAGGAAAAACTGCTGAACTGCTTGGTTATAGGAGTTGTAGCCCAAGAAGCAATGGGCCAAATCTTGGTTTATTCTTGGTTGTGCCTCTCATATACACCTCCTCCTTTCCATGCCAGCCCCTTCCTCCTAGTTAATGCCAGCCCCTTCCTCCTAGTTAATGCCAGCATGATCTCTTCCCTGAACAATTCCAATCCCCTCTAAACTCACCTTTCTTTTCTCATCTACTCCTCTGTGGCTGATTGCTATCTTCCCAAAACAGATATTTAAATATGCTCCACCCTGCCTCCAGGATAAAGCCCCAGCTTCCTAGCAATTCCCTGTGTGATAAAAAGACTAGGGTGACATCTGACCTCCTGCTCTTCTACACTACTACCCCTGGCTGTGCAGTTTTGGGCAAGTCACTTCATTTGCAAAATAGGATTAAGAATAGGCTGGGTGCAGTGGTTCATGCCTGTAATCCCAGTACTTTGGGAGGCTGCAGCGGGCGGATCACTTGAGACCAAGAGTTAGAGACCAGCCTGGCCAATACCGCATAACCCCGTCTCTACTGAAAATGTAAAGATTAACTAGGCATGGTGACCACACCTGTAGTCCCAGCTACTTCGGGAGGCTGAGGTGGGAGGATTGCTTGAGGCTTGGAGGCGGAGGCTGCAGTGAGCTGAGATCGTGCCCTACTGCACTCCAACCTGGTTCACAGAGCCAGAGCCAGACCCCATCTCAAAAAAAAAAAAAAAAAAAAAAGGCGGGGCACAGGGGCTCACACCTGTAATCCCAGCACTTTGGGAGGCCAAGGCAAGTGGATCACCTGAGGTCAGGAGTTTAAGACCAGCCTAGCCAACATGGTGAAACCTTGTCTCTACTAAAAACAAAAAATTAGCTGGGCGTGGTGGCACATTCCTCTAATCCCAGCTACTAGGGAGGCTGAGGCAGGAGAATCGCTTGAACCGGGGAGGTGAAGTTTGTGGTGAGCCAAGATTGTGCCATTGCACTCCAGCCTGGGCAACAAGAGCGAAACCCCGTCAAAAAAAAAAAAAAAGAAAGAAAGAAAGAAAGAAAAGAGAAAAAGGACACTAATGGAGAAAACTGAATGAGAAACTAAGAGAAAGGGAATATTACCACCTGAAAAGGCAACCAAGCAAACTTTCAGGTACATAACCCTTGGCATATATCCCAGTCTTCTGATTTATGCCCCAGGTGGGCAGTTTACTCCTATATCTCAGAGGAAAAAAGCTGGAGAACAAGGAAAAGGTACATTCAGGAGGCTCAACTGAACCTGATTCCTGAAGGATCATGAAGTTCTCACCACTGCCAAGGTTCATTTCTGTCTCCAAACCTTCTCTCTGTAGCCTGTTATGCTGCTGGCCATCCCACCTGTCTCCTAATGTGCCCTCTTCCTCTCTGAATGTGCCCCTAGAACACAGAGATTCTGCCCTTGGCCATCTTTTTCTTTTCTTCTTTTTTTTTTTTTTTTGAGATGGAGTCTTGCTCTGTCACCCAGGCTGGAGGGCAGTGGCACTATCTCGGCTCACTGCCACCTCCACCTCCCGAATTCAAGCGATTCTCCTGCCTCAGCCTCCTGAACAGCTGGGACTACAGGCATGTGCCACCACGCCCAACTAATTTTTTGTATTTTTAGTAGAGACAGGGTTTCACCGTGTTAGCCAGGATGGTCTTGATCTCCTGACCTTGCAATTCGCCCGCCTCGGCCTCCCAAAGTGCTGTGATTACAGGCATGAGCCACCATGCCCGGCCCGTTGGCAATCTTTCTTCCGACTTCTGAAGAGAACCACTCTGTTTTAGAGCAGTGTTTCTCAGAGGGGTTATTTTACCTTTCAGGGGTCTTTTCACAATGTCTGGAGACATTTTTGGTTGTTATAGCTGGGGGTAGGGGTGCTACTAGTATCTGGTGGGTTGAGGCCAAGGATGTTGCTAAAATATCCTACAATGCAAAGGACACCCTCTCACAAGAAAGAATCTGGACCAAAATGGCAATTGTTTTGAGGCTGAGAAAACCCTGGTCTCCCTATAGGGAAGTGCAGTGCCTCTACGGCTTCAATAGCCATTTATGAAAAATCCCCAAATTTATTATCTCCAGCCCGGGCCTCTCCCTCAACTACCAATGCTGCCTCTCCAATGCCCTGGACAGTTCACAGACACCTCCAACACCCAAACCAAACCCTTTATCTTTTCTCCATGTTCCTCCTCCTGGGTGGGACTCCCATTCTACCCGCTTCTCAAGCTAGGAACCACAAAGCATCCTTCACATGCAAGGTCGTCACCAAGCCTTAGTTCATACTTTTTTAAAAAAATTTTTTACAAGGGCACAAAAATCAGGCAATTGGTTCATTCTTGGTCGTGCCTCTCATATCCACCACCTCCTTGGTCCACCAGCTCCTGCCTCCTGGTTAATGCCAGCAGCACGATCTCTTCCCTGGACAATTCCAATCCCCTCTAAATTCACCTTTCTTTTCCCATCTACCCCTCTGTGGTTGATTGCTATCTTCCAGAAACACATATTGTATGCTCCACCCTGCCTCCAGGATAAAGCCCAAACTTCTTAGCATGGCATTCCAAGACTGTTCTCAACCTGCTTTTCTGAACTTCTCTCCCATTAGATTCACCTCCCAGCCCTCCAGTCAACCAAATTACATGTCCTTTCTCAAACGTCGTACACCATCCACCTTCTATATCTTTCCCTAAGGCCTTCACTCATCACTGCTTATGACAATTCTATTCACATTTAAGACATAGCCTCCATGAAGCTTTAGAGATTTCCCCACTGAAGCTAACTTGTTCCTGTTCTGATCTCCATCACATTTTATTTCTTTTAAAGAATCTTTCACATACTTTGTCATACATATTTGACCCCTCCAACACTCTTAAGTCCTATAAAGGCAGGCAGGGACTGAGTCCTCACTTTGGTACCCTTTGTAGTATATGACATATGTCCTAGACATGTAGGCAACTCACTAAAGGTTTCAGATATTGAACTGAGAAGTCTGAAAGAAAGCTGCTTTCTCCACAGTACAGAGAAAGATGATTTTTGTTGGAAAAGATTTATAGAGAAATTTCTTTCCTAAAGTTTGACCTATTTTATGGATAAATGAATGCTAAATATCACAAATCTTTGTATATTGGTCCTGAAAGGAAAACCTGGAGATACTGAGTTAGCAAGCTCATTTATTAGCTGTATTTTTCTTTTCTTTTCTTTTCTTTTTTTTTTTTGTTTTGTTTTTTGAGACGGAGTCTCACTCTGTTGCCCAGGCTGGAGTGCAGTGGCACAATCTCGGCTCCCTGCAACCTCCACCTCCCAGGTTCAAGCAATTCTCTACCTCAGCCTCCCAAGTAGCTGGGATTACAGGCGCCCGCCACCACGCCTGGCTGATTTTTGTATTTTTGGTAGAGACGGGGTTTCACCATCTTGGCCAGGCTGGTCTTAAACTCCTGACCTCGTGATCCACCCACCTCGGCCTCCCTAAATGCTGGGATTACAGGCGTGAGCCACTGCGCCCAGCTATTAGCTGTATGTTTCCTATACAGAATACTCTTGTTCACCCAAGACTATTAAGAACTTTTGATCTCCAGCTGGGCAAGGCGGCTAATGCCTGTAATCACATCACTTTGGGAGGCCAAGGCAGGAGGATGCCTTGAGGCCAGGAGTTCCAGATGAGTCTGGCCAACATAATGAGACCCCATCTGTACAAAATATTTATTATTTTATTTTATTTTATTTTTGAAACAGAGTCTCGTTCTGTCGCCAGGCTGGAGTGCAGTGGCGCGATCTTGGCTCACTGCAACCTCCGCCTCCAGGGTTTAAGTGATTCTTCAGCCTCAGCCTCCCGAGTAGCTGGAACTACAAGTGCCTGCCACCACGCCCAGCTAATTTTTGTATTTTTTTAGTAGAGACTGGGTTTCATTATGTTGGCCAGGATGGTCTCAATCTCTTGACCTCATGATCTGCCAGCCTCAACCTCCCAAAGTGCTGAGATTGCAGGCGTGAGCCACTGCGCCTGGCCGATTTTATTTTTTTTTTATTTTATCTTATTTTATTTTAGAGATGGAGTCTCACTCTATCACCCAGGCTGCAGGGCAGTGGCACGATCTCAGCTCAATGCAACCTCCACCTCCTGGGTTTAAGCAGTTCTCCTGCCTCAGCCTTCCAAGTAACTGGAATTACAGGCATGCACAACCATACCTGGCTAATTTTTGTATTTTTAGTAGAGATGGCGTTTCACCATGTTGGCCAGGCTGGTCTTGAACTCCTGACCTCAGATGATCCACCTGCCTTGGCCTCCTGAACTGCTGGGATTACAGGTGTGAGCCACCGGGTCTGGCCAAAATATTTTTTAAATTAAAAAAAAGTTTGAAAAGAACGTGATTTCCCTCTCTCCTTTTAAAACTGCACTCATCCTTCAAAGCCCAAGTGAGACCGGGAGACCCTGTCTCAAAAAAAGCTTTCCTGATTTCTCTAGTGTAATTCATTTCTTCCTCAATGCTTCCATTGCACTCATTTAATAGTATTTATGACTTTCTACATTCTATTACTGTTATTACTATCCTATTATTTCTAAATTATTTTATTATTATCATGTTTCCTTACCATTTAACTCCTAGAAGACAGAGGCTACAATTGAGTCATTTCCCCCTCTCTGTAACTTGTTCAGTCCTTAGCACATAACAGACCATAAATGCTGAATTTACTGGAAGCATTAATATTGAGCAGTCCTAGACGAGTGGATACAAATTTCCTAAGCCAAACTGAATTTGTTTGGGCCAGTATTTGACAGTGGATTAAGAAATACATCTCAGACTGGGAGCAATGACTCATGCCTATAATCCCAGCACTTTGGGAGGCCAAGGTGGGAGGATCACTTGTGTTCAAGAGTTTGAGACCAGCTTGGGCAACATAGTGAGACCCTGCCTCTCCAAAATATAAGAAATTAGCTGGGTATGGGGGTGCACGCCTAGTCCTAGCTCCTCAGGAGGCTGAGGCGAGGAGATCGCTTGAACCCAGGATGTCAAGGCTGCAGTGAGCTGTGATCATGCCACTCAGCCTGGGTGACAGAGTGAGAACCTGTCTCAAAAAAAAAAAAAAAAAAAAAAGCCAGGTGTGGTGGCAGGTGCCTGTAGTCTCAGCTACTTGGGAGGCTGAGGCAGGAGGATCACTAGAGCCTAGGAGTTCTGGGCTATAGTGTGCTATGCCCATCGGGTATCTGCACTAAGTTCAACATTATTATGGTGACCTCCCGGGAGCAAGGAACCACCAGGTTGCCTAAGGAGTGGTGAACCGGCCCAGGTAGGAAACAGAGCAGGTCAAAACTCCCACGCTGATCAGTAGTGGGATCACACCTGTGAATAGCCACTGTACTCCAGCCTGGGCAACATAGTGAGACCCTGTCTCTAAAAAGAAAGAAAGATGGGTCTGGGCATGGTGGCTCACACCTGTAATCCCAGCACTTTGGGTGGCCAAGGCGGGTGGATCACTTGAGGTCAGCAGTTTGAGACCAGCCTGGCCAATATGGTGAAACCCCATCTCTATTAAAAATACAAAATTTAGACAGGCGTGGTGGCAGGCGCCTGTAATCCCAGCTACTTGGGAGGCTGAGGCAGGAGAATCACTTGAACCCGGGAGACAGAGGTTGCAGTGAGCTGAGATTGCACCACTGCACTCCAGCCTGGGTGACAGAGTGAGACTTGGTCTCAAAAAAAAAAAAAAGTGACTTGACCTGCCTTGCCTGTTAGAATAACCTAGAAATGAGCTATATCCTCAATAGCAGGAACACAGTTTGCCTGGTGATTCCTCCTGCTAGAAATCCATCTGGTACCAATAGTCCCTTTTATATGTCTACCTCTGCCATTCTTTTCCTTTAGGACAATAGTTCTCGGTGGATGGCCTAGAAACTCCTGGGGTCTTCAAAGACAAAATTACTGTAGTAATACTGAGATATTTACCTTTTTAACAGCTAGCATTTGTACTGATGATGCAAAAGCAATGGTGGGTAAAAGTGCTGGCAACTAAGCAGGAATGAAGACCATGGCACCAAATTGTAGTAGTAGCCATTGCATTCCTCAATGCCATGCACTTGCAATTTTTAAAAATGCCACTTTCTATTAAGAACGTCCTTGATGAAGCTGGGTGTGGTGGCTCACACCTGTAATCCCAGCACTTTGGGAGGCCAACACGGGTGGATCACCTGAGGTCACGAGTTCGAGACCAGCCTGACCAACATAGAGAAACCCCTTCTCTACTAAAAACACAAAAATTAGCTGGGCATGGTGGGTGCGTGCCTGTAATCCCAGCTACTCAGGAGGCTGAGGCAGGAGAATCGCTTGAACCAGGGAGTCAGGTTGCAGTGAGCCAAGATCGTGCCACTGCACTCTAGTGGGGCGACATAGTGAGACTCGGTCTCAAAAAAAAAAAAAAAAAATGAGTATCCCTGATGAAGCAGTACAAATTATTAATTGTATTAAATCTTGACCCTACAGTACATGTCTTTTTAATATTTTGTGTGAAGAAATGGGAAATATGCATATAGCACTTCTGCATATAATAGTTGTCTCATGGTTTGTCAAGAAAAAGCACTTGTGCAATTAAACTAACCTTTGGCCTGGTGCAGTGGCTCACGCCCATAATCCAAACATTTTGGGAGGCCAGGGCAGGAGGATTGCTTGAGATCAGGAGTTCGAGACCAACCTGGGCAACATGGAGAAACCAGATCTGTACAAAAAATTAGCTAGGGGTGGACACCTCACCCGGCTACTTTTTTGTATTTTTTTGTAGAGATGGGGTTTCACCATGTCATCCAGGCTGGTCTCAAACTCCTGACCTCAAGCGATCCTCCCACCTTGGCCTCCCAAAGTTTTGGGATTATGGGCGTGAGCCACTGTGCCCAGCCCCTCTGCCTATTTTTATTTGGGTTGTCTTTTTCATTGTTGAGTTGCAGGAGTTCTTTACATATTCTGGATACTAGACCCTCATCAGATATGGTTTTAAAATACTTTCTCTCATTCTTTTCACTTTCAAGTATCCCTTTGATGCACACACCCAAAAAAGCAAATAGTGTCCAATTGCATTCTTTGATGAAGAAGAATACAAGCAGTAAGTCAATTACAGCCTATTTTTTTCTTTTCTTTCTTTCTCTTTCTCTCTCTCTCTTTCTTTCTTTGAGACAGGGTCTTGCTCTGTTGCCCAGGCTGGAGTGCAGTGGCACAGTGACAGCTCACTGCAGCCTCAACCTCCTGGGCTCAAGCGGTCCTCCCACCTCAGCCTCCTAAGTAGCTGGGACTCCAGGCGTGTGCCACTGCGCCTGGCTAATTTTTGTATTTTTTGTAATTTTTTGTAGAGATGGGGTTTCACCATGTTGCACAGGCTGGTCTCGAATTCCTGAGCTCAAATAATCCTCCCTCCTCAGCCTCCCAAAGTGCTGGGATTACAGGCATGAGCCACTGTGCCCAGTCTATGGTTGTTTTTAAATTAACAGACTAGGCCGGGCGAGGTGGCTCAGGCCTGTAATCCCAGCACTTTGGGAGGCTGAGGCAGGCGGATCACGAGGTCAAGAGCTCAAGACCATCCTGACCAACATGGTGAAACCCCGTCTCTACTAAAAATACAAAAATTAGCTGGGCATGGTGGTGCGCGCCTGTAGTCCCAGCTACTCAGGAGGCTGAAGCAGAATTACTTGAACATGGGAAGCGGAGGTTGCAGTGAGCCACGATTGTGCCACTGCACTCCAGCCTGGCGACACAGCGAGACTCCATCTCAAAATAAATAAATAAATTAATTAATTAATTAACAGACTATTCTGGGGGGACAATTTTAGCCTTACAGAAAAACTGAGCAGAAAGTACAGAGAATTCCAGGCTGGGAGTAATGGCTCAAGCCTTTAATCCCAGCACTGTCGGAGGCCAAGGAGGGAGGATCACTTGAGCTCAGGAGTTTGAGACCAGGCTGGGCAAGATGGTGAAACCCCGTCTCTACAAAAAATAAAAAAAATTAGCCAGGCACAGTGGTGCACGCCTGTAGTCCAGCTACTTGGGAGGCTGAGGTTGAAGGATCACTTGAGCCCAGAAGGACAAGGCTGCAGTGAGTCAAGATTGTGACACTGCCCCTCCAGCCTAGGCGACAGAGGGAGACTCTGTCTCAAAAAAAAGAAAAGAAAAAAAAAAAAAGAAGAAGAAGAAAGTACCGAGAGTTCCCATATCCCCCTTCAGGCTCCCCATTTTTCCTATTATTAACTTTTTGCATTAGTGTGGTACATTTGTTACAACTGATGAGCCAGTATTGGTATATTATTAACATAGCCCAGCCGGGCGCGGTGGCTCATGCCTGTAATCTCAGCACTTTGGGAGGCCGAGGCGGGTGGATCGCCTGAGGTCAGGAGTTCAAGACCAGCCTGGTCAACATAGTGAAAACCCATCTCTACTAAAAATACAAAAAATTAGCTGGGCGTGGAAGCGGGTGCCTGTAATCCCAGCTACTCAGGAGGCTGAGGCAGGAGAATCGCTTGAAACTGGGAGGCAGAGGTTGCAGTGAGCCGAGATCGCATCATTGCACTCCAGCCTGGGCAACAAGGGGGAAACTCCGTCTCAAAAAACAAACAAACAAAAAAACATAGTCCATATTGATACATTATAATTAACTAAGTCCATAAGTTACATTAGGCTTTACTCTTTTCCACACACAAGTATGACATGTATCCACCATGACACTATTACATCATACAAAATAGTTTCACTTCTGTAAAACTCCCCTGTGCTCCACCTACCATCCCTTCCTCCCCCCAACTCCACTTCCCTGGCAGTCACTGATCTTTTTATTATCTCCATAGTTTAGCCTTTTCAGAATATCATACAGTTGGGGCCAAACGCACTGCCTCATGCCTGTAATCCCAGCACTTTGGAAGGCTGAGCAGGAGGATTGCTTGAGACCAGAAGTTTAAGACCATCTTGGGCAACATAGCAAGACCTTGACTCAAAAAAATACATATATATATGTCATATGGATGGAATCATAGTTTGTAGTCTTTCCACATTGATTTCTTTCGCTTAGCAATATGAATTTAAGGTTCCTCCATGTTTTCTAATGGCTTGATAGCTTTTTTTTTTTTTCCTTGAGATGGATCCCATTATGTTGCCCCGGCTAGTCTTAAACTCCTGAACTAAAGTGATTGTCTTGCTTCAGCCTCCAGAAAAGCTGGGAATAGCTGAGACTACAGAAACATGCCATTTTTTTTCCTTTGTAGTAGAAGTTAGAAAGCTTTTTTTTTTTTTTGAGATGGAGTCTTGCTCTTTCACCCTGGCTGGAGTACAGTGGCGCAATCTGGGATCACTGCAACCTCTGCCTCCCGGGTTCAACCGATTCTCCTGCCTCAGCCTCCCCAGTAGGTGGGATTACAGGCACGTGCCACCACACCCGGCTAATTTTTGTATTTTTAGTAAAGACGGGGTTTCACCGTATTGGTCAAGCTGGTCTCGAACTCCTGACTTTGTGATCCACCTGCCTCAGCCTCCCAAAGTGCTGGGATTACAGGTGTGAGCCACCGTGCCCGGCCTTTTTTTTTTTTTTTTTTTTTTGAGACAGAGTCTTACTCTGTCACCCAGGCTGGAGTGCAGTGGTTCGATCTTGGATCACTGCAACCTCCACCTCCCGGGTACAAGTGATTCTCCTGTCTCAGCCTTCTGAGTAGCTGGGATTATAGACGCCTGCCACCACACCCGGCTCATTTTTTTTGTATTTTTAGTAGAGACGGGGTTTTACCATGTTGGCGAGGCTGATTTCAAATTGCTGACCTTAAGTGATCCAACCGCCTCGGCCTCCCAAAGTGCTGGAATTACAGGCGTGAGCCACCGCGCCTGGCCTCAAAAAAAAAAATTTTTTTTTTCAGGACGGCGTCTTGCTCTGTCGCCCAGGCTGGAGGGCAGTGGTGCGATCTCGGCTCACTGCAAGCTCTACCTCCTGGGTTCACGCCATTCTCCTGCCTCAGCCTCTCGAGTAGCTGGGACTGCAGGCGCCTGCCACCACGCCCGGATAATTTTTTGTATTTTTAGTAGAGACGGGGTTTCACCGTGTTAGCCAGGATGGTCTCGATCTCCTGACCTCGTGATCCACTCGCCTCGTCCTCCCAAAGTGCTGGGATTACAGGCGTGAGCCACCGCGCCCGGCCAAAAAAATTTCTAATACGGCAAATATTGAAAGATATAATCCACATAAACAAAGCTTTTAGGGTCTTCTATAATTTCTAACACTGTAAATGGTTCCCAAGACCCAACTGTTTGAGAACCGCTTCTCTGGGATGCCTTCTTCTTTTCCTGCTGGCTAATCCCAGTGGAGAGATTTAGGTATTTAATTCTGCTCCAGACTCACCTCTGAGAACCTTCCCTGATGGGCCACACTCTACTCACTGCCCTTGCTCTGTATCCCCTCTTCAGTTATGTTGTTCCTGTTTCCCTGGCTGCTTTTAATTTTCTTTCTTTCTTTTCTTCCCGCCTTTTCTTTTCTTTCTCTTTCTTTTTCGTTTTTTGTTTTTTGAGACGGAGTCTCACTCTGTCGCCCAGGCTGGAGTGCAGTAGCGCGATCTTGGCTCACTGCAACCTCCGCCTCCTAGGTTCAAGCGATTCTCCTGCCTCAGCCTCCCGAGTAGCTGGGATTACAGGCGCACGCCACCATGCCCGGATTATTTTTGTATTTTTAGTACAGACGGGGTTTCACCATGTTGGCCAGGCTGGTCTTTAACTCCTGACTTCAAGTGATCCGCCCGCCTTGGCCTCTCAAAGTGCTGGGATTACAGGCTTGCTGCCGCACCCGGCTTGTTTTTTTTTTTTTTTTTTTTTGAGACGGGGTCTCACTGTGTCCCCCAGGCTGGAGTGCAGTGGTGCGATCACAGCTCCCTGCAGCCTCGAACTACTGGGCTCAAGCGAACCTCCCACCTCAGCCTCCCGAGTAGCTGAAACCACAGGAGCGCGCCACGACACACAGCTAACTTTTTTTTTAGTGTTTTTTCTTTTTTTGTTGTTGCCTTTTTTTTTTTTCTTTATCGATCCTCCCGCATTGGCCTTCCAAACTGTTGGGATTACAAGCGAGAGCAGTGCCCGGCCCCTACTGCTTTGAAACCTCGGTTCTTTGCAGGTCCTGGAAAAGAAAGTGAAGGGGTCGTGCAATGGCTCAAAACCCAGGCAACATTTCCAGGCGCGTCCTCAACTCGGCGTCACTCTGACAAAAAGTTTGCCCTTTGCGCCCGATCCCTCACACCAGAGAGCACCGCAGGGACGCAGGGACGGAGAGGACTAATGGGGTCGGGGAGGACCCAAGGAAGTTGGGGAACTCAGACTCTTTTCAGTGTTTAAAAAGCAGAGGCCCCCTCGGAAGGCATAACAGGCGAGTCTAACAATGCCCCTGGAGATCAACGGCACTAAGGGGTACCTTTGCCCCGCTCCAAGGCTCCTTGTTCCGCCCCCTGCCGCCAAGCAAGGAATCCGGCGCCGCCGGTCGTGGGTAGTATTTACGACAGTGCTGGCGCTTTGCGGCCGGCCGCACAGCCGCTGACGCGTCGGGAGGCGGAGCCTAGGGAAGCAAATTCTCCTGGCGGCCTCCGTTCAGACGCGGCAGCTGTGACCCACCTGCCTCCTCCGCAGAGCAATGGCGGTGTCTGCCGGGTCCGCGCGGACCTCGCCCAGCTCAGGTAGGCTTAGGACCCCGCCCTCCGGCGGAGAGTTCCTAGGAGCGCTGGTCTCAGAGGGGCGGGGGCGGGAGGACGCCCAGTGTCTCCCGGTGAGGCGGGGGGGGGGTCCTCTGTGGGGAAGGGGGCGTGCTGTGAGACATTTGCAGCCTGCGGCTTCTGAATGATGATGACATTCGGGAACACTGCGGTTAGGGGACTGTAGTCTGAGGGGTTCTGGGACATTAGGGGATCGTGGAGAGGGGGCTGCACTGCAGGGATGTTTCCTATAGTCAGATCATTGAGGCAACCTCATTGAGCCGACCCGGGTGGGCGGAAGCTCTGAGCTGTTGGTGCAGTGATTTCTTTGATTTGAGGTGGAGCCCACCCCCGCACACATATTTTCTCCATTTATTGATTGCAGATAAAGTACAGAAAGACAAGGCTGAACTGATCTCAGGGCCCAGGCAGGACAGCCGAATAGGGAAACTCTTGGGTTTTGAGTGGACAGATTTGTCCAGTTGGCGGAGGCTGGTGACCCTGCTGAATCGACCAACGGACCCTGCAAGCTTAGCTGTCTTTCGTTTTCTTTTTGGTGAGTCCAGTTTATGGGTGGGAGCAATTTGGTTGAGAGTGGAGAATGACAATCTCTATTTTTTGGTTGCAAGTAGACTTAGCTCCCTTTTCCTCAGAGCTGAAGACATTGGTATAAAAGAAGAGGTCTTTGCGAAGTTTAGGATTAAACCTGCTTTGTCTCCTACAGTTAGGATTTACTTGGTGGCCAGAAATGCTTTTTTTTTTTTCCTTAGACGGACTTTCGCTCTTGTTGCCCAAGCTGGAGTGCAATGGCGCTATCTCGGCTCACTGTAACCTCCGCCACCCGGGTTAAAGCGATTCTCCTCCCTCAGTCTCCCGAGTAGCTGGGATTACAGGCGCCCACCACCACACCCGGCTAATTTTTTATTTTTTTTGTATGTGTGTTTTTAGTAGAGACGGGGTTTCACCATGTTGGCCAGGCTGGTCTCAAACTCCTGACCTCAGGTGATCCGCCTGCCTCGGCCTCCCAAAGTGCTGGGATTACAGGTGTGAGCCACCGTACCCAGCTAGAAATGCTATATGATATGTAGAGGCGAGGCAGCAGTGACCCATTTTGCTTGTGGCATGAAGTTGCCCAGAAGACTCAGAGAAACAGAGCAGGGGGCCACAGGGACCATACCTTTTGGCTGTGACTCCCTAATCAAGAGCTTCTTAACTGAGGCCGCAGCATGGTGTGCTTGGAATGGTTTACAGATGTGCAGAGATATTAGTCCCCTTAGCCCAGTAGTTCTCAACTGGAGGGAGTTTTGCTCCCTGGGAGACATTTGGCAATGTTTAGAGACATTTTTAGTTGTCACAACTTGGGGGAGGAAGAATAGGTGGCTGCTGGCATCTCTATAGAGGTCAGGGAGTGCTCCTAAATGTCCTGTAGTGCATTGGATAATCCCCTCAATAAATAATTAACCAGCCCAAAATGTGACTAGTCCTGAAGTTGAGAAACCCTGCTTTATCTCAAGCTGGCTTCCTGATCTGAGTAGCCTCTTCTGTTTATTCCCAGGGTGTTGACGAAATGCAACTGTTTTTGGAGTGTGCCAGGAAGCAGAAAAGGTTGAGAAGCACTCCCAGAGCACTTTCTTTCTTTCTTTCTTTCTTTTTTTGAGACGGAGTTTCGATCTTGTTGCCCAGGCTGGAGTGCAATGGTGTGATCTCGGCTCACTGCAACCTCCGCCTCCCAGGTTCAAGTGATTCTCCTGCTTCAGCTTCCCGAGTAGCTGGGATTACAGGCATGCGCCACCACACCTGGCTAATTTTTTTGTATTTTAAGTAGAGACGGGGTTTTTCCATGTTGGTCAGGCTGGTTTCGAACTCCCAACCTCAGGTGATCTGCCCACCTCAGCCTCCTAAAGTGCTGGGATTACAGGCGTGAGCCACCGTGCCTGGCCTCCCAGAGCACTTTCTGAAGCTCAATAGGATGGATCTTTATAGCTGTCAAGACCCTAACAGTTTTTATAGCATTTTGTGCATTTCTGTAATTTAATCCTCTCTGTAGTCCTGTGATGTATTCCCCTTCTCACAAATGGGGAATTGGTTAACCGAGCTGCAGGGGCTGTTCTAGATGGCACAACAGATGTAGTACTGTGCAGAGTAGGCACTCAATAATTAATACTGAATAAATGGCAGAGCCAAGATTAGAAAAGAAGTCTGACCCTGGAGCTGCACACTGTCAACTGTGTTCCACTGTATTCTACTGCTTCCTTAGCTGAGGCCCAATGACCAACTCCCCTATTGCCTTCTTAGGGTTCTTGATGGTGCTAGACATTCCCCAGGAGCGGGGGCTCAGCTCTCTGGACCGGAAATACCTTGATGGGCTGGATGTGTGCCGCTTCCCCTTGCTGGATGCCCTACGCCCACTGCCACTTGACTGGATGTATCTTGTCTACACCATCATGTTTCTGGGTGAGGGGAACTGTGGGAAATATTGACTGGCCTGCCAGAAACACAGAAATAGAAGCATGCTGGTGAATGGTCAAAGTCTTTGGCACCTTATTTCACTTCTGCTGTGATCAATTTCATGCTGTTGACCTGTGTGTCACTTAAGCTGTGATCCCATAATTCTTTTTAAAATATTAAAATAACATTTAATTTTCATTTAGTTTTATGTGATTATACAATGCTTGATTTTTCTTAATTCCAACCATATCCTGGTCCAGGGAAACTGGGCCTGTGGTGATCTCTTGACCTCTTAATCCTCTCCCTACAAATCCCAGGGGCACTGGGCATGATGCTGGGCCTGTGCTACCGGATAAGCTGTGTGTTATTCCTGCTGCCATACTGGTATGTGTTTCTCCTGGACAAGACATCATGGAACAACCACTCCTATCTGTATGGGTTGTTGGCCTTTCAGCTAACATTCATGGATGCAAACCACTACTGGTATGAGTCAGGGGGGACAAAGGGGAGGGGTTGGCTGGGTCAGGATGGTTATCAGAGATAGGGGCCCAGTGAGGTTCTGGAATTTTTCAGTCATGTTTGCAAAGTATGGTTACAAGGTCACTTTGATCTAGGTGGATTTGGGAGGGGAAAGGGCCAACTAGTTGGAGCGCTTGGGATGACACAAAGCAAAATGGCTCCATCCCACCCCTTCAGTCTTTCCCTATCTCCCCAGGTGCCTTGATTTATTCACCTCTTGTAACCCTCTTAGAGAGAAAAACAGAATACTAAAGCCAGACATGGCTGTTTTCAGATACTTTAAGGGTGGTTATGTAGAAGAGGGAGCAGACTTTCTCTGTGTGAGTCCAGAAGGGCAGAGTTAGAGCCAAAAGTAGAAGTTGCTGTGAGGCAGAGATCATGTCAGGAGAAGAGGGCCCACCAGGGCTGCTCAGCATTGCTGTTCTCGGAGGAGGTAACCCTTCCCCATTTCTGGCTTAGGTGACTGTCTCTAAGGGGAGGTGGAGAAGGGATTTGGAGATAAGGTGGTGGGGCAGTTGACCTTAAGGATTCTTTATATGTTGAGTGAAAAGTAATAAAATAGGTGTCAATAACATGAGTATGGGGAAAAAAACTCAAACATTGAATTCATTAACAGTCATTAAGTTTTATTTATTTTTCTTTTTATTTATTTATTTTTAAATAGAGATGGGGTCTCGCTTTGTTGCCCAGGCTGGTCTTGAACTTCTGGGCTCAAGCAGTCCTCCCACCTCGGCCTCCCAAAGTGCTGGGATTACAGGCATGAGCCACTGTGTCCGGCCTATTTGTTAATACACACATACAAAACCCCTTTGGTAAAACTTGAAACTCATTCAGAATGGCCAGCTCTGATCATAGAGAATTAAGAGGCAGTTTTGATAGAATATCTCTGAAAAGTTCCGTTGTGGGGATATTTGTTGAGATGGCATCTCACTGTGTCGCCCAGGCTAGAGTGCAGTGGCGTGATCATAGCTCACTGCAGCCTCAACCTTCTTGTGTTTAGGTGATCCTTCCATCTCAGCCTCCTGAGTAGCTGGAACAACAGGTGTGTGCCACCACACTCAGCTAATTTTTAAAATTTTTTGTAGAGATGGGATCTCACTATGTTGCTCAGGCTAGTCAGAAGTTCCATTTTTATGACTTTATGCATTTTGAAAAAATCACTTATCATTTATTCAGGGTTTTCCACATCGCAGGCACTATACTAAATATTTAGAGTTTTTCCTCATTAAAACCCTGTAAGGTCGATGGTGCTGTTCACATTTTATGTTTTTTGGAGTCAGGGTCTTGCTCTGTCACTGAGGCCAGAATGCAGTGGTGCAGTCATAGCTCACTGCAACCTCAAACTCCTGGGCTCCAGAGATTCTCTCGCTTTAGCTTCCCAAAATGTTGGTATTATAGGTATGAACTACTGAGCCTGGCCTGTTCACATTTTAAAGATAAAGAAGCTAAGTATTATTGACGAGTGAAGAATTTGCCTAAGGTCAGCTAGCAGTTAAGAAACAGAAGTGAGTCCAGGTGTTCATGACTGCAGAGTCCAGTGCTCTTGACCACAGTGTAAGCTGCCCCTTTCCCAGCTTCTACTTCTTGAAAACTTGCTTTGCTTCTGCTTCCCCAGAGTACATCTGGTGTTAGTAGCCTGGGTCTAATCAGTTCTCTTCCAGAATACAAGCTGTTAGCAGGAACCCTCTTATACTGGATCCTGGCACCCAGGTCTATGAAATGTTAGTTTATGTTGTGTGTTACTCTGCTGTTGAGGGTTTTCATTTTTTTTTAAAGATAATACACCGCATATTTATTTACACATACATAGCTTTTCAAACACTCCATCAAATTCCTCCCCTTTTTCAGTAATTTTCTAGTATTGTAGTCCTTTTTTCCTGATTTGATCCATTAGAACAAACTCAACTGGGAGCTAACAAGAAATACTGAACTTTTTGCTGTTATAACTTAGTAGCAATATTTCTTCTATGACTTGTATAATCATGTTAGAATTTGCTCATATAATTCTAAAAGGTCTCAGAATAACCAGGGAGGATATGGGAGATGTGCCCAGGATAGATAGGATTATCGTGTATAAAAGGAAGGATGGAGATGTAGCTGCATTAAGCAGCTCCCCCCTCAATGTTTACCTCCCTCGGTGTAGGTCTGTGGACGGTCTGCTGAATGCCCATAGGAGGAATGCCCACGTGCCCCTTTGGAACTATGCAGTGCTCCGTGGCCAGGTACAGCATTTTAGGACAGAGGGAGGAGCTCCTTGACAGCCATGTGGTCAGCATGGCCATCCCACTGCCAGACTACACTCTCCGCTGCCTCCCTGGATCTTCTGTTTTTAGTTTTTACCCTTTGCTGGAAAGCTAGGCTGGCTTCTCATTTTTTCCAATCCCTTAATCTCTGAATTATCTTATTTGTCAAGGAAAGACTAGAGCTTTGTCCCTGCTAGATTGGAATCCTCATGACAAAGAGAAAGGATTCAGTCTGTGCTTTATGACTTCTTCCTTGGTGCCTGATACTGTCGCTGACATTGGTTGGATGTCAATAAATGCTGTTTGGATGAGGCGAATTTCTGAGATGAATGAATAGAAGATGGGGTCTATTCTTCCTTGGGCCCTGGACTCAGATCAGTATTTATTTTATTCATTTAAAAAATATATATAAGTAGATTATTTGGGTCAAGGACTGTAATATTTGGGTCAAGGACTGTAACTCAGGAGCATGGATTCAAGTTGTCCTAACTATATGCTCCTTATTTTATTCTTGCCTATCTGTAGAAAAGATTCTTTTTGCTTGAACTTTGTGTCACATTTTATTTTCAGATCTTCATTGTGTACTTCATTGCGGGTGTGAAAAAGCTGGATGCAGACTGGGTTGAAGGCTATTCCATGGAATATTTGTCCCGGCACTGGCTCTTCAGTCCCTTCAAGTGAGTGGCAGTCATGGTGGAGGCCTCTTTGAGGCATGGGTACAGAGCAGGTGACTCATCTCTCTCAGTAATGGCACCTGTTCCTACTTTGCCTGAATTTGCCACATGCCTTCCTTTGTCCACTCATTTCCCTATTCAGCAGAAGCAGAGTCAGTGGTATCAAAAGATTGAGCCCTAGCTGCTCTTGGGAGATATATGGTATAGATAGGCAAGAAAGGAAAAGAAATTTAAAAAGGAAAGGAAAGAGCCGGAACTGGCTGACTTGGTGAGTGAGCCAGTGCCCTCAGCAGCTGCCTTGGATGGTGCCTGTGTCCTTGCCTTGCCACTCTAGCCTCCCATCAGAGCCCTGCAGCTGATGTACTGAGAAGATGGGCACTCACTGTTCAGGCTCTGACAAAACCATTATTATCACTTCCACAAAACAAAGGGTCACCTTTCTGATTTGTCTTCTTCCCATTTCTTCTTTCCTCTTGTTTTACTTTATTCTCTTTCTTCTTCCCTGTTATTTTCCAGTTCCTGAAGTTTGACTTCATTATGATGTTAGCCAAGCATTCACCTTTTAAAGTGTCCTCTCACTCATGACCTCCGTGGGGAACGTCCCTTCCACAACACACACACATCTCAGTCAAATTTTGTCCTAGGAGATCTGCCCTTGCTTATTACATAGGATATGTTAGAAAACATTGAACACCTAAAGTGTGTGAAAATGTAGAGGGGGCTGGGCATGGTGGCTCATGCCTGTAATCCCGGCACTTTGGGATGCTGGGGTGGGAGGATTGCTTGAGCCCAGGAGTTCAAGACCAGCCTGAGCAATATAAGACACTGTCTCTACAAAAAAATTTTTTAAAAAAACAGCTAGGCGTGGTGGCACGTGCCTGTGGTTCCAGCTACTTCGGAGGCTGAGACAGGAGGATTGCTTGAGCCCAGGAGTTTGAGGCTACAGTGCACCATGATCATGCCATTGCCTTCCAGCCTAGGCGACAGAGTGAAACTTCGTTTCAACAACAACAACAACAACAACAACAACAAACAACCTAGAGGAGTGTCTTCATGGGTGGATTATGTACCTTAGGCATCTACCCAGCCACTGGAGTAGCCAAGGCACATTCGTGCTGTGAATGTGCTTTGATGTGTTCTCCAGTGGGCTGGTGCTTGAACTTTCTCCATGTGTTTGCAGACTGCTGTTGTCTGAGGAGCTGACTAGCCTGCTGGTCGTGCACTGGGGTGGGCTGCTGCTTGACCTCTCAGCTGGTTTCCTGCTCTTTTTTGATGTCTCAAGATCCATTGGCCTGTTCTTTGTGTCCTACTTCCACTGCATGAATTCCCAGCTTTTCAGCATTGGTCAGTACCTGTAGCCTGGGAGGAAACAGGAACCACAGTTTTGCAGGAAGGGACTAGCCAGAGGCATTGTTTGGGAGTGGGAGAGGGTGGTGTGAGCAGGAGCTAAATTGAACCCAGGGCAGTCACTATGAAGTAGGCATAAATGGGGATAAGAGGACTGGGGCTTCTGGGCTCAGTTAGTATGTTGTACAGTAGGGAATCTCCAGGAAGAACAAATATCTTACAGTTAAGAACTACTTTGTGGCCGGGCTTGGTGGCTCAGGTTTGTAATCCTAGCACTTTGGGAGGCCGAGGTGGGTGGATCACCTGAGGTCAGGAGTTCGAGACCGGCCTGACCAACATGGTGAAACCCCGTCTCTACTAAAAATACAAAAACTTAGCTGAGCATGGTGGCGCATGCCTGTAATTCCAGCTACTTGGGAGGCTGAGGCAAGAGAATCGCTTGAACCCAGGAGGCAGAGGTTGCAGTGAGCTGAGATCACGCCACTGCACTCCAGCCTGGGCGACAGAGAAAGACTGTCTCAAAAAAAAAAGAAGAACTACTTTCCTTTTCAGTGGAACACCTGGGAGAAGTCTCCTAAGGGAACGGGGTTGAAGAGGCCCAGCCAAACTCCTGAAATATGTATTTTCTCCCTGCTTTCCTAGGTATGTTCTCCTACGTCATGCTGGCCAGCAGCCCTCTCTTCTGCTCCCCTGAGTGGCCTCGGAAGCTGGTGTCCTACTGCCCCCGAAGGTTGCAACAACTGTTGCCCCTCAAGGCAGCCCCTCAGCCCAGTGTTTCCTGTGTGTATAAGAGGAGCCGGGGCAAAAGTGGCCAGAAGCCAGGGCTGCGCCATCAGCTGGGAGCTGCCTTCACCCTGCTCTACCTCCTGGAGCAGCTATTCCTGCCCTATTCTCATTTTCTCACCCAGGTTTGTAGGGGCTGTGGAGTGTACAGCAAAGGCTGGACTTAGAAAGGAACGGATGACAATAGTTGGGAAAGAATGGGGCTGGTTTTGCAGCCCCTTCTTGGTAGGGGATGGGGTCAGTGTGAGAAGCATTGAGCTGATTCCCCTCTGTGCTGCCTTCCCAGGGCTATAACAACTGGACAAATGGGCTGTATGGCTATTCCTGGGACATGATGGTGCACTCCCGCTCCCACCAGCACGTGAAGATCACCTACCGTGATGGCCGCACTGGCGAACTGGGCTACCTTAACCCTGGGGTGAGATGTCTGATGCTGACAATTTACTGTTCTTCAGAGCCCCCTTGTGCTTTGGGGTCTGGTTTTGTCTTACACACACCATAAAGCAAAACAAATTTGAGTCTGCTTTGCCTTTTCTCAAGAGCCAGATTGAACTATCTTTTATGTGGGTTGAGATAGGGCAATGCATTCATTTCCTTGAACTGAGATTAGATTCAGGAAAAGTAAGCACCACTAGCCCAACAATGAAAAATTCATTCCCAAAGGCAAGTTCCATTTTTTTCTAGCCAGAATGGGCAGCAGGCAGGGATCTCGTTGTGCCATTGGCAGTGCATGACATGTCTTGGAAGTTGATAATGATGAGGTGGGACTAATATGGGGGTTTGGGGCAGGTATTTACACAGAGTCGGCGATGGAAGGATCATGCAGACATGCTGAAGCAATATGCCACTTGCCTGAGCCGCCTGCTTCCCAAGTATAATGTCACTGAGCCCCAGATCTACTTTGATATTTGGGTCTCCATCAATGACCGCTTCCAGCAGAGGTGGGCAAGGGGAGCAGAGAGTGGGAAAAAATGAAGCACAGTTCTTTTTACCAAGATGAACAGCCCTTGCTTCCTGGTATTGTCTTGCTTAAAAAGCTGTCCTTCCTCTAGTGCATGTCCCCCTTGATCTGGTTGTGGGCATAGCTGGTTGCTTCCAGCAGGGGGCACCATCATCCAGGAGAAAAGTGAGTTGACTTGTTCTTTTAGACACTGTTGACATAATACCTTCTCAGGTAGCTACTAACCCCCATTATACCCAGTGCTCCAGATCTCTTCTGCCTTCTTTCTCTGCCCTGGACTGGCAATAACATGCTGACACAGGCCATTTCTTCTTCTATTCCCTGTCCTTAGGAATGATGATGAAAGGGAGAGAACTGGAAGTTCTGGTGGGTGGGTGGCTGTGATGTCCTTAGAACATGGTTTTCTTTCCTAAGGATTTTTGACCCTCGTGTGGACATCGTGCAGGCCGCTTGGTCACCCTTTCAGCGCACATCCTGGGTGCAACCACTCTTGATGGACCTGTCTCCCTGGAGGGCCAAGTTACAGGAAATCAAGAGCAGCCTAGACAACCACACTGAGGTGGTCTTCATTGCAGATTTCCCTGGTATGGAGGAAAGTGAGGAGAGGCTTTTCTGTCTTTCCTTCTGGCTTCCTTGGCCAGGGACATTCCATGTGGTGGGAGGGGAGAGGGAATGTTTTTGAAACCTAAGGGGATGATGGTGGTAAAGGTGTGATGTCTCTGTTCTGGCTGGGAGTGAGTTCACTCTGCCATGGGGTGGGATGATGAACTCTGTTGGTCTGGCAGGACTGCACTTGGAGAATTTTGTGAGTGAAGACCTGGGCAACACTAGCATCCAGCTGCTGCAGGGGGAAGTGACTGTGGAGCTTGTGGCAGAACAGAAGAACCAGACTCTTCGAGAGGGAGAAAAAATGCAGGTATTTTGCTGGGATTAACAACAGCAGAAAGAACTGAGTGCAGTAGCTCACACCAGTAATCCCAGCTTCTTAGGAGGCTGAGGTGGGAAGCCAGGAATTCACAGTGAGCCTGAGCAACAGAGTGAGACCCCATCTCTAACAATTTAAAAAACAATGGCAGAAAGCTTAGATGAGCAAGATTCACTTATTATAGACTGAAAATATTTTACCATAGCAGTAATGCAGTGGAGCTCAAAAAACAAGGGCCCCTGGGACTGTGAAGAGCCTCATCCAGGATTCTAGAGGTCCGTTACTTTCGATTCCAAAACACAATTGAGTAGAAAGAAGCCAAGAGTCATAGAGTAGGGAGGCCATAAGCTGGCTAGAGAAAAGCTGATGAAATTTATCCATTTCTTCTCCCTTGTCAGTTGCCTGCTGGTGAGTACCATAAGGTGTATACGACATCACCTAGCCCTTCTTGCTACATGTACGTCTATGTCAACACTACAGAGCTTGCACTGGAGCAAGACCTGGCATATCTGCAAGAATTAAAGGAAAAGGTGGAGAATGGAAGTGGTGAGTGTATGAACATTTGGGCTGAGATAGCCTCTGGTTTCAAGAAGTCAGGGTTATGAATGATGTTCTAGCCATTCAAGAATGAACTTGAAGTCTCTAGCTGGCAGAAGAGGAGTTCTAAGGGGAGAGAGTGATCCATCTCAGTGATTCCTCTTTTTTCTGTCTTCCGGGCAGAAACAGGGCCTCTACCCCCAGAGCTGCAGCCTCTGTTGGAAGGGGAAGTAAAAGGGGGCCCTGAGCCAACACCTCTGGTTCAGACCTTTCTTAGACGCCAACAAAGGCTCCAGGAGATTGAACGCCGGCGAAATACTCCTTTCCATGAGCGATTCTTCCGCTTCTTGTTGCGAAAGCTCTATGTCTTTCGCCGCAGGTAAGTTCACAACAATATTTGTCATTGCCATCATATGTTGGCAAGCTTGGTAACTTTCCCCTGGGGAGAGTAACTCTAGAGACTGTCATACAGGAAAGGACAGTTTAGCTCTAGGTATCTTTTCCTGCCATTCTTCTTGATTTACTGGAAGAATAAGTGGCCTATATCTGATGGCCTGCTTTCTTGTTCTGCCTCAGCTTATCTCCAGCCTCTCTGTGGGCTGTTCCTACCCTATCCTGGAATCCTCTACCAGACTGTATAAAGAGTGGTGTACCCTTCCAGCTGGGAGATGGAGGGTCACTTGGGGGGAGATTCCCATATATGCCTGTGTGGGAGGAGTGAGGACCAGGTGCCTTCTAAGGGCTTTAGCTGAAATTCTTCTGGTGAAACAGGAGTTTGAACTTGGTCGGCTTTTTCCTGTTTTTCAGCTTCCTGATGACTTGTATCTCACTTCGAAATCTGATATTAGGCCGTCCTTCCCTGGAGCAGCTGGCCCAGGAGGTGACTTATGCAAACTTGAGACCCTTTGAGGCAGTTGGAGAACTGAATCCCTCAAACACGGATTCTTCACATTCTAATCCTCCTGAGTCAAATCCTGATCCTGTCCACTCAGAGTTCTGAAGGGGGCCAGATGTTGGGTGCAGATGTAGAAGCAGCCAGTCACAGACCCATTCTATGCAATGGACATTTATTTGAAAAAAATTCTCAAAAGTTTTTTTTTTTTTTTTGGGGGGGCGGGGTTCTAAAGCTGTTTTTAACTCCGAGATTACAACTTAGAGGAACCAAGGAAATAAAGCAAATAAGATTTAACAACCCAAGATTAAGAGGCCAGGAAGAGGTTAGACGCAATGTGAAACTGTCCTCCTAGGATAAGGTTTAAAGTGGCTTTTTGGGGGCTGGGTGCCGTGGCTCACGCCTGTAATCCCAGCATTTTGGGAGGCTGAGGTGGGCAGATCACTTGAGGCCAGGAGTTCGAGACCAGCCTGGCCAACATGGCAAAACCCCTTCTCTACTAAAAATACAAAAATTAGCCAGACGTGGTGGTGGGTGCCTGTAATCCAACTACCCAGGAGGCTGAGGCATGAGAATCGCTTGGGCCCAGGAGGTGGAGGTTGCAGTGAGCCGAGATCGAGCCACTGCACTCCTGGGCAACAGAGCAAGACTTCGTCTCAAAATAAATAAATAAAGTGGCTCTTGGGGAAAAGCAATTTAATGTACCACGATGAATAGCTAACTGTTCCCAAGTGTTTGCTATGTGCAACACACCGCGTGAGCAGTGTTACCTGCATTATTACATTAGGCTGAGAGGTAAAATAATTTGCCCGAAGACATACAGCTAGTGACGAATGGACTGATGGTTTGAACTTAACGTCTATTTGACTTAAGGTCCTGCACCCTGCCACTTGTAATTTTCAGAATCACTGATAATCTGAAATAATGCAGCTTAAAACATGTTTTCTTAATTAAAAGTATAATTGGATGGTGGTCAGGTTGTAAATGCACACAAAGTAATTTATCTTCATTGCAATTTTGGTTCCTTCTTTGTTCCTATTATCTATATACACCCAGTGTTTCACTAGCAGTTATGAGAGCAGTCAGAATAGCAGCATCAAAGTTAAATAAGGAAATCTAGATGATTGCTAGATTTTCTCTAAAAATAAGCTTAGTATTTGGTATTATTCTAGCCTTTGGTGAGCAGAAGGGGAGGTAAAGTAAGAATTAACTAAATTTAGTAAGGGATTAGGGAATGCTTAGACATTTTGTAGGTTGGGGTATACAAGGGTAACTCAGGAAGCTCCTCAGTTCAGTGAAAATTCAAAGGGTTGGCACTGAGCTAGGAAGCGAGAATGCAGGGTTATGAAAAAGGATCCCTGCTTTGGGAGCTCATGGACTTGTAGCAGAGACCGGTAGTAAATTGGCAGTCTCAGTAACTTCTGTAAATGATTGCATCTCTTTGCAGGCTTCTCTTCCCATACTCTCCCCCACTCCTCCTTGGACAGTGTTCCGGGGGTTCTTTCCTAAGCAACTGCTTTTTCAGTATACATACTTCAGATGATTGTGTCTACTCCAGGATTTCCAACGATGCTAGGTTTCTTTCCTGTGCCCTAGACGTATAGGTCTAAGTTCCACCTGGATATCCCACAGGGCTATCAAGCTCAGTTCATCCTAAACAGAACTTACATTCATCCCCAACTCAGACTTCCTTATTCTTTATTATTGAATGGCAGCTCTGTACCTTAGCCAAGCTGTTATCTCTAGGTCATCAGCCTTGACTCTTCCTTTTTCCTTGCATTTCTTAAAATTGCCAAGTCCCATCAATTTTACCTCCTGGATACCTCTTGAATCTATTTTTTTTTAAAGACAGGGTTTCACTCTATCACCCAGGCTGGAGTTCAGTGGCACAATCTTGGCTTACTGCAGCCACCACCTCCTGGGTTTAAACGATTCTTCCACTTCAGCCTCCCATGTAGCTGGGACTACAGGTGCCCACCACCACGCCCAACTAATTTTTGTATTTTTAGTAGAGACATGGTTTCCCACATTGGCCAGGCTGGTCTCAAACTCATGACCTTAAGTATCCACCTGCCTTGGCCTCCCAAAGGGCTGGGATTACAGGTGTGAGCCACCGTGCCCAGCCAAATCTGTTTTCATTACTACCTATATCTGTATTTTCAACCTTTGTATTAGCATCTAGTTAGGGATAGACCAGGACAGGGCCGACATGTTAGTTGTCAAGCAGATTGCCACCCTCCCCCACCACTGAGGAGGCCAAATGGAGTTTGGTGGAAAATCTCTAATTCATTCAAGGTATTATATGGGCAAGCAATGGCTGTGGCACAGGGTCCCCTGATTACTTTGTAAGAATGGGTGGGAGGGATGCTGATTTTCAATCCTTTTGCAGATCTTCTCTCATAGTAACACAATAGAAGATACTTTGCCACTATGTTGTTTGCCAAACTCACTGTACCTACTTGACTGGTAACAAAAGTCCCAAGAGTTACTTGGGAGAAGACACTTGAAAAAGTATTTTTCTAAATATGGGCAAGGATGCTGCCCTTCCCCAAACTGTTAGTATACCACCTCTCTGACCAATTTTCCCAAGGAAGATATTGGGGTAGGGTGAGGTGTAAAGAAAAAGTGGTCATGTAAATACTGGTAATAAAAGCTGTTCAGTGGGGTAGAGTTGGGTTGCAACTGTAGCCATTCTAAAAATGGGCTATCAATGTCCTTTTAGCCAAAAGACTTTAGTATACATCCTCCTCATTCTACCCTCAGGATTTGGATCTTTGCCCCTGATGGGTATCCATCCCCTTTGAAACTTTAGAAAGGCAGGTTATATACAGAATGTTCAACCTAAAGACATTTCCTTAAGTCATACTTTCATGCTTTCTAAACTATAATCACCCTTATCATCCCCTGCTGTTATGCTTTCCCTCTGCTCCCTGTGGCCTAATGTTCCTCCACCACCTTATTAACCTTCAGGATACTTTTCCCCTAGGCTGGGCAGGACAACACTATCCCCTTGGTCCACAAGCTCCCTCAAGGTTGGGGAATCTTTGTTTACTTAGCAAATACTGAACATAACCTTAAAGCGGTTACTTTTGAAAACTTCTCATGCTATTCTACCAACTTGGAGGCACCTATCCATGCTCATTCCCCTAATGTAGCCAATATGGTTATCTGCAATGTATTGGCATCTAAAAACTCCCTTATGAAACTGCCAGACTTGTTCTGGAACATTTCAATTACATGCAAAATTCAGGTTCTCAAGTTGGAACAAGTCTAATTGACACACCTGCATAGGTTTTAACCTTGCCCTCCCCCTACTTCCCAACAGATTTCCAAGTTTTTTGAGAAGGAACCTTGCTCTGGCCCAGGCTGGAGTGCAATGGCGCCATCTCGGCTCACTGCAACCTCTGCCTCCTGGGTTCAAGTGATTCTCCAGCCTCCTGAGTAGCTGGGATTACAAGCACCTGCCACCACACCCAGCTTTTTTGTATTTTTGGTAGAGACGGGGTTTCAGTTTGCCAGGCTGGTATCAAACCGTGACCTCAGGTGATCCACCCGCATTAGCCTCCCAAAGTGCTGGGATTACAGGTGTAAGCTACCATACCCAGATTTCCACGGCTTTTTTTTTAAGTCTCACTCTGTTACCCTGGCCGGAGTGTGGTGGCACGATTTCAGCTCACTGCAAGCTCCACCTCCCGGGTTCACGCCATTCTCCTGCCTCGGCCTCCTGAGTAGCTGGGACTACAGGTGCCTGGCTAACTTTTTTATATTTTTAGTAGAGACAGGGTTTCACTGTGTTAGCCAGGATGGTCTCGTGATCTGCATGCCTTGGCCTCCCAAAGTGCTAGGATTATAGGCTCACGCCTATATTACTATATAGTGGCCTATATTACAGGCCACTCCGCCTGGCCTCCAAATTTCCAAGTTTTTAAGTCTCCATGCAAACAGGCATAAGCAAGCACTCCTTGGCTCTACATTTGCAGGACAAGCTGGACCACCATTCAGATGTTGGTAGAAATGTAATCCAAGTGGCTATTCTCTATGCATGTAGCTCCTAGGTTCAAGAGCAGTGTGGTCTGCGGATTTTCTACACAACCTGCCATAAATGAAATTTAAGCCTTTGGAAATTTATAGCATTTTCAGCTAATTTGCATTATTTATCTCTGCAAGATATTGACTAGAAATCACGTTTCAGAACTTCTCAGATGAAAACATCATACAACCCTTAAAACTAAGCTCATAATTTAAAAATGTATGCAGATTAATAGGCTTAAATTGCCAGGACTTTAGATAGACATTACCACTTCCAGGTTAATACTTTTAGCGGTTTTTATGCCTTCAATGGTTTGAAGCCCTCAACCTTAGTTGAAAACTTAAAAATGGCATTGAATGGCTGCTGCAATAAGGACACATGAATTTTGGCTTAAGTGGACTAGGAGGACTAAATCTTGCTTAGGCTTTTAAAAAATGCCCACCCACTGGGTCTAGGGATTGAGGTTATTTTCCTGAATTATGGCTAATTATGGATTACAATTCAAGGTTAAAGATACACATATAGTATTCTCAGGTTATTCATATGATAGCATTTTTTAAGAGCCAAAGTCTCAGTCACCCAGGCTGGAGTGCAGTGGCTTGATAATGGTTCGCTACAGCCTCCAACTTCTATGTTAAAGTGATCCTCCTACCTCAGCCTTTCAAAGTGTTGGGATTATAGGCACGTACCTATGGCCCCAAAGCACTTTAACAAATGAGTAACAGACACAGTTAAGGTAGAACCTAGCATTTTATTTAGATCTTCATTAAACTGTTGGAATTGAGAACCAGACATACGTAATAAACCTCCAAAAATAGATCCTGAAAGGCACTTTCTGCTTAGGGCAAGCAGTCATGGAATAAGCATGTAAACAAGCTGGCTTCTCTGTACCACACCAGCCAAGTCAGCTTTCTCCATGGCCAGCCGCACCAGCTCTGCCCTCCCTTCTGTTAACACCAGCCAGACCCCCTGTAGGTCTAACCCAAGGTTTTTCTGTAGGACACCTTGGCCTACCTGGGAATGCTGGAAACATGTTGTTAAAGGAATCATGGTGTTGAGAGAAAAAAAAAAAATCTTTTAAAAGCTGCCATCTGAGGTGATGGCTTCTCTGTACTTACGCCATACCCCAGAATACAATAAATAAGCAATTAGAAAACGTTCAAGTATGAAGGGATTTCCTCCTCCCCGCCAAAAGCACTGCTCTCTGAAGGAAGCTGGTTTCTCTGTAGCTACACCAGCTGTTCAGAAAGCTCATTGGACCTGGTTTTGAAAATAAAACAAAGTTAAAACCCTGGGAGGAGTTATTGTGCAGTGTGGAGTACTCAGGCTTTCTTATAAAGAAAAAAAAAAGTTATCTGGTACCAAAGTGTGCAACCTACAGACCCTCAGGTACTGCCCTGTGACTTCTCTGTATGACATCACAAGGCTGCCAAGTGCCTGTTTTTCTAGAACTAGGAGTTGGTGAGGTTTGGCTAGTGCTGAAACCATGCATAGGATTGGTTTACTAAATTAAAACCTTATTACGTACGTCCTCCAAAAGACAGCTGAAAGTGGAGAGATTTTGATTTGGTGCTGTTAGAGGTGGCAATTAAGAGCATAAGCACCAGGGAGATGGTTTAATGGTAACTGCCTTTTTTGATGTCAGGCTGGAGCTCCAACTGGGAACTTGCGTTACATGCAAGATTGATTGGATAGGGAACACTCCCTGACAAAGAGCTACATAATTAGAAATGGATCAAGTTACAGGGAGGATAAGGGGAAGGCTTCACATTCATAATAGAGCTCAAGACATTACAAATTCATGCTGACAGGGCTGTGGCATTGCCAGACAGAGGCTATAAGTGGAACTACAAGTACTTTACGTGCACATCACAAGGACATTTTCAGCATCTGGTGGGGAAAGTCAATGCAATTATGACTTTGGAGCGTTGGGTGATAGGGCACAAAGGTTCAATTTCAAAGCATTATTTACTACAGTGTTGTTTCTAGGCAGTTACATGGATCACCTATGCTCACTAAATTCATTATAATGGTGAACAAAACACCTAGGGACAGAATAGCAAGCCCAACTTACAGTCCCCCACAAAAGCTAAAATTCATGTCATTGACTAGAGTGACTGCAACTGGTCAGGAGCTGAAAGAGGACAGGAAAATTTAGGAAGGAGGGCCCTTTCCCTCAGAGCTTGAAGGCTTCTCTGTAGCCTACGCCAACAAGTCTGGGGAAAAAAGGCTAACACTTTCAATATTTAAGCTTTTTGGGCACTTCCCATGGGAAGCTGTCCCTACCAAAGTGGCCATAGGCTGCAGTCCTCTGATAAATTGGCTTCTTCAGATCCAGATCCCTGGAATATACAAGTCCGTAACTTAATATGTAGCATTAAATTAAAATAAAGCAAAACAATCAGCAAGACTCATTTTCAAGAGCTCTGGCAAATGAGTTCTCTGGGATATGCTAGGAAAAAAATTTGTGGCAAAAGTGTTACTTCCCTGGTGTCCAAACTCCTTGCACAGTCCTTATTAGTAACTATAGTTGTTTTTCCGTCCCTGGCTCAACAAATACGAAAACTTGTCATTATTCTGAGAAATTTCAATTGTCAAAAAGCTCACCTGAGATCACACAATACTTACCAAGGTCCCGCCGCCCACACCCTACCATGGTTTTTACATTGCAACAAACCTTGAGCAACCCACTTTATCTCTATTTTCTTAACACCCTTAAGTAGAAGAGCACAAAGCTCAAATATCAAATCTGGAACATTCTCTAGAGTGGTTAGCCTAAGCCATGGAGCACCGTAATTTTAAATTTCTCAAATAACTAAGTCTTCACTAAGGCAGCAGTTCAAAACTGTTCCAGGAATTAAAATATATTCCCATTTGAGGAGTCTTCCTTCACACCTTCACCTCCTCAGCCTTAAGTATATACACACACACCCAACACCCTCAATACTTGACTAGCAACAGGCTTTACCATCTTTACCTGACAATGACCCCAGGGCGGAGATCGAAATTCTTCTTCACAATCTCTAATAGCTCTCTCTCACTCTTCTGAGAGGTACCATAATGGAAAATGGAGATAGATAATGGATGAGAAACTCCAATAGCATAAGAGACCTAAAAGGATTCAAATGTCGTAAGAATCAGTGATTGCAAAGACCCATATACTTGTATAATACGTTGGTATAAAACAAGTAGTTAAGTAGATTACTACTAAATACCCTCCCACTTACATGACTTTTAATCGTTCGTTATATAAAGAGTGTATACCTGAACAAGAACCCTCCGGCACAGACCTCCTTTAACAAGGGATTTTGCCACCCAACGAGCAGCATAAGCAGCTGAACGGTCGACCTTGGTATAATCCTTTCCTGAAAAGGCACCTCCTCCATGAGCACCCCAACCGCCATAAGTGTCCACAATGATTTTGCGTCCAGTCAAACCAGCATCACCCTGAAATTACAGGATTTAAGTTACTTTACGCCTAGTGCTTTCCAAGTGGATTAGGTTGCCTATTCTGAATTCATTCAGCAAATATCCTCCGATGATTCACATGTAGGTTTCAGAAAGCCTGAAAAAAATGTAGTAGCCAAAATTTTAAGTAACCATCAAAAATCCAGAAAAATGCAACAAAATGACATTACCTGAGGCCCACCAATAACAAATCTGCCACTTGGCTGTAGGTGGTAGATTGTATCCTCATCAAGGTATTTCGCAGGCACAACTGCTTTGATGACTTTCTCCTTTAGGGCATCCCTCATTTCATCAAGACAAACCTCTTCATCATGCTGAACAGATATAACAATTGTGTGGACTCTGATGGGAAGCACAGCACCTCGATCCTGCATATACTGCACAGTAACCTTGAAGGCAACACAGGTCATCAGAACATCACACCAAACAATAACTTTGTATTTGTTTCTCTACCTGAAGTTACAATATAGGAAAACAAATGCTATTTTTTCCAGTTAGCTATTATCAAAATTATGGATCTTCTGTGCTGATGTAATAAATGAGACAACCAAGCTTTATGATCATCACTTACTTGAGTTTTAGAATCAGGGCGTAACCAAGGCAAAGTGCCATTACGGCGTAGTTCTGCCAGTTTGGCATTTAGCTTGTGTGCCAAGACAATGGTTAAAGGCATACACTCCTCAGTTTCATCAGTGGCATAGCCAAACATTAAGCCCTAAAGAAAGAAAAGTCACCAATGTGATCAAGCTCCAGAATTTAATGTTAGAAGAGATTAAAACAGCCTCTACACCAAGATACCTGGTCTCCAGCACCAATGTCTTCTTCATTTCTGTCAAGATGAACACCTTGAGCAATATCTGGTGACTGTTGCTCCAAGGCTACCAGCACGTTACAAGTCTTGTAGTCAAAACCTATAAGCAAAAAACACAACATCTTGTTTACGTCCTAGAAATACCTGCTGTTTACAGCAATTATCTGGAATTCTAAACACTGCTGAAGAAATCAAATATACCTAAACCATCGGACCTTTTAGAGAATGAACAGAATAGGGCTTAGTGTATAGTAAGATACAACTGGAGTTTAGGATTAGCAGGAACATTCTAGGAGTTTCTTCAAACCTCACAGCTGTTACCTAGAAAAAAATGAGCAAAATCATTAAAACACACCTTTGGAAGAATCATCATATCCAATGTGTTTAACAGCTTCACGAACCACTTTCTGGTAGTCAACAGCAGCTCTGGATGTAATTTCCCCAGCAAGAAGGATCATTCCAGTTTTAGCAACAGTTTCTAATAAAAAGAGACATTCAACTCAAACATCACTTCTATAAAAATAATTTTTATGCTATCTTTCCACCAGTTGATAAGCACATTCTGAACCTACCACAAGCTACTTTGGCATCAGGATCCTGCTGAAGGTGGGCATCAAGGACAGCATCACTGATTTGGTCACAAATCTTATCTGGAAAAGAGAAATTCCTGGCTCAGTTTCTTTAACTTTAAACAAAGTATGTATGTATGTATGCAAGCTCCCTCCCTGTTACTATCTGTAAAATCTTTGGAGATTTTAAAAAACATGCTTAATACATCTTAATTCATTGTGTTTGCACTTTCCTCCTAAAATTCAAAGTTTGCATTATAAATCTAATCACCAGAAAGGTGAACTGTTAGTCCTATATCCTTTAAAGAACAGAATTTGCCCTATATCATATTCACTTCCACAACTGTACCAAACCCCTCTGCACCTGGGAGTCTGGTAGAACTGAGGCCACAGGTAGGCCAGTTTCCCTAATCTTAAGGAACACCAATTATAATGAGCAACAAGATAATTCGATTAAACAATTAAATGAAAAGCATTTTCTGACTAAAATGGCAATTATCTGATTTTGCTGTTAGGAGTTGCGCAGGAAACAAAAGCTCAACAGTGTAGAAGATGCTCAAACGTATTCCGAATCCATGTCTCCCTGCTTTGTCATCTATTGTTAGGAGGGAGAACAAATATCTCCCTAATTCAAGTTCGTTTTTCTGAATTTTCTATAACCGCCTAAAACAGAATCCAAACATAATGTGGAAGCCAGACTGCAGGCTCTGAACTTCGGTCTACTACTAACTGGTGTAACAGCTAACCTTCAGCACTCATCAAGATCCTGGGTTTGTCCTCTCATACCACTAAGTTACTTGTGGGATTTCATCATGGGCACAGTAAACTGACCAGACCCTAAAGCCACCAGATAGATAACTACTGCGGTCATCCTAAGGGCAGAAACAGCCAAAAGAGCCAAATAATCATCTTTACTAGCCGATATGCTCAGGCTGAGATTTTCAGTTCCTGGAAATATAGCTTTACTCCTCCTTCACGTGCCAATTGATCCCCATAATGGCGGTTGAGCGGACAAAGCCTCAAGTAAAACCCTGCACCGAAGACTTTAAATGCGAACCCAAAGCAATGGCAGCTCCTAATTCATGCTTCCCATCCTTTTCACAAGGGGTCCAAATAAGGACTGCCTTCTTGGACATGAGCTATATTTAGTCAGAGGCCGTCACCTTGGAGGCAAGGCCATATCCGCCGAAGGGCATGTGCGTATTCTCCAGTGTGTAGTCAAGACCTAACCACTGAGGCAGTGGAGCCAGACGACGTCCCAAGGCATAGGCCCCCCACCCCTCAAACTGAGGGCCAGGACAGCCGGGGAGGCTCACGGCTCCCCCTCGCCCAGATACCACATGCGGCAAACACGTGGTCGCCGCTGCAATGCGGGGCGCGCGCTCCCGAGGGCCGGACGCGAGCACGCGGGGCGGGTCGCCCACTCCAGGTTTGTCAGACGGCAGGGCCGGGAGGGGTTAACAGTGCCCTCCCTTCCCGGCCAGAACTCACTAGCGACCACAGCCCCCGCCCTTCACGTTTTCTGGAACCTTCCGCATGCCTAGGCGCGCGACCGAATGAAAAGGGAGGGGGGAAGGGAAGGGTGGAGAGGGGAGGGGGAAGAGGAGCGGCGGCCACGCGCCAGGCCCTGGCGGCGCCACGAGGAAAGCGCGCGGTCGCCGCTCTTCCATCACCCGGCGGACGAGGACGACCCGCGCGGGCCCCACCACCGGCCGGCCGCAGCCAGCCGGACCTTGGCGCTGCCTTCTGCCCCGCCCCACGCTTCGCTTCAGGCCGTCCCCTCACCTGGGTGGCCTTCCCCGACCGACTCTGAGGTGAAAAGGAATGTGCCCTCCTCGATGAACGCCTCGTGGAAGCCGTTGAGCTGTCCGTTCATGTTGGTGTCGGTGTGCGGAAGTGGCCTTACGAAGGAGCAGCGGCGAGGCGGCAGCGGCTGCGAAATGCGCAAGCTGCGGACAGCGTTCTACTCGTAGCAGGCGGGCGGCGCGGAGCGAACGAAGCAGCGGGCGGTGCGGCCCGGTATTTATAGAGCAGCGCCCGCGCGCGCCCGGCTCGGGCCCCGCCCCTCGGCGCCGCGCGCCAATGCACCACTTGCGCGGGGGTCGGGGGAGGAAGGGCAGCTCGCCCCGCGGAGTCCGGGCTGAACCACACTGCGCGGCCGCGGGAGGTGCCGTGGCAATCCGGCCCTCCAGAGACCGTTCAGCTATCTTGAGCCGCTAGAGCTAGGAGAAAAATGCAGACGCGAGGAGACGTGGGGGATTGCTCTTCCTTGTTTGATGTGGGAGAAAAAGCGACTGGGGCTTGCTGGACCCGCTCCCCTGTGCGGTGACATGGCACCTCCCTTCCGACCGTTGGCCGGGATAGCTTTCCCGGAGGTCGCGTCCCCCAGCGGAGGCGGCGGGAATCGCGGAGGTTTTGTGCTGCGGCTGGGGTCTTTCTGGCCGTCCCGCCTCTAGATGCCGGGTGGCAGGGAGCCGGTGGCGGTCGGCCATGTGAAGGTGGCCATCTTGGCCGGCCAGCGAGGGCTCCTCACGGCCTTCCTTCGGCGTCCCTGCCCGGCTCGTTGCCGGCCCCGGGATATCTGAGGGGCGCAGGCCCACCTTCTAGTCGTTTCCTGGTGAATGGCTCTGCTGAAGATGGCCGGAAAGCAGATTAATGAAGGTGCTGCCATCGATTTAAACAATCGCCCTCCTGCCCGCTCCCCTGCGCTAAAGTTTCTGAGGGATCCTCACCCTTCGTGGTTCGTGGACTTAAAAGTGGAGGCAGCGCTCCAGCCTTTCCCTCCAGAGAGAAAGGAGGCCGCTCCCAAGTCCGTCCTTGCCCCGTGGCCTTCCTGTTCCTTTGAAGGGGGGGGGAATCGATGTTTCAATCCTCTGTTCAGGAGAATATGGAACGAACATTTCTTTTTTGGTGGGTGGGGGCTATTCGTTCCCTTGAATGTGCTTAAGCAGATCTCTTGACGGCGTGGAATGGGCTGTTTCATGAAGCTTTCACTTTAAAATGTCCACCTGCGTTTGTCCCAGTTTTGCCCAATAAAGGAATTACAGGGAAAAAGAGCGAAACAAAACTTGAGCCAGCAAGGAGTATGGAGTCCCGTTTGGAGGGAGCCCGCCTTGGGGGCGGGGGTCTCTGCAGCCTGTTCTGGGGCTGGGCCTCGGTGCAGGTCTGGTCGGGCTGGTGGCCTGGTGGCCCTGAGCGGAGCGCGTGACAAGAACGCCGGGTTTAATGAGGTTCTCAGGGAACGGCCTGCTCCTAGCATGGGATGTACTTTACGCTGGGGAGGTGAAGGAGACCCCTAGTAACAGTCTCCAGCTGCCTACTGCTGGCGGCAGTAGAACAAGGTGCATTCCCAAGAACAATCCTCTCCGTCGGTGCAGGAGGAAAGGTGGGATTTGCTAAAGGCTCAGTGGGAAACAAAGGAAGCACTTGGGCTGTGCTGGGGGCATCCACAAAGAAGATAAAGGGCTCCTCCCCAGACTCAGTGACCACATCCACGGTCGCTCAAAGCAGGCAGCAAGAAAAGGTTCGACCACAAAAGAGACAATAGGTGATGATATTTTTATTCGTTGCTTTTTACTTTTCAAGCTAACCCTTCATGGGAAAGTAACTGTATAAGACTATTAAATTTTTTTGTTATTTTTTAAAGGAGAATGCCAATTTATTAACTTACAATGTGTAATAAAATTGTCAACTGGAACAAAATGCGTGTGTAGGCTGGTCAGTGCATTATCTCCCAGCAGAAAAATCTATATGGGAAGCCAGAATATAACTAGAAGGTTATTTTATTAGGGAGTCAGAACAAGGAGCGTAAAGTCAATGATTGGCTCATTAAATCCTGATACCCCTGTGCTACCAACTCCACAGTGGGGCTAGGCCTGCCAAGGAGATGAGATTTAGCTGTACATAGTTGCTTACCTACTTCTCTCACTTGTGAATAGTGTGTAGGTGTAATACAGTAAGAGTAGGGGTTTGGAGTCACGACCTCTCTATGCATCAGTATCCTCGTTCTGTAAAATTGGAATATTAATAGTACATCATAGGATTGTTTCAAGGATTCAAATAGTGCAAGTAGAGTCTTTAGCACAGTATCTAGTACATAATTTGTTTTAATGTAAGCTGTAAAAAAATTAACTATATTTGCTGTGAATTACTTTTCAGTGGCTTTCAATTGCTGTCGGGATACGGACTAAAATCTCTACATACTCAAGGCCCCAGTGTGATTTGGCTGCTACTTCTGCAACCTTACCTTGTGCCACACTCTCCTTTCTGTGTTCTACTTGGATTTTTTAGTTAGTAGCAGTTAATTTTATTAATTTCATAGTATCAAAACAAAGGAGGACACATTTTCATTTATTTTATATTATTCGTATTGTCCCTTCCTCCCTTCCACAAATATTTATGAGCACATCTGTGAGTCAGACCCAGGAGCAAATGCTATAACAATCCTGGTCTCTGCCCACTCGGCGCTCTAAATGTGGGGAGATGCCTGGCTAACTCCTTATCCTTCTCACTCCAGCTCAGCTACCACTTCCTGGATGAAGCCTTCATCTACACAGATTTGTCACAGGGGCCTGTGTTTTATTTCATGGCACTAAGTGCAGTTTCAAATTATAGATTTGGTGATTATTTGATGAATGTCTCCAATTCCCAGTTAGGCTTGTAAGCTCCATGATAATGAGAAGGTGGGCTGTTTTGCTCAAGCTTTGTTACTGAATGCCTGGCACACACAAGGTGCTTAGAAATGTTCAAGAGGGAGAGACAAGAAAGGAAGGGAAGGAAACGGAAAATGAACGAATATAAAGATGGCAGAAGGGGGCGGGGCACGGTGGCTCACGCCTGTAATCCCAGCACTTTGGGAGGCCGAGGCGGGGTGGATCACGAGGTCAGGAGATCCAGACCATCCTGGCTAACACGGTGAAATCCCATCTCTACTAAAAATACAAAAAATTAGCTGGGCGTGGTGGCGGGCGCCTGTAATCCCAGCTGCTTGGGAGGCTGAGGCAGGAGAATGATGTGAACCCGGGAGGTGGAGCTTGCAGTGAGCTGAGACCGCACTACTGCACTCCAGCCTGGGCGACGGAGCAAGACTCCGTCTCAAAAAAAAAGATGGCAGAAGGAAGCAGAGAAATGAGAGACTCTGGCGATCATGTGAAATCAATGGAAAGAGGTCCTGCTTTGTTTTAGTCGTAAGCATTGTAATTAATAAAATTAAGACTTCTTTGTTAACAGGGAAGCACATGGCCATCCTGTTCTGACAGGAATAAGATTTCTGATTTCATAGATGCGTGTCCTAAGGGTGAACTAAACCAGGAGAAATTGTTGGTTTATTTCCTGTTTATCGTTAATGAATTTGTTGAATGTGAAGTGTTGTAAAGCACGTAGGAAAAATCTAATCACTGCCTAAAGGCTTCAGATTTCTCAAGCCAGAGAACATTAATGTAGCAGTAACCCTACAAAAAAGGCAAAGTTGGGATTGGATAAAAATGGTATTTGTGACTCAAACAGCAAATAAAATAACTCCTTATTAGCCTGTCAGTCATGGGGAGAGTTCCAGAAAACATTTGCAGTGCAAGAAGCTGTTGATGTGGCAGGAGAAAAGAGGAGGGTGACAGTAGGGATAGCAAAGAGCAAGTGAAGGTGTGGAGGTGTTGAGAAGGAGGTTCCTAGGCTGTGTGTCTTAAGAGCACCTTCTATGTGAAGACAGACCAAGAAGAAAGAAATGTAGGCCACGTCTCCAAATTTGTGGCAGTTCTTTAGGGCCAAAGCTTAGATATCTCGGATGGCCTCAGAGGCAAGCTAGTTCTAGTGGGATCAGAAACAAGTACTATGTGAACCCCCTCATTATTAGGCTTTTTGTATTTTGTTTTTATTTCTATGTTTTTCTCTTTTGATACTTAAATCTTTTTACAGTCCCAATAAAGAAGTCCTGAATGGAAGAATAGATATGGTACAGTGAAGAAGACACTGAAGGAGATAATAATATGATGACAATAGCTACACTTTATTGTGACAGGCACTGTTGTAATATCTACTACTCACAACAGCTCTATTTCTCTTCCTGTTTTACAGATGAAGAAACTGGCATGTTATTCGTCCATGTCACACATCAAATCAGTAGTGGAGCTAGGGCCTTGAGCCTGGTCTGACCTCTAAATTCATGCCCCTTCTTATAGCCAAACAATAAATACTGCATACTCCCTGAGGTCGTTAATATTAACAATTTGGTTTATATCCTCCCTTTCCTTTTTCTGTGAACACACACACGCACACATCTTACTATTCAGAGAAACATGGATTTTTTTTTTCTTAACAATTTTCATGACTGTCTCTCCAGGATACTATGTAGAGCTGTAAATCATTTCCTTCTCTTTTACTGTGGGAAAATATATACAACATAAAATAGGTAGCTCACCAAGGAGAAAATGCAAATTGCAATAAACATATGAAAAAAATGCTCAACCTCGTTGATAGATGTGATGTTAATATATGTGTGAATTTATATATGTTTTTATCCATGGTTCCTGGCTCATAACTCCCATAGCCCTTGTTATACAGTGTTTCGTTATAATGTTGAGAGTGTTAGGACTCAGGAGCAGGCCTCAGGAAACAGAATCTCTCTGACTTTTTCCTGCTTCTCTTTCACCTGCCCCAAGGCAGGACTCTAATCTTGCCCTGCCCTTCTGATCATGGGTCATAAGACCCTCATTCCAGAGAGGGTCCTACCCCATACCCTGGGACAAAGAATGCTGAGAGGACTGGGTTCAGAGAGTTTCTGGAGAGCTGAACAGGTGGAGGCTGACAGGAAAGTGAATAAGAACTCATCCACGTGCCAGGAGGGTGGCACACCCCAACTCCATGGTAACAGAAGCTCCTACACTTGGGACCCTCCCAGACCTCACCCTATGTATCTCTTCATCTGGCTGTTTGTTTGTATCCTTTAAAATAACCAGTAAAAATGAGCAAGTGCTTCCCTAAGTTCTATGAGCCACTCTAGCGGAAAAAAAAAATTTTTTTTTTTTGAGACAGAGTTTTGCTCTTCCACCCAGGCTGGAGTGAAGTGGCGAGATCTCAGCTCACTGCAGCCTCCACCCCTGAGTTCAAGTGATTCTGCTGCCTCAGCCTACGAGTAGCTGGGATTATAGGCGCCTGCCACCATGCCCTGCTAATTTTTGTATTTTTAGTAGAGACCGGGTTTTGCCATGTTGGCCAGGCTGGTCTTGAATTCCTGACCTCAGGTAATCTGCCCACCTCCGCCTCCCAAAGTGCTGGGATTACAGGTATGAGCCACCGTGCCCGGCACACTCTAGCAAATTAATCAGACCTAAAGAGGAGGTGGTACCATGACTGTGGTCTGTATGGATCTTCACCTTTACTCTAGGGGCAGGAGATACGTGGGAATGCTGTCATCTGCTCTCCTTGCAGGTGGTCCGGTAGCTGCACAGACAGTGACCCTTGCTGGACAAGTACCTGGTTGATAAAATTGCTCAAAACCTGCAAATATACTACACATGGTCCACTGCTGTAGTGAAGTGCCGGCCCCCTGTACCCCAGTGACTTGAAACTTTTTAAATATCTGACAAAATCTATGGATCTCCCTAGAAATCACACACACACATGGACAAACATTTTATGTATAATTTCTGAAACTTAACCATATATTGCAAGTTAAGAATCCTTGCTAGGGCCGGTGCGGTGGCTCACGCCTGTAATCCCAGCACTTTGGGCGGCCAAGGTGGATCACCTGAGGTCAGGAGTTTGACACCAGCCTGACCAACATGGTGAAACCCCGTCTCTACTAAAAATACAAAAATTAGCTGGGCATGGTGGTGCATGCCTATAATTCCAGCTACTCAGGGGGCTGAGGCAGGAGAATCACTTGAACCTGGGAGGCGGAGGTTGCAGTGGAGCTGAGATCACACCACTGTACTCCAGTCTGTCGGGACGACAGAGTGAGACTCCGTCTCAAAAAAAAATTTTTTTTTAAATCCTTTGGTATCTCTCATAAATTTAAATTCACATTCCCTAGTATCTGCAGTCCCACCTCTAGAAAGCTATTCTAGTCCAGGCACGGTGGCTCACGCCTGTAATTCCAGCACTTTGGGTGGCCAAGGTGGGTGGATCACTTGAGGTCAGGAGCTCGGGACCAGCCTGGACCAACATGGTGAAACCCCGTCTCTACTAAAAATACAAGAATTAGCTGGGCGTGGTGGTGGTGCCTGTAATCCCAGATACTTGGGAGGCTGAGGCAGGAGAATCACTTGAAACCCGGAGGTGAAGGTTGCAGTGAGCCGAGATCGTGCCACTGCGCTCTCGCCTGAACAACAAGAGTGAAACTCTGTCAAAAGATAAAGAGAGGGAGGGAGGGAGGGAGGAGAAAAGAGGAGGGGAGGGGAGGAAAGGAAAGCCTGGCGCGGTGGCTCACGCCTGTAATCCCAGCACTTTGGGAGGCCAAGGTGGGTGGATCGCGAGGTCAAGAGATTGAGACCAGCCCGGCCAACATGGTGAAACCCCATCTCTACTGAAAATACAAAAAATTAGCCGGGCGTGGTGGCACATGCCTGTAATCCCAGCTACTTGGGAGGCTGAGGCAGGAGAATCGCTTGAACCTGGGAGGCAGAGGTTGTGGTGGGCTGATTTTGTGCCATTGTACTCCAGCCTGGGCAACAAGAGCGAAACTCTGCCTCAAAAAAAAAAAAAAAAAAACGAAAAAAACAAATTTATATATTTTGGATATGGAGTCTCGTTTTGTCACCCAGGCTGGAGTACAGTGGTGCAATCTCAGCTTACTGCAAGCTTTGCCTCCCAGGTTCAAGCGATTTTGGTGCCTCAGCCTCCCAAGTAGCTGGGATTACAGACGCCCGGCACCACGACCGACTAATTTTTTGTATTTTTAGTAGAGATGGGGTTTCACTATGTTGGCCAGGCTGGTCTCAAACTTCTGATCTCAAGTGATCTGCTCGCCTCAGCCTCACAAAGTGCTGGGATTACAGGCATGAGCCACCATGCCCAGCCACAGGTGTATATTTTTTTGGTTCATAGAATAAATTCTGGGAATCTGCACGCCAAACTTTACAATGAGTATCTCTGTGGGTGGGATTTATACTTTTCCTGTACTAACTCGTGTCATTTGAAATTGTAAAAATTTGTAAGAATTATTTCAGCAAGTTAACCAAAAAAGATTAGCAGCAAATGTGAGTTATCTCTAGGGTATGGAGTGTGGTGAATAAACAGGCTATAGGAGCCAGGCAGTAGTGGTTCATTCTAGTGAGCTCCCCCAGTGCAAGGAAAGCAGGCTTTTTTTTTTTTTTTTTTTTTTGAGACATGGTCTTTCTGTATGTAGTGTTGCAATCTTGGCTTACTGCAACCTCCTAGGCTTAAGCAATCCTCCCACCTCATCTTGCCAGGTAGCTGGAACCACAGGTGCATGCCACCACACCTGGCTAATTTTTATATTTTTTGTAGATAGGGGGTTTCACCATATTACTCAGGTTGGTCTCGAACAACTGAGCTCAGGTGAGCTGCCTACCTCGGCCTCCCAAAGTGCTGGGACTATAGGCATGAGCCATCATGCCTGGCCAAAGCAAGCATTTTCTATGGCACACCTTCTATGGGGAAGCTCCCAAATACCAGGTAACCTGCCTCAGAGGTGCCATCACCACTGCAGAGCCCTCTGTGAAAAGAAGGACAGCCAACCCATGCTTCATTGTGTTCATTCTTCTGAAGTCATTTGTCACCTGATGGACCACTGAACTTTTTATTTTATAAATATGCAAAGTATACACAATAGACACCCCCACCCCCACACATATCGTGGATACTGTCACAGTCCCAGCCTAAGCTTCAGTGTCCTGAGATACTCTATATGCAGGGGCAATACTGTCCTAGGCATTCCTTTAGTTTGAGAATCTTACTTGGAGATTGGACTACACTCATGGTGTCTGCAGTCTGGCTGGGCCTTGGGAACTACGTGTCATAAGTTACCTGATGGGTAGCCCTTGTGGGCGTGGCCTGGTGTGTACAGACTCTGCGCTCTCCCTGGAATCCTGCCCATGCCAGGCCTACTGCTGCCACCAACACTGGCACTGCCAGGCTCTGCCCCTTGGCCTCCTGCCATGATTTTTTTTTTTTTAAGATGGAGTCTCTCTCTGTTGCCCAGGCTGGAGTGCAGTGGCGCCATCTCGGCTCACTGCAAGCTCTGCCTCCTGGGTTCACGCCATTCTCCTGCCTCAGCCTCCCGAGTAGCTGGGACTACAGGCGCCCGCCACCATGCCTGGCTAATTTTTTGTATTTTTAGTAGAGACGGGGTTTCACCATGTTAGCCAGGATGGTCTCGATCTCCTGACCTCGTGATCCACTCGCCTCAGCCTCCCAAAGTGCTGGGATTATAGGTGTGAGCCACCGTGCCCGGCCTGTGATTTTTTTTTTGTGATGGAGTCTCACTCTGTCACTTAGGCTGGAGTACAGTGGTGCAGTCTCGGCTCACTGCAACCTCTGCCTCCTGGGTTCAAGCAATTCTCCTGCCTCAGCCTTCCGAGTAGCTGGGATTACAGGCACCCACCACCATGCCAGGCTAATTTTTGTATTATTTTTAATAGAGATGGGATTTTCCCATGTTGGCCAGACAGGTGAACTCCTTACCTCAGGTGATTGGGCTGCCTTGGCCTCCCAGAGTGCTAAGATTACAGGCGTGAGCTACTGCACCCAGCCCATGATCTTGGTTTCTTAGAAATGACACCAAAAACATAAGCAGCCAAAGAAAGATGAGCTAAATTGGATCTCATCAAAATTAAAAACTGTGTTAAAGGACACTGTCAAGAAAGTGAAAAGACAACCCACAGAATGAGAGAAAATGTTGACAAATCCTGAATCTAACAAGGGTTAACAAGGATGTGGAGAAATTGGAACACATGTACACCGCTGGTGGGAATGTAAACTGGTGCTGCCGCATTGGAAAACAGTTCTGTAGTTTCTCAAAAAGTTCAACATAGTTACTATATGACCCAGCAGGCCCACTCCTAGGTGTATGCTCAAGAGAGCTGCAACACATGTTTACACAAAAACTTGTACACAAATGTTCATAGCAACTTTTCATTGTAGTCAAAAGGTAGAAGCAACCAAATGTCCATCAACTGATGAATGGATAAATATAATGTGGTATATCCATATAATGGAATATTATTTGGCCATAGAAAGGAATAAAGTACTGATACATGCCACAACATGAATGAATCTTTTTTTTTTCTGAGACAGAGTCTCCCTCTGTTGCCCAGGCTGGAGTGCACTGGCATGAACTTGGCTCACTGCAAAATTCTGCCTCCCGGGTTGAAGCAATTCTCCTGCCTCAGCCTCCCAAGTAGCTGGGATTACAGGTGCCTGCCACCATGCCTGGCTAGTTTTTTGTATTTTTAGTAGAGACGGGGTTTCACCATGTTGGCCAGGCTGGTCTGGAACTCCTGACCTCCGGTGATCTACCCGCCTTGGCCTCCCAAAGTGCTGGGATTACAGGCATGAGCCGCCGTGCCCGGCCAACATAGATGAATCTTGAAGACATTATGCTAAGTGAAAGAAATCAGTGACAAAAAGCATACACTGTATAGTTCCATTTGTATGAAATGTCCAGGCTGGGTGCAGTAGCTCATCTTGTCATCCCAGAACTTCGGGAGACCAAGATGGGAGGATCACTTGAACTCAGGAGTTTGAGTCCAGCCTGGGCAACATGGTGAGAACCTGTCTCTACAAAAAATACACAAATTAGCCAGGGATGGTTGGCACACACCTGTAGTCCCAGCTACTAGGGAGGCTGAGGTGGGAGGATCACCTGAGCCTGGGAGGTTGAGGCTGCAGTGAGCTGTGATTGTGCCACAGCACTCCAGCCTGGGTTACAGAGTGAGACCCTGTTTCAAAAAAAAAGGCAGAATAGGCAAATCAAATCCATAGAAACAAAAAGTAGATTCGTGGTGGCCAGGGGCTGGTGGAAGAAGGGAGTGGAGAGTAACTGCTAATGGGTATGGAGTTTCTTTTTGGAAAGATAAAAATATTCTGGAATTAGATAGTGGTAATGGTTACAAAACGCTATGAATATACTAAACATCACTGATACACATCAAAAAGGTGCGTTTTATGGTATGTGAATTATATCTCAATTACAAAAATTGTCTTTTTATGTTTGGAAAAATAAGAGAAAACGACCTATACTGCCAGCTCGTTAGCAAAACTACTGTTAACATCCCTTTTGGGTTTTTAAAAAGTATAATTTAAATATATTTATAGGTAAATAGTGTAAATGTATTAGTTTCATCAAAAGTTAAATCATTGTATTATTAGCATTTTTCTGTCATCACCTTGTCTTTATATTCGTGATCATTAAGCACTCCGTGATAATAAATTCAAAGGATTTTCTGAGCAATTCCTGAGTGTTGGACATACAGGCTGTTTGAAGTTAGTTTTCCATTACTTAAACAACACTGTAAATGAACTTCTTGTGCATAGAAGTTTTTTTTATATTTGGAATTCTTTCTTTAGGAAAGATTTCCCAAAGTAGAGTAATAGGTCAGAGTAGAAGTACTGGGTCAAAGCTTATTGATTTGTGCTGCTGCAGTTATTTCCCAAAGAGACAAGTGGCTTTGGACCTGGTCAGTTCCCTTGCCACCTGTTCCTGATGTTATGCACCAAATGGGAGAAGGGAGAAGATGGTGACTGCTCCAACTTGAAAGCTCTGGATGATCAAGGAGTTTCAAGCAGTCAGATGGTCAGCCAAGCACCAATGGACAGAAAGCACCGGGAGCGATCCCTTACTTGAGCATTTTAGGGCTGTTCAATCTTCTTTGATTGATTGAGGCTCCTACTTGTGAAAAGGTGAAATTCATGGGGTTCTATCACTCTATTAACTTCCCTAGGACAATAGACAATGGTTCAGACACCTGGACTCATAAAGTAACCACCATACAGGCAGAGGATGTGAACAGATTACAAGAAATACAAATAGCCAATAAGTATGTGAAAAGATATTCAACCTCACTCATAGTCAAAGAAATGTAAAGCAGAATGAGTTTCCACTTTTCATCATATTGGAAAACAAATAAAAATTTTGTAATGCCCAGTATTTACAAAACTATGGAGAAATAGACACCCTCATACTTTGTTGCTGGGAGTGTACAAACAGATTCAGGTCTTCTGGAGGGTAATTTAGCAGTGTCTGTCAACATTTTGAGTGCAGGTACTGGTTGATTCAGCAATTCTACTACTAGGAATTTGCCCTAGTGGTAATTTTGCTGGCAAAATTATGCCAAAATCATGTACAAGGATGTTCACTGCAACATTATAATAACAAAAAACTGGAAAACACTTAGACATCCATCAGCAGGAGACTGGTTAAATATATCCATGTAATGGAAAAGTATGCAATCACTGAAATAGGAGGTAGAAGTATATATGTTGATAGGGAAACTTCTAAATACGTTATGCCAGAAAACAATATGCAAGGTAATATGATCTCATTTGTGTTAGATTAAAAAGAGGTATACAGGTATATGTAGACTTTTCAGGAACGATTCAAAACAAATGGTGGTAGCGTTTGGAGAGTGGCTCTGGGGACTGGAGGGAGAAGGTAAATTTTGCTTTTTGTTTGACACTTTTCTATATTATTTGAATTTTCTATACTAGGTGAATGTAAGTCTAATTTTTAAAAACGTATTTTTAAAATAAAAAATTTTTTTTTTGAGACAGAGTTTCGCTCTTATTGCCCAGGCTGGAGTGCAGTGGTGAGATCTCGGCTCACTGCAACCTCTGCCTTCCGGGTTCAAGCGATTCTCCTGCCTCAGCCTCCCGAGTAGCTGGTATTACAGGCATGCACCACCATGCCTGGCTAATTTTTGTATTTTTAGTAGAGACGGGGTTTCTCCGTGTTGGTGAGGCTGGTCTCGAACTCCTGACCTCAGGTGATCCGCCCGCTTTGGCCTCCCAAAGTGCTGGGATTACAGGCGTGAGCCACCGAACCCAGCGAAAATAAATAAATATTTTGAAAGCAGACAAGGAACATGGACAGACAACGAAGAGAGAGAAGAGGAATCCCTCAGATGGGAGATTATGGTTTGTTCTGACATAGGACAACCTTGTTTTTTAGCTGCATTAATGAAAGCATTGTGACCAAATCATTTGTTTTTTCTGAAGACCACCAGGGAAGCATCCTGGAAGATGGAGAGGAGATAAGAGACTAGAGTCGAGGGGACCAGTAAGAAGATTTCTGCAACAGAGCAGGGCTCAAATTTAAGAGGTGATGGTGGGGGTGGAGGGGCAGCCCCAGATAGGAAAAGTTATTGAAAAGACAAACTGACAGCGTTGGTGCCTGATTGGATGAGACGAATGAGAAAGAAGGAGGGATTAAGGAGACAGTGCAGGCGTTTGCCTTGGGTGACTGAGTGGATGGCAATTCTGCCCAAGGGAACACTCAGAAGGAGAGAGAGAGTTCAAGACCAGAAAAGGATGGGGAAGAAAATAATGAGTTCAGCTTTGAGAATAATAAGTTGAGGCCAGGCACGGTGGCTCACACCTGTAATCTCAGCACTTTGGGAGGCCGAGGCAGGCAGATCACCTGAGGTCATGAGTTTGAGACCAGCCAGACCAACATGGTGAAACCGTGTTTCTACTAAAAATACAAAAAATTAGCCAGCCGTGGTGGCACGAGCCTGTAATCCCAGCTACTCGGGAGACTGGGGCAGGAGAATCGCTTGAACCCGGGAGGCGGAGGTTGCAGTGAGCCAAGATCACGCATTGCACTCTAGCTTGGGTGACAAGGGCAAGACTCTGTCTCAAAAAAAAAACAAACAAACCAAAACCGAACAAAAAATCCCGGGCGTGGTGGCTCACACCTGTAATCCCAGCACTTTGGGAGGCGAGGCAGGTGGATCACCTGAGGTCGGGAGTTTGAGACCAGCCTGACCAACATGGAGAAACCCCGTCTGTACTAAAAATACAAAATTAGCCAGATGTGGTGGTGTATGCCTGTAATCCCAGCTGCTCGGGAGGCTGAGGCAGGGGAATCACTTGAACCTAGGAGGCGGAGGTTGCAGTGAGCCGAGATTGCACCATTGCACTCCAGCCTGGGCAACAAGAGCGAAACTCCATTTCAAATAAAAATAAAAATAATAAATAAATAAATAAAAATAAAAAAAGAAAATGGTGAGTTGAGGAACATGCTGCATGTGAACACATTGAGTAGATCTATGGATCTAGTGCTCAAGAATTCTGGGTTGAAGATGGATGAGGTAGATGAGACGTAGAGCAGTTTGCTTTTGAAGACAGCAACATCAGAGAAAGTGGCAGTTGAAACTCGATATGAGGAAATTGTGTAGGCCAAATGAGTGGGACTCTAGAGATCACCTACCCTTAAGGGTTGGGCGGAAGAAGAGGAACCCGGCAGTAAGGCTGAGAAGGAGTGATCAGACCTGGGAGAGGAAAACCAGGAGGGAGTGGGGTCACAGATGACTGTTCTGTGCTCCTGGCTGGACACTGGGACTACAGGTGTGTGCCACCAAACCCAGCTAATTTTTGTATTTTTCTGTAGAGATGGGGGTCTTGCCATGTTGCCTAGGCTGGTCTTGAAAGCCTGGACTCAAGCAATCCGCCTGCCTCAGCCTTCTAAAGTGTGGGATTACAGGCATGGGCCACTGTGCCCAGCCAAGAATGGCTTTTTAAATGGTTAGACTTGAACATGAACTTCCTGGTGAAACTATGGTCACATACATCATGACTGCAGACAGAAGGGGCAGGTAGGGCTCCCTGCCCTTCTCCCCTCCCAGTGGAACTGCCTTCCTTCTTGAAAGCAGCCTCCTGTAACCTCTGTGGGCCCCTCCACAGTAGGCAAATTACAAAGCATTTCTGTCGGGAGCTTCCTTCCAGTTCTCTCCCTTCACTCTGGGACCCTCTCCCCTCCACCCCAGGATGTCTGTCCAGCATTGCTCTCTCCTCCCAATGTCTCAATACCTTGGCCTGCTTGGAACATGCCTCTGGTGGGGGCAGGGTGGGGGAAAGGGTAGCCACGGCAGATCCGACCCCCTAGGTAGCCAAGGGTCCGTTTAGATTACCCTAAAGTTTGTGTTTTGTTTGTGTTTAGACAAAAACCGTGAGGCAGGAGCAATGACATTTGCAGAGCACACTGTAGGGAAGAAAATGCAGGAGAAATCCTTCTCTAGCTCTGTCTGTCCAATTTGTAACTTTAGATCTCAGAAAGATGAAAAGCCGAGACAAATAAATCTGGGTGGCTGAATGCAGAAAAAGGTGTTTGTTGGGAGAAGCAAAGAGCTGCCGACCTTGCAGGGTACACTGTGCTGCTGGCCCTGTCACACGATGCTTTATCTCTCCATCAGCGCCTGAGGCCTAAGCTTGGTGGCTGCAGAATCACAAAAAAGGCAGTGGCTGAGCTTAGCCTAGAAGGCTGTGGAGTGCTGGGCCTGCTGCCTCCCCATCCCTCTGCCCTGCCTCTCGCTCTCTCTGCTCCATTTCCTGCCTCAGAACCCTGCTCTCTGCTCTTGTCTCTTTTGGTTCCTCTATTTATACATTTATGTTTTTGGAAGAGGGCTAGAGGGAATCTAAGGTTTAGGGAGCTGCACAACTCATGGGCAGATCCCAGAAGCCTGGCTCTTCTCCACTCCAGCAGGCAAAATTCATGTCTTTTCTTTCTTTTCCTGTGCTGGACAGAGCCAAACACACACTAACAGCGTTAACACGATAAATATCAGCAGTCCTGACCTTTCTCTGTGGATCCTGGAGGCTCGCTGACTCCCAAGCTCTGAGTTGCTTGTGCTTAAAGTGGATTAGCACTTACCGTTGGCTGCAGGGCCCCGCACTGGGGTTTGATGGGAATCAAAATAGAGATTACCTTATTTGACTTAAAAAAAAATTTCCACTTGAAAGATAGAATTCCCCAGAGAAATCCACTGGAGCTTATACATATACAACTTTAAATTGGATTTTAAAAATAGTTTGCCAGCTGTTTGCTAGGTCGTGTTTTAGGCTCTTGTGCCTGATTGATGTTGGGTCCTTTGGGAAACAAGGCCAAGAGGGGATTGAGGGGCTGCCAAGCCTGCAGGGTCCTGGATGCCTGGGGACTTTCTCAGGAGCCCTGGTAGCTGTTGCCAGGGCCTTTAGAAGCCCTCAGATCCTGGCACCGAGGTCTGCCTCTCACCCAGAGAAAATGATCACAGAGCTCGAACCACCTCCCCCAAACCTCGCCTCATCCCTGCACTGCCCTTCTCAGCCAAGGTCCAAAAGAAAGAAACGAAGGAGGACTGTTCTCAGCTGGATGGATCTTTCACACTCTGTGCAGCTAAATGTTTATTTTAGTTCCTTGTATGACCTTCAGGTGACCTTTCATCCATCCCCATCTGCCTGAACTTTCATCCATCTCCTTCCTCTATTGCTGCCTGACTGGTGTTCATCGCTCAGGTCTCAGCCAGAGTGTCACCTTCTCAGGGAAGCATGAGGGGCAGCAGAGTGTGGTGGTCAGGAACACCAGTGTGTCAGGCTTTGAATCCTGGTTCAGCACTTACAAGCTGTGTGACCTTATGGATGGTCACTCGACCCCTCTGTGCCTATCAATTTCCTCTTCTGTGAAATGGGGATCATGATAACACCTACCTCATTAGGATTGTTGCACGGTGAGGATCCAGTGAATTCCTACATGTTGTATGGAATATGTAAAATGCTTAGAATATGGCCTGCCATGCAACAAACATCTGCTCTTACTACTCTCTAAAGCAGGGGGTCCCCAATCCGTCACCCCAATACCAGTCTGTGCCCTGTTAGGAACCAGGCTGCACATTGGGAGGTGAGCACAGGCCAGTAAGTAAAGCTTTATCTGTATTTACAGCCACTCCCAGTACGCAAACAGAGTTTGCGTTACCACCTGATCTCTGCTTTTTGTCAGCTCAGCAGCAGCACTGGATTCTCATAGGAGCTGGAACCCTATTGTGAACTGAGCACGTGAGGGATCCAGGTTGTGTGCTCCTTATGAGAATCTAATGCCTGATGATCTATCACTGTCTCCCATCCTCCCCATATGGGACCATCCAGTTGCAAGAAAATAAGCTCAGGGCTCCCACTGATTCAACATTATGGTGAGTTGTATATTATTTCATTACATAGTACAATGTAATAATGATAGAAATAAAGTGCCCAGGCTGGGCGTGGTGGCTCACGCCTGTAATCCCAGCACTTTGGGAGGCTGAGGCGCGTGGATCACAAGGTCAAGAGATCGAGACCAGCCTGGCCAACATGGTAAAACCGCATCTCTACTAAAAATACAAAAATTAGCTGGGTGTGGTGGCATGCAACTGTAGTCCTAGCTACTCGGGTGGCTGAGGCAGGAGAATCGCTTGAACCCGGGAGGTGGAGATTGCAGTGAGCCAAGATCACGGCACTGCACTCCAGCCTGGCGACAGAGCGAGAGTCCATCTCAAAAAAAAAAAAAAAAAAAAGAAAGAAAGAAAGAAAGTGCACAATAAGTGTAATGTGCTTGAATCATCCACAAACCATCCCCCTTACCAAACTGTCTATGGAGAAATTATCTTCCACAAAACTGGTTCCTGGTGCCAAAAAGTTTAGGGACCACTGCTTGCTCTAAAGTACGTATCCCAGTGGTAGTGGTGGCTCACGCCTGTAATCCAAGCACTTTGGGAGGCCGAGGTGGGATCACTTGAGTCCAGGAGTCCAAGACCAGCCTGGGCAATACAGCGAGACCCCATCTGTACAAAAAATACAATAAATAAATGAAGTACATGTCCCAAGGCCCAGTTGCCTGTGGCTGCCCTGTGCTCCTCCAGCCTCCAGTGCTTTTGCTGTGCAGCATCTGTCCTTGTTTATCTTTATTGCCTGGTTTATGAGATGCTGAAGAAGTATTTGTGACTACAATAATGAATGATTTTTTTTTCTTTTTTTGAGACAGAGTTTGGCTGGAGTGCCAGTGGCATGATCTCACTGCAACCTCTGTCTCCTGGGTTCAAGCGATTCTCCTGCCTCAGCCTCCCACGTAGCTGGGATTACAGATGCCTGCCACCATGCCCAGCTAATTTTTGCATTTTTTGTAGAGATGGGGTTTCACCATTTTGGCCAGGCTGGTCTTGTACTCCTGACTTCAGGCGATCTGCCCGCCTTGGCCTCCCAAAGTGGTGGGATTACAGGCGTGAGCCACTGTGCCTGGCCTAAATGAAATATTTTTAAAAATTGCTAGGCTGGGTATGGTGGCTCACACCTGCAATCCCAGCACTTTGGGAGACTGAGGTAGGTGGATCGCCTGAGGTCAGAGTTCGAGACCATCCTGGCTAACATGGTGAAACCCCATCTCTACTAAAAATGCAAAAATTAGCTGGGCACAGTAGTGCGCACCTGTAGTCCTGGCTACTCGGGAGACTGAGGCAGGAGAATTGCTCGAACCTGGAGGGTGGAGGTTGCAGTGAGCTGAGATGGAGCCACTGCACTCCAGCCTAGGTGACAGAGTGAGACTCCATCTCAAAAAAAAAAAAAAAAAAAAAATTGCTAAAAGACAAATGTGATCCAGAAGAGAGAGAAACTCGGGCACTTGGGTCATTTTTCTCCATCTATATTTGCTCTATATGTAAACTTGGTCCTTTTGTTTGTTTGTTTGTCTGACTGTTAAACAGAGAGAGTTGATGAGTTTTGAGTTCTGGGATTAGGAGGATAACGTTTTGTAATTTTTTTTTTTGCAGGAGACCTCTGCCACATCTAGTTTTTCAAAATTTAATTAAATATTAAATGCTTGCAAAAGAAGAGATCACATGAACAGAGTATAAAAACTGGACACCCTACTACCCACACCCAGTTTAAGATACAGATTACAACCAACACCGTTAAAGCCCTTTTGCATGCCCTTCTCCATCCCAGCCCCCTCCTAAATTTTGTTTATAATGATCTCGCTTTTCTTCATAATTTTACCTCCAAAATATGCATCTGTAAACAATATGCTGTTTTTGCAAGCTTTTGAACATTATATAAAATAAATCATACTGCATGTATTCTTCAGTTTGCTATTCTCACCTCTCCACATGATGTATGTGACATCTCTTTGCTGCAGCTGTAGCTCTCTAATATTCCACTGTGTGACCCTTCTGCTGTTTTCTTCTCCGTTCTCCTATCAATGGACATTTGGGTTGTTTGCCTTTTTTTTTTTTTTTTTTTGAGACAGGGTCTTGCTCTGTCATTCAGGCTGGAGTGCAGTGGCAGGATCATGACTCACTGCAACCTCTGCCTCCTGGGTTCAAGCAATCCTCCCACCTCAGCCTCCCAAGTAGCTGGGACCCCAGGCGTGTGCCACTATGCCCGGCTAATTTTTCTTTTTTTTTTCTAGACGCAGGGTTTCACCATGTTGCCCAGGCTGGTCTCAAACTCCTGGACTCAGTGATCCACCTACCTTGGCCTCCCAAAGTGCTGGGATTACAGGCGTGAGCCACCATACCTGGCCTTGAGATTTTTTGCTATTACTGGCAAGTGCTGCTATGTTTTTTTTGTTTATTTGTTTGTTTTTTTTGAGATGGAGTCTCGCTCTGTCACCCAGGCTGGAGTGCAGTGGCACAATGTTGGCTCACTGTAACCTCCACCCCTGGGTTCAAATGATTCTCCTGCCTCAGCCTCCCGAGTAGCTGGGATTATAGGCACCTGCCACCACGACCGGCTAATTTTTGTATTTTTACTAGAGACGGGGTTTCACCATGTTGGCCAGACTGGTCTGGAACTCCTGACCTCGTGATCCACCCGCCTCGGCCTCCCAGAGTGCTGGGATTACAGGCATGAGCCACCATGCCTGGCCACACAAATGCTGCTATGAACATTTTTGTGTGTGACTACTGGGGTCCATGGTCAAGAGTTTCTCTGGGGATATTTCTGGGTCCTAAAGTTTGCACATTATCAGCTTATCTTTATGATGTTCGATTGATTTTCCGGAGGAGTTCTCCACCTTCCCATGTAGTCCCAAGCCTCAGGCCCTGCTGCATTCATCTTTGGGGTCTATTAGACCTGTTGGAAAGGGACTCTGAGGCAGGGCCAGGGAGAAGCTTGTCAGCTTGTACCACAGTGGCCACACTTCTGGGAGCAAAAGGTGACAACTTGGCCTAGGTGATTAGGGGGATCTCCTCTGTGGTGTTCTCTCCATCTCACAGGCACCACTCAGAGCCATACAGACAAGAGCAAACTCTGTTGACCCAAAGCCAAAACATCCCAGTGAAAACTAAACAGGTATCTGGAAACAAGCAGTGTTTTTTACTAATCCACTTATTTTCTTTTCAAGCTAATAAAGGTTTTAATATTTCCTCAACTAAGTGAAATTGGAATTTTAAAAAATTAATTTCCTTATTATAGCTTGCCTTTAAAAATCATTGCTTTGGCTGGGCACAGTGGCTCATGCCTGTAATCTCAGCACTTTGGAAGGCCAAGGTGGGAGGATCACTTGAACCCAGGAGCTTGAGACCGGCCTGGGCAACATAGTGAGACCCTCGTCTCAATTTTTTTAAAAGTCATTGTTTAACTGGGCATGGTGGCTTGTGCCTGTAATCCCAGCTACTTGGGAGGCTGAGACAGGAGTTGCTGGGACCTGGAGGTTGCAGTGAGCCAAGATTGCACCACTGTACTTCAGCCTGGGAGTCAGAGCAAGACTCCGTCTCAAAAAAAAAAAAAAAGAAAAACACCTCATTGTTTTAAAATTCAAAATTGTTTTGATGGTAGTAGGCTTTCAATAAATATTAAACTTTTTTGAGCATTTTGTTACTTCAGTCAGTAGGATTGTTCAGGGATCTATTTGCCAAAGCCAAAAGTAGAATCCTTTCTTCTATTTTTTTCTACTCTACACATTGTCTTTATAATAATAATTTAAAAGAAGGATGTAATAGTGAAAACTAGTGAGTGAATCCCTAAGGCCTTTCGTGACTTTCTCCTGGAAACTGACCTATTTTGATACTGTCAGCTCGATAGGGTATCCTGGCATAACTTTTCTGTCTAGGAAGGAGCTCAGTTTATTGACCACTCATACATCTTTTTGAGAAGGCACATTGATCCTTCAAGAAAATGATCCTCCAGAAATTGTGATTGGTACAATTTGTAAGCAAAACCTCTTGTTAAAATCAGTAAGTTAGGCCGAGAGCGGTGGCTTATGCCTCTAATCCCAGTACTTTAGGAGGCTGAAGCAGATGGATCACTTGAGGCCAAGAGTTCAAGACCAGCCTGGCAACATGAAAAAACTCCATCTCTACTAATACAAAAATTAGTCGGGCGAGTTGGCCCATGTCTGTAATTCCAGCTACTCAGGAGGCTGAGGCACAAGAACCGCTTGAATCTGGGATATGGAGGTTGCAGTGAGCCAAGATCATACCACCATACTCCAGCCTGGGTGACAGAGCGAGACTCTGTCTCAAAAAAAGAACAAAAACAAAAAAACCCAAAACAGTAACTTATAGAAATAAGCTAGTATTGTGCAGAAACCTAGTTACACCTTGCCTAAGCTAAAATCTTAGTCACCTTTGGGTCACTAGCACACTCTTTTTCTCCGATCACATGCAGTCATAAAATCTTGCCAATTCATCTTTTCTGATGTTTCTCCTGCCCATTCCTTCATTGTTTTGGGGCCTTTTCCACGTCATGCCTATACCAAAAGGGACTGAAACTTAAAAGTTCCCTGTCTGAGTTCCTCCCCATTCTAACTCACCATTCCTGGATTAATCTTTAAAAAATAAAAACTAGGCTGGGCGGGGTGGCTCACGCCTGTAATCCTAGCACCTTGGGAGGCTGAGGCGGGCGGATCACCTGAGGTCAGGAGTTCGAGACCAGCCTGGCCAACATGCCGAAACCCTGTCTCTACTAAAAATACAAAAATTAGCCAGGCGTTGTGGCATGCGCCTGTAGTTCCAGCTGCTCCAGGGACTGAGGCAGGAGAATTGCTTAAACCTGGGGGCAGAGGTTGGAGTGAGCTGAGATCGCGCCACTGCACTCCAGCCCGGCTGATAGAGCAAGACTCCATCTCAGAAAAAAATAAATAAATAAAAATAAAAACTAAAAGAATAGCAACAACAAAACCCACATCTAAAAACTGTTTTTCTCATGATACCTCGCTTCTTCTCCACTCTCAAACTCATTGGCTTCCACAGAGTAAAATTCAGATCATTTAGCCAAGGCACATGAATCTCTCCCCAAACTCCTTTGACTCCTATGGCCATCTCTGCAGAAGCTTACACAAACACACCCCATTTGAAGGACAGTTTCAGGGCTCAGGACCCCTGCAGCTGGCGAAAGACCATGGGTTTCAAGTGCCTGCTCTGTGACAAGGCTTTGCCTTCCCAGGTTATCATCCCCTCTCTGCACTCCCAGCCCCGCAACATGCCACGTTCTTCAGACACATCCAGCCTGTCTTGGCCTCCACAGCTTCATTTTCTTTTTGTTTCTTTTTTTTTTTTTTTTTTCTTTGAGACGGAGTCTCTCTGTTGCCCAGGCTGGAGGGCAGCCGCATGATCTCGGCTCACTGCAACCTCCGCCTCCTGGATTCAAGCGATTCTTCTGCCTCAGCCTTCGGAGTAGCTGAGATTACAGGGACGCGCCAGCATGCCCCGCTAATTTTTGTATTTTTAGTAGTGACAAGATTTTACCATATTGGCCAGGCTGGTCTTGAACTCCTGACCTCAGGTTATCCACCCATCTCAGCCTCCCAAAGTGCTGGGATTACAGGCGTGAGCCATCATGCCCTGCCACAGCTGCACTTTGGGCATCTCCCTGCCCAGAACCCACCACTCTGCTGTTTCCAGGTCCCAACCACCTTTCAGGGCCTCTTCTCATCTAAACCTTCTCTGACTACCTTGGCCTTTGTGCATCTCCCCTTCCTCTTGACTTCTGTCCTGGCCCAGAAAATACAGGTCATTCTGTGCAGGCTGCCCAACTGGATTGCCAGGCCCCAGAGGGCAGGGATGATGGCGATCAGGTGGTGCAGGCCCTTCCACATCTTCTTTGCCTGTAGGTGTTGCCTTTCAGGACATGATGGTGAACATGATCATGCAGGAAAAATAAATAAATGAAAAACAAACATTAATACAAGAATCATTCTCTCTTTTTCTATTGCAGATTAGGCCCTCCTTCTGTCTCCCCCGACCCTCGCCCCCCCACCCCCAATCTGCTACAAAATATCCAGTATAACTCCTTTATCCTTTCGTGTGTAAAATAAGGAAGCTAAATTCTAGAGAATAGAGAAGTTGAAAAAGTAAACTAATACATTTCCTTTAATGACTCAGCCCAGGAAAGGTAAGCAAACAACTTGGACTTCAGACAGAGGTCGATAGCTGCTGATGGAGGTGATCCAGGCACTTCCGAGGCTGTGCAGGAAGGGCCAAAGCCGGTGCCTGGGAGAGCCGGATAGGTTTCTGCTGCTAAACCAAGTCTGCAGGGTGAGTTGATAAAGGAATGCTGATTCCCAAAGAAACTAAGGGTGCCAGATGGGACCTCTGTCACCATCTCTGAAATACCAGTGGGTTAATATTGCATAAGCACGAATGCTTTTTAAAAAATGCACATACACACACATATATATGTCTATACAATATATTTTTTTGTAGCTGGAGTGTGAGGAGTGGGAATCTGTGGTTGTGAATCCATAGGGTGCTGAGCAGAGTCCCCATATGATTTGGGACCTGTAGTGCCACGACACTCACCTCACAATAGCACAAGCTTCTTGCTCTGAAGGGTAGATAAACGATGTTTAAAGGGAGAGCATTGCTTGATTTTACACCTTTGTTTTAAAAAAATATGATAAAGGGAGAACAAATATTATTGTGGGAAGGACTTTTCTGTGAGAGGAGTAAAACCACCCATCCTGGGCTACACCGCAAGTATCTAGTTGTCTTTAAAGGAGTGAAAAAAAATCTGCTTCGTGTTATTTTTTTCCCCTATATTCTTGCCCCTTCATCCTGCCTATCTCTGCAAAACCTATTCCGCCCCCCACCGCCCTTTTTTTTTTTTTTTTTGTAAACAGAGACTGGCTTTGTCGCCCAGGCTGGAGTGCAGTGGCACTATTTCAGGCCACTGCAACCTCTGCCTCCTGGATTCGAGCGATTCTCCTGCCTCAGCCTCCTGAGTAGCTGGGACTACAGGCGCACACCACCACACCCAGCTAATTTTTGTATTTTTAGTAGAGATGGGGTTTCACCATGTTGGCCAGTCTGGTCTCGAACTCCTGACCTCAGGTGATCCACCCCCCGCCTCAGTCTCCCAAAGTGCTGGGATTACAGGCTGAGCAAACTTGCCTGGTCTTACCTTGGTATTGTTTTGCTAAAAAATGCACAGTAGTCTTCTATTTCTTAATGCATTGAATGCAAACTTTATCAAGCTTGACTTTGAAGACCTGGGCAGCCCACCCAGTCCTAACTTCCTAGGGTCATTTGCCCCACCCCACAACCAGCCTTCCCCCTGCACAGGTGCCATGTCCTGTCTCGGACCCAGGCTCCACTTGAGGCTCAGCCTCTCCCTTGCATCCTGAAAAGCTTTTTGTGTGAACTGCACTAATTTTCCTCATGTTACACCGAGCTCCCTAGCTATAGAGTAAAGTCCTTGAAGGCAAGACCTTTGTCTTACTCGCCCCTGAGCTCACTTCTGTGTCTGGACCGTAGCCAACATAGCATGGCTGAAACCTCTTAAAAGCTAGGTCAGGGTGGCTCATGCCTATAATCCCAGCACTTTGGGAGGTCGAGGTGAGCGGATCACCTGAGGTCAGGAGTTCGAGACCAGCCTGGCCAACATGGTGAAACCTCATCTCTACGAAAAATACAAAAATTAGCTGGGTGTGGTAGCGCACACCAGTAGTCTCAGCTACTCAGGAGGATGAGGCAGGAGAATCGCTTGAACCCAAGAGGCGGAGGTTGCAGTGAGCGAAGATCTCGCCACTGCACTCCAGTCTAGATGACAGAGTGAGACTCGGTTCTTAAAAAAAAAAAAATTGCTAGGTCAATTCAATTGGGACTTCTGGCCCTCTGCCTGGTCCCCTCACTGTCTTCCTCAAAGACTTAGGGCCATTCCCCTGTGAATCTCAAATCAGGGCAGCCCTCAGTGCCTCCTCTCCATATCTTAATCAGATACGAATAATCAGAGATGACAGTATTTAAAGAAGCCTTGGGGGATCAATTACAAATAGCCCAATTTCAGTTACAAAGGACTTTCACTTTGATCTAATATTTAAGTGAGAGACTCTCACCTGAATACAGACCTGATAAAAAACATTAGAAGGATTAAATGCTTTGCTTAAGGTCACACAGAATGCATCAAAACTTGCACTTAAAGTGGGGACCTATCTTTTAAATCTAGCAATATATTTTTTCCAGCACCATATCTTGGTAGCCAATGGTGATAACAAAGCTGTTTTTGTTTTTCTAAAATGAAAAATATACTAATGTCTTTATTTAGAGTTTTTCTAATAAAATACAAATCATTACTACCCTGTTGGGTACAACATATTAAAAATGTTTTTATCTTAGCTGTCTTATCTGCCTGGGTTTGGGATAGATTTTAGGATTTAATATTATTGGGTCACGTAATATCATTATGTTTATCAGAGTGAAATCTAGTTTAGCCTTTTGCGTACTCAATAAAAACCATCGTGAATTTTAGAAAAACTGCTCAGAGTTCATATTTGAGCAGTTGCGTATTGGCAGCAGCATCTTGATATAAAAGACAACTTGTTATTTTTACGCATTCTGGAATTGTGAAACTTAGAAAGCACATTATGTTTTTTTTTTTAAAGATTATGTTTGTTTAGTGCTTTATATCTATTATAATCCTTATGAAAGCCCCGTGAAGCAAGTGTGTAAGAACTGGCATTTTAGGCTGGGCACGGTGGCTCATGCCTGTAATCCCAGCACTTTGGGAGGCCAAGGTGGGCAGATCACTTGAGGTCAGGAGTTCAAGAGCAGCCTGGCCTACATGGTGAAACCCCGTCTCTACTAAAAATACAAAAATTAGCCGGGCATGGTGGCAGGTGCCTGTAATCCCAGCTACTGGGGAGGCTGAGGCCAGAGAATCACTTGAACCTGGAGGGTGGAGGTTGCAGTGAGCCGAGATCTTGCCACTGCACTCCAGCCTGGGTCACAGAGCGAGACTCCATCTCAAAAAAACCCAAAAATAATAAAAATAAAAATAAAATTTTAAAAAATAAAAAAATTAAAAATAAATAAAGATGAAGAAACCAAAGCCACGGGGCCTAAGTGGTGTGACCAGGGTCACTGGACTCATTGGTGGCTGCATTGGTCAGGGTCTTGGCAAGAAACAGAGGGCACACTCCAGTTGGGTAATTTCAGCAGAACCTAATAAAGGAACTCTTTACAAAAATAGGGGCAGGGTGCAGGGAAGCCACAGGGACAGTGTGTTGTTGTGGGGAGCTACATAGGCTTGCCATGGAGGGAGGAAGGAGGGCCAGGTCACCAGAACTGGAGAGGCCTGCAGTGTCAGTGCACAGAGACCTCCTAGGTCTAAGAACTCAGGATAATTAACACCCAACCCCTCTGTCCTCCCTCCTTCTGATCCCCTAAAGGAGACCCTCGTTGGCCTTATTGGAAGCCAGAGGGCAAGGGAGCCTGCTGAGGTTTCTACACAGGTCAGTCTCCTGGGCACTGAAGAGAGAGAGTAGGGAGTGGCTCCCGGATGGAGTAGGCAACAGAAGATATCCAGCACAGAGGTGAATCCATGAGTAAACCTCAGACTTCCTTTAAAAAAATAATAGTAGGGCCGGGCGTGGTGGCTCATGCCTGTAATCCCAGCACTTTGGGAGGCCGAGGCAGGTGGATCACCTGAGGTCAGGAGTTCGAGGCCAGCCTGGCCAACGTATAGTGAAACCCCGTCTCTACTAAAAAATACAAAAATTAGCTGGGCATGGTGGTGCACGCCTGTAGTCCCAGCTACTTGGGAAACCAAGGCTGGAGAATCACTTGAACCCGGGAGGCAGAGGTTACAGTGAGCTGAGATCATACCACTTTACCCCATCCTGGGCGACAGAGTGAGACTCTAACAAAGCAAAACAAAACAAAATAAAAAATAATAGGTCAGGCATGGTGGCTCATGCCTGTAATCTCAACAATTTGAAAGGCCGAGGCAGGCGGATCACTTGAGGCCAGGTGTTCGAGACCAGCCTAGGCAACATAGCGAAAGCTCGACTCTACTAAAAATACAAAAATTAGCCAGGCATGGTGGCACATGCATGTCATCCTAGCTACTTGGGAGGCTGAGGCACAAGAATCACTTGAACCCGGGGATAGAGGCTGCAGTGAGCCAAGATCATGCTACTGCACTCCAGCATGGGTGACAGAGGAAGACTCGGTCTCAAAATAATAATAATAATATGATAATAATGAATAGATAATTATGTGAGGTGATGAATATGTTAATGGTCTTGATTGTGATTGTTTCATAATGTATACCTATATCAAAACATTAAGTTGGACCAGCATGATGGTTGATGCCTGCAATCCCAGCACTTTTCAAGGCTGAGGTGGGAGGATCACTTGAGCCTAGGATTTCGAGACCAGCCTGGGCAACATAGTAAGACCTCATCTCTACAAAAAATCAAAAAATAGCCAGGTGTGGGGCATGCACCTATAGTCCCAGCTACTTGGGAGGCTGAGGCAGGAGGATCACTTGAGCCTGGGAGGTGGAGTTTGCAGTGTAACCGAGATTGTGCCACTGCAGTCAGCCTGGGCAGCAGAGAGAGGCCCTGTCTCTAAAAAAATGAAAAACAGGGGCTGGGCACAGTGGCTTATGCCTGTAATCCCAGCACTTTGGGAGGCAGAGGTGGGTGGATCACCTGAGGTCAGGAGTTTGAGACCAACCTGGCCAATGTGGTGAAACCCCATCTCTACTAAAAATACAAAAATTAGCCGGGTGTGGTGGCAGGCGCCTGTAATCCCAGCTATTCGGGAGGCTGAGGCACAAGAATTGGTGGAATCCGGGAGGCAGACGTTGCAGTGAGCCAAGATCGCGCCATTGCACTCCAGCCTGGGCAACAAGAGCAAAACTCTGTCTCAAAACAAAATAAAAGAAAAAAAAAAAAAACAACCCCACCCCCTCCAAAAAAAAAAAACCGTTAAGTTGTACACCTTAAATATGTACAGTTGTTATTTGCCAGTTATACTGAAATAAAGCTGAAAAAAAAAACTGATCTCGGACTTCTTGTCCCTTGATCCTATGCTCTTTCCATAACACTGTGCCTGAGACACATAACACTGTGCCTGAGTCCTAGCTCCTAGCACAGAATTTCAGAGAAGTTCCCTTCAGGACCACCCTTTGGCCCACAACATCCCTCAACATTAAACTTTAAGCTCGTTTTCTAAAGCGTTCTGTGAATATTAGCCTCTATGGAAGGATCCCATAGGATCCTTTTTTGACAGCGATCCCATGGGAGCTATAAATCAGACTGGGTCAGGCAGTGGCCTGTGGGCTAGGCCAAGATGGCAGGGCTGGCAGGTTGAGAAAGGTCCCCTGAAGTCATCACTGGTTCTTGGCCATCATCACATCTTGGCAGAGATCCTCAGAGCCTTTAATGCAGCTGTAGTGGGCATTAGCCACGAGGCTGGCAAAGTTTCAAGAATAAAAGAATCCATTTTACTATCTTTTGCATCTGGCAATTAAAGGACCTTGAACAAAAGACTTCATCTCACAGCACTGTTGATAACTCTACGGTTTGCACTTGGCTACCCTGGCTTTATTTTTATATAATCCCTCTGGCATGAGACTCCAGGTTTTATAGAAAGTAAACATCTCGGGGGTGTTGGAGCTTTCTACCTTGGATGCGTTCTTTATTCACCTTTATCCTTGGTTCTCTGAGGGCTAAAGTCATAAAAAGTTTGATGACAGTGACCTCTTCCAAACCCAAGAGCTATGAGAGCAGTGTACTGAGAAATGCAAAGCCCAATGTTCTCATGGAACACAAACTCACCCAGAGGTCACAGAGAAAAAATTCTCAGTTCCTGTTCTGGCAGAATCATTTCCAAAGAAATGAAACCATGGTCACATCCAGCTTTTATGGTCTGAGTGGTCATATTCCTGAAAGAAGCATAACTACTAGAATCTAAGGTGACTTCACTACAAGGTTAATACATTCACTCCCCCAACTCCTCACCCAAATAAGGCCTTATGCACTGTGCATTTTCCCCCACTGCTGGGGGAGGTTTTTCTAAATTTCACTCATAAGCAGTTTACCTGGTACCACTGGAATTGATCAAAGAGGCACAGAGTTGGCCGGGCGTGGTGGCTCACGCCTGTAATCCCAGCACTTTGGGAGGCCGAGGTGGGCGGATCACGAGGTCGAGAGATCGAGACCATCCTGGCCAACATGGTGAAGTGCTGTAATCCCAGCACTTTGGGAGGCCGAGGTGGGTGGATCACCTGAGGTCAGGAGTTTGAGACAAGACCAACCTAGAGAAACCCTGTCTCTACTAAAAATACAAAATTAGCCATGCATGGTGACACATGCTTGTAATCCCAGCTACTCGGGAGGCTGAGGCAGGAGAATCGCTTGAACCCGGGAGGCGGAGGTTGCAGTGAGCCGAGATCACACCACTGCACTCTAGCCTGGCGATAGAGCAAGACTTCATCTAAAAAATAAAATAAAATAAAATAAAATAAAATAAAATAAAATAAAATAAAATAAAATAAAATGGCCTGGCGCGGTGGCTCACGCCTGTAATCCCAGCACCCTGGGAAGCCGAGGTGGGCGGATCACAAGGTCAGGAGATCGAGACCATCCTGGTAACATGGGGAAACCCTGTCTCTACTAAAAATACAAAAAAGTTAGCCGAGCGTGGCGGCGGGCGCCTGTAGTCCCAGCTGCTTCGGAGGCTGAGGCAGGAGAATGGGGTGAACCCGGGAGGCGGAGCTTGCAGTGAGCCGAGATCCTGCTACTGCCCTCCAGCCTGGGCTACAGTGCGAGACTCCGTCTCAAAAATAAATAAATAAATAAATAAATAAATAAATAAATAAATAAATAAAATAAAATAAAGAAAATGGCTCTAGCACAGTGGCCCTATTGCCATTCCTGCCTCAGGAATTTTGCACTTGCTGATTCCTCTGTTTGGACCACTCTTCCCCCAGATTGCCGTATATGGCTCACTCCCTCACCTCCTTCAGATCTTTATTCATATGCTGCTTTCTCAGTGAGACTTTCCCTGGCCACCCTGGATGCCCTGTTTAACATTGATGCTTCACTCCGGTACCCCATCCCTCTTCCCTGATTTATTCATTTTTTTCCTGTAACACTTAAACCATCTAACCTACTCCCTTCCCTATTATTTTATTTACTTATTTCACTGTGGTAAAATATACACCACACAAAAATTACCATTTTAATAGTTTGTAAGTTTTCAGTTCGGTGGCATTAATTACATTCACATTGTTGTGCAACCATCACCACTATCCATCTCCAGACCTTTTGCATCTTCCTCAACTGTTGAAGCTCTATACTCTTTGAACGCTACCTCCCCATTCCCCACTCCCCCCAGCCCTTGGTAACCACCATTCTACTTTCTGTCTCTATGAATTTGACTACACTAGGTGCCTCATGTAACTGTAACACTAGGATCTTTCTCTCTCTCTCTTTTTTTTTTTTTTTTTTTGAGATGGATTCTTGCTCTGTCGCCCAGGTTGGAGTGCAGTGGTGCGATCTTGGGTCACTGCAACCTCCGCCTCTTGGGTTCAAGCGATTCTCCTGCCTCAGCCTCCCAAGTAGCTGGTATCACAGGCACCTGCCACCACACCTTGCTAATTTTTGTAGAGACGAGGTTTCACCATGTTAGCCAGGCTGGTCTCGAACTCCTGACCTCAGGCGATCTGCCCGCCTCAGCCTCCCAAAGTGCTGGGATTACAGGCATGAGCCACTGCGCCCGGCCAGCCACCAAGCCTGGCCAATCTTTGTCCTTTTATGTCTGGTTTATTTCACTTAGCACAGTGTCTTTGAGGGTTTATCCATGTGGTAGCTTGTGTCAGAATTTCATTCCTTTTTTTTTTTTTTTTTTTAAGGTGGAGTCTCACTCTGTCACCCATTCTGGAATGCAGTAGCGCAATCTCTCGGCTCACTGCAACCTCCGCCTCCCAGGTTCAAGCAATTGTCCTTTCTCAGCCTCCTGAGTAGCTGGGACTACAGGTGCATGCTACCACACGTGGCTAATTTTTGTATTTTTAGTACAGACAGGGTTTCACTATGTTGACCAGGCTGGTCTTGAACTCCTGACCTCAGGTGATCCACCCGCCTCAGCCTCCCAAAGTGCTGGGATTACAGGCATGAGTCACCATGTCCAGCCAGAATTCTGTTCCTTTTTTAAGATTGACTAGCCAGGCGTGGTGGCTCACGCCTGTAATCTCAGCACTTTGGGAGGCCCAGGCGGGTGGATCACCTGAGGTCAGGAGTTTGAACCACCCTGACTAACATGGTGAAACCCCACCTCTACTAAAAATACAAAATTAGCTGGGCGTGGTGGTGCACGCCTGTAATCCCAGCTACTCTGGAGGCTAAGACAGGAGAATTGCTTGAACCTGGGAGCCGGAGGTTGCAGTGAGCCGAGATTGCGCCATTGCACTCCAGCCTGGGCAACAAGAGCAAAACCCCATCTCAAAAAAAAAAAAAAAAAAAAAAAGACTGAATAATATTGCATGGTCTGTATATGCCATAGTTTGTTTATCCATTCATCTGTCAAAGGACATTTGAGTTGCTTCCACTTTTTGGCTATTGTGAATAATACTGCTATGAACATGAGTATACAAATATCTCTTTGAGTCCCTGCTTTCAATTCTTTTTTTTTTGAGATGGAATCTCGCTCTGTTGTCCAGGCTGGAGTGCCGGGGTAAGATCTCAGCTCACTGCAACCTCCGCCTCCCAGGTTCAAGCGATTCTCCTGCCTCAGCCTCCCAAGTAGCTGGGACTACAGGCGTGCGCCACCACGCTCAGCTAATTTTTGTATTTTTAGTAGAGATGGGGTTTCACCATGTTGGTCAGGCTGGTCTTGAACTCCGGACCTCCTGATCCGCCCGCCGCGGACTCCCAAAGTGCTGGGATTACAAGTATGAGCCACTGCACCCGGCCAATTCTTTTGTGTATATACCCAGAAGTGGAATTGGTGGATCAAGTGGTAATTTTATGTTTAATTTTTTGAGGAACCACCATACTGCTTTCCATAATGGCTGCATCATTTTACATTCCCACCAGCCTATCTAACCTACTTTTACTTATATATTTTGTTTAGTGCCTGTCCCCTACCCTTCTTTGAATGTAAGCTCCATGAGGCTAGTAGAGATGTGTTTCCTGAGTATCTAGATCCTTGTTTGGCACATGGTAGTCAGTGTTTGTTAAATAAATGAACTGATTCAGTGCCTCTGACTTCATTTGCATTATTTTGATCCCCATTCAAGGGCTGGCTTAATCCCAGTGGAGCCCTTTTTGGTCCATCTCCCCAGCAGGCTCTTTCCCAACTAGGTGTATGCCTCTTGCAACTCATCCTCACTTTCTGCTTGTATTCTAGTTGTCTGTGAGAGTGCCCTATCTTTCCCTCTGAATTATAATATCCTTAATGTTAGGGAGCTTGGTTTTTTGGCCTTTTCTTATCTTTGTTTTGCCATCTTTCTAGCTCAGGGGCAGAGACTCAATACATTTGTATCAGAAGGACACTCTAAATGTCCAGGCTGAGCAGTGCCACTGTCAAGGATAGGCTTGAGCAGTCCAGAGCTGAGACCAGGCCTCCAAAGAAACTGGCTGTGTCGCTATGGCACGTGCCTCTCTCTCTGAGTCTGGTCCTCTTTTGTCTGATGAGGGGATTAGACCAGTGACCTCTCAGGTTCCTCTTAGATATTACATGTGCTGTGGGACCGAGTGTTTTGCAGGAAGAGTATGGTCTTCATCTGTGAGAGCCCATAGTCTGATAGAGATAAAATAAACATGTAAAGAGCGGTTAGGGAATCAAGAGGAAAGCTGTGCCAGGGCAGTCCTTGCCTGGAGGGATGGGCGCCACATCACCCATCTCCCTCTCTCAGCCCCGCTCCCCACTGCTGGAGCTTCAGAGCACAAAAAATCCGGGAAGCTCCGAGAGGACTTCATGGACATCCCATCCTTGTTGAGAGAGAGAGAAAAAAAATCTTTACAAGCTCACATGATTTCATTTGGTTATTTTAAACTGTTTATCTTTCTGTCCTTTCCCCACGGAATTAACGTTTGCAGGCAAAAAAATCAACTTTGAGAAGTTTTCCTCCTTTGCTCAGCTATTTGTGTATAAATATTCCGTGAGTAAAGTCTCTAAAAGACTGCCAAGCCCCCCACCCACCCTGTTCCCATTCCCTAGTAGTTGCTGACTAAGAAAGACTTAATGAGCTTACATCCAAGAGTGGAATGTTTCAATGACTCTTAAAGCCCTCTATGTATTTTTAAAAATCATTTTATCCCTGGTGGTCTACTGGTTAGGATAAAAAAAAAAGGCTTTTCAAATGCATAAACAGTGCAGTAACAATATTCACAGATTATTTAAACAAATCACTCATAATCTAACAGCCCTCACACTACTCTTTATTTTTACCAATTGCCTTCCAGTTTTACCCATATGAACACGTAATTGACACTGTGATTATCAAGCTGTACATACAATCTTGTATTTTACGTTTTCCTTTTAACATCTGTAAACAAATACACATTTTCCCAAATGTATTCTTTGTAAATATCACGAATTAGTAAATCCAGGTAAACTCATCACTGATGGATTGCCCAGTGAGTAGGCACCAGGCTAAAGCATGTAGGATATGGAAAGGTAAGCGTCATCTCTGCCCTCAGTAAGTTTACAGTCTTATGGAGAGATCAGACATACATACATGAAACAATCCGGGACAACAAATAATTAGGTGGAGAACTGTGATGCACTCAAGTCAGGCAGGCCTGCGAGGTGGTGGTGCGTTCCCTTATCAAGGGTTTGGGGACTGAGAGAAGGCTACCTCCCTGTGAAGATGGAGGAATTGATTCAGCTCAGATGGGCAAAACCGGAAGAAGGTATGAAGGTGCTGAATAAGGGGAACACACAATTGGCAGTGGTCACTGAGGCAGCCGGCCCAACAGGCACAGAAGGCTCATGTGCCCTCCTCATTAGCCAGATGAACTGAATCAGGCCCAGAAGGGAATGGGACTGGCCCCAACCACATGGCTGCCTGGTGTCAGCCGTGGTGAGAACTCTATCGGCTCACAGTGGGACCATAGACAGGAAGAGGTGGGAATGGGGGAGAGATTTGGAGTTTCCTGAAAGCTGGACTGAAGTGCAGAGTTGACGTCCCTGGGATGCAGGAGGGGCATATGGTGAAATCAGTGCTACAGTCCCATTGGTCTACTAGGAGTGTGCATGGGTCGCTGTTGTTTTGGTTTTGAGATGAAAGGGTTCTATCCAATTAGATTGACCACAGAGTGAGGGGACTTAAGAGGCTGGAGAGCAGGAGGTGGAAGGGAAAGCAGGCGCTTCAGGCCTCACGAGGAAACACAGGTGAGGAGCTTCCCCTCTTCATTGCTCTGTCCTTGCCTAGAACAGTGCCTGGTGCAGGGGAGGTCCTGGTATTTGTGGAATGAGAGCTGAATCTAGTTTTGCAAAATTTCTGTACAAAGTTTGGCACATCTCTGTATTCCTGCTCCAGGTCTCCGTGTCACCACTGTAAGATGAAGTTATTAGTTATTTTTTCTTTTTCTTTCTTTTTCTTCTTTTTTTTGAGTCAGAATCTTGCTCTGTTGCCCAGGCTGGAATGCAGCAGAGTGATCAGGGCTCACTGCAGCCTCAACCTCCTGGGCATAAGTGATCTTCCCACCTCAGCCTCCCAAGTAACTGGAAATAGAGACGTGTGCCATCACGCCTGGCTGAGTTATTTTTCGAGTGTCACTGAGGGACAGGTCAGACCAGGAGACTGCATGAGTCTCAGGAGCTAATAGTCCTGAGCTTTGCTGAGGTCTGTAAGGATTGGCACGTGGAGCCAATGACATGAGATCCCAATTAGTCATCCTGGCAGCTGCTTCCTGCCTCCCTTCCCCTGTTGCCTGCTGCTTGGACCTCTTTGGCGTGGTAAGTGGATACTGCCTGGACTCATCAATTATTACTGCTGGAGGGCAGCTTACGCAGCAGCTCCTGTGCCCTCCTCATTACCCAGATGAATTGAGTCAGGCCCAGAAGGGAGTGGAACTGGGCCAAATGACATGACTGCCTGGAGTTAGCCATGGCAAGAACCTCATCAGCTCACAGTCCAGCCCCACTCATTCATGCATATAACAGATATCACTGAGCACATGCTATGTGTCAGGCACTGTTGCAGTGCTGGTGATGCAGCAGCAGGCAAACAGATGAAAACACTGAGGTGGGGAGACCAAACATTAACGAGATAAGATAGACGGTGAGAGGCACCAAGGAAAAAGCAGATGGTGGGGGGTGGGGAGGGGTGGGGGCTTGCAATTGTAGAGACAGCAGCTAAGGAAGGCCTCAATGAGTAAGTAACATTAGGGCTGGGCACCGTGGCATATGCCTGTAATCCCAGCTTTTGGTAGGCTAAGGCTGGAGGATCACTTGAGGTCAGGAATTCAAAGCCACAGTGAGCCATGATCACACCACTGCAGCCTCGCTTGGGTGACAAAGCAAGACCACGATTCAAAAAAATAAAAATAAAAAATAAAAAGAAAAAAGACATTAGAACAAAAAGCTAAGCAGGAATCCGGAAGGGAGCACCAGGTTATCTGGATGGCATGTGATGCAAAGGCCCTGGGGCAGGAGTGGGCCTGGCATGTTCCAGGAAAAATGAGGAGTGACGTGAGGAGAGAACAGGAGGAAATGAGCCAGAGGGACCTCGGGGCAGCTGGTGCGGGGTCCTCGATTTCATAGCAAGGCCTTTGGCATTTATCCTTTCCAGTTGCTAATTCATGACTCTGCCTTCTCCTGCTTACTCGCAAGGGCACTGTGACCTCTGTGGGCAGAGAGGAGAATGGAACAGCCAACAGGACTCCCAAGAGCACACAGCGGCAGTGTGGGCAGCTCCCTGGACACCTGTGCTGGGCCTGCCCCGCACCCTTGCCCCAGAAGTCCCGCAGACCCAGAGGACATAGTGGCCTCTCATCTCAGGATTATGAGAAAGAGCACGATGCAAAGCCACAACAAACCAGTTGAGTGCTTAGCATCTGCAAAATATCAGAAGGGAGCAAGTTTAACAGCTGAGGCCAATGAAGAGCGCTGAGTCAGAGGCCAGTAGCGCCCATGCCTTGGCTGAGTGAAGGGTAGAACCAGATATATTTACGTAGAAGTGGCTGGCAAAAAGTGAAGCCCCGATGGTGATCTGTGTTATTAGCTTGGGCTTCTAATTTCTAATGTCTCGTACTTCCTGCCAGTGCTCCGTACCCACGTGTGTGAAAACCTCTGTGCAGAACGGCTTGCCAGGGACCAGTGTGGATGCCAGGCCCTGGGTGGCCAGCTGAGGCAATTGGTTGACTAGCACAGTAGTTTCAGAGCAAGCTCCTGCCTACCAGAGTTCTCACGCGCCCCTCTAGAAGAAGGTGTTCCACGCCCTGAGGCAGAATCTGTGGCGTTAAAAGGCGCCCCTGGTTCAGACACTGCTCAGGGGCAGCAGAGAACAGGGCAGGACACGCGATTCACCACTACTAGGGCGGGGTCGGTGAAGACTCACCTTCAGAGAAGCCTCAGCTCAGGTGGCCAGATCCATTTCTCTGGGCATCTCAGCCTCTCCCTGTGACCAGGCCCCTCTGCTCCGTGGGTGCTACGAAGGGCGTGGACAGAGCCAGAAGCAAGGGCCAAAGTCTTCTCTGAGTTGTCAAGATGGACTTGGACTCTGGCTCTGGCTCTGGCTGTGGTCCTCATCTGTGTGCTCCCTGTTAGTCCCCCAAGGGGGTGCAGTGTAGCAGTCAATGTCAACTCAATTCCACAATCATTTATTATATTTCAGCTGCCAGGTAGTTTATCTGTAGCAGGAAATTGATAAGGCATGAACCCTTCCTTCAGAGATATTGAATCTATTATGTGTGTGTTTAGGGGTGGGTGTATTAGTGTGAGTGTGAGTGTGTGTGTGTGCATTAACTCACACATGCTGTGGAGGCAGCCTGGGATATTAGCAGGAAGAGTCCTGAGCTAGAGTGAGAAGGCCTTGTCCCAAGTCCTGACTACTTAGCCTACTCCCTGTGGGCCTTTGGGTCAGACACGTGTCCTCTCAAAGTGTTGGCTTCTGCTACTGCTCAATGGGGATAGTGAAGCTTCCCTGGCTGCATCAGGGGGTTTGTTGGGAGGATCAGTTGGGGCAATAAGTGGTAAAGTATTTAATGCGCACAGGAAGTTGTATGCTCATGAACGTTGGCAGCATGTATGTGAGTGCAAAAACAGATAATTATCAGCATGAGCCAAAAAAAAAAAAAAAAAAATCAGGCTAAAATCAAAGAAGGGACACCAATGGGATCAAGAAGAGAAGGTCCAGAAAAGAATGCAGATGTTACTCCAAATGCATCTCTGTGTGTTCATATTGGCTGATGTAGGGGTGTGCACTGCCTGGACTACTGAAGTCCCAGCCCTCCAGAGTCCTCCTAGATCTCTGGTAATGCAAGAAGAATGTCCCTCCCTACTCTGGGGAGGCTGCTTCCTCCCCAGGTCAAAGCCATTGTTATTATCGGCTACAGATATTAGTGAGCACACTGGGCTACAAGGGGGACTAACATTTATGAAGTACCCAGTACTATGTGCACAACACGGTGCAAACCTTTCTTTTTGGGCAGCCAGGATGGAGTGCAGTGGTGCAATCAGGGCTCACAGCAGCCTCGAACTCCTAGGCCCAAGTGATCCTCCCATCTCAGCCTCCTGAGTAACTAGGACTACAGGCATGCATCACCATGCATGGCTGATTTTTTTTTTTTTGAAACGGAGTTTCACTCTTGTTGCCCAGGCTGGAGTGCAATGGTGCGATCTCAGCTCACTGCAACCTCCACCTCCCGGGTTCAAGCGATTCTCCTGCCTCAGCCTCCCAAGTAGCTGAGATTACAGCCATGAACCACCATGCCCAGCTAATTTTGTAGTTTTAGTAGAGATGAGGTTTCTCCATATTGGTCAAGCTGGTCTCGAACTTCCGACCTCAGGTGATTGGCCTGCCTCGGCCTCCCAGGTAGCTGGGAGGCATGAGCCACCATGCCCGGCCAAGGCTAATTTTAAATTTTTTTAAATTTGAAACCCTCCCCCTTGCCCCAGTTTTAAATTTGTTTGTAGGGACTGGGTCTCACTGTGTTGCCCAGGCTAGTCTTAAACTCCTGGCCTCAAGTGATCCTCCTGTCTTGACCTCACAAAGTGTTGGGACTACAGGCATGAGCCACCACGCCTGGCCGGCAAACATCTTATAGTACTCTGCAAGATAGGTATTGCTATCTTCATTTTATACAATAATAATAAATAACACTTACTAAGTTAAATAATACAAAATATGTAACACGTACTAATGCATTTAATCCTCGCAGTGGCCTTGTGAGGAAAGTACTACTATTATTCATCTCCACTTTTTGGAGGAGGAAGCTAAGGCAACTGAGGTTAACTAACTTCCTCAAGGTCACACAACTAATAAACGGCTGTGGTCAACTGCCTTTTCCTCTCGGAGTAATTCTCTGCCTTTCTGAGCCTTTGTGCTATATCACAGAGAACTGCGTTTCCCAGGCTCCCTTGCTCTCTGGCTTCCAGGTTGGTTCAGCCAATGGAAAGCTGGGAGAGAGGGAGGAGGTGGAGAGAAGCCAAGGTATCTCTCTCTCTTTCTCTTCTTCCTGTAGTGTCTCTGGCAACAGTTATGTCCTTAGGTGGCTCTCACATCTACTCTACAGGCCCTCCCTCCATGATCTCAGCTCCCATCAGGCAGCCTCTATGGGGTTTCAGATCCCACCAGATGGCCCCCACTCTGGGCTCTAGCTGCACTACCTCCTCCTACGTAACTCCCTGTATAGTAGCGTCTTGTGCTTCCATTAGACTTCTCAGTCCTTCCATTTCCAGTGCTGCCAATTCCCTGTATTAAATTCCTTCTGCCAGAGAGACCTAGAAGACTCTGTTTCCCTGGGTGGACCCTTACTTGTACCCAGACAATATGGCTGCAGAGCCCACAATCTTAACCTTTTCAGGTGAGAAAATAGACACAGACTTATATAACTTGCTCTAGGTTGCAAAACTAAAGTATAAAACAACCAAGAAAAATTTGGAAAATCAGAAAAACAAGAGGATGTCCTTTTAGATATCAAAAGATACCTTGAAGCTATAAGAATAAAAACAATGTGGTGCTGACCCTGAATCAGTGGAATAAATCAATGGAACAGAATCCAATTCAGAAACAACTATGGGAATAGAAGAATATTTTCTTCTTAAAGGGGGCATTTCAAAGAAGTGGAGAAATGCTATTAGAGGGATTAAGCCATTAATTTGGGGGAGAGTCCCAGAATAAATTTCAAATGGATTGAAGAGTTAAGCAACATGAAAGTACCAGAAATAAATAAAGAAGAACTAAGTCTTGGGATTAGGAAACTTCTTTCCAAGCAAGACTGAAAAACCAAAAGCCATAAAGGATAAAGCTGACAAATGTATAATTTACATGACAATTTAAAATGTTTGGTAGAGGAAAGAACCCAAAGCTCTAAAGAAATCTGTGCCTAGCTGGCTTTGTTTGAGATCTCCACTGTCCTCTGAAAATGGGGAAGGAAACTGAGACCGATTTCTTGGGTGCTCTTGCTGTTACTGCAATTCTAGCCCTTCCCCCAGCTCGAGGCACAAGGAGACGCTTCACAAAGCGAGAACCTGCCTGCTCCTTCATGCACAGTTTTCATTCGGTGCTAAAGCTGCAAAAATGAGATAAGCTGAAGCCAAAAGGTATTTGGAAAGTGGAGATGAATAGGTCAGGAACTCTGTACTCTTTTTAAAGAACGTTATCTATTTGGCCTACTTATTCTTTGGTCATGAGTGCTTGAGGGAAGGCAAGGACGACAGGACAAAGAAGACTGGGAATAACTGAAAACCTGGGCCTCAAAAGCAGTAGGGGAGAGGTGATATCTCCAGAGCAGCAGGACAGGCGAATGGAGCATTTGGTTCTCAATTCGTTTATATTAGTAAGTATGAGACCTTTCCTCTTACACGTTTTGTTTTTGTTTTATTTTTTCAGATAGAGTCTTGCTTTGTTGCCCAGGCTGGAGTGCAATGGCACGATCTCGGCTCACTGCAACCTCCTCCTCTTGGGTTCAAGTGATTCTCCTGCCTCAGCCTCCCAAGTAGCTGGGATTACAGGCGCCTGCCACCACGCCTGGCTAATTTTTGTATTTTTAATAGAGATGGGGTTTCTCCATGCTGGTCAGGCTGGTCTCAAACTCCTGACCTCAGGTGATCCACTCGCCTTGGCCTCCCAAAGTGCTGGGATTATAGGCATGAGCCACGGCGCCCAGCCTCTTACACATGTTAAAAGAAAATTTTATTTATTTTTTTGAGACAGAGTCTCCCTCTGTCGCCCAGGCTGGAGTGGAGTGGCGCGATCTCGGCTCACTGCAACCCCCGCCTCCCGGGTTCAAGTGTTTCTCTTGCCTCAGCCTCCTAAGTAGCTGGAATTACAGGCACCACCACCATATCCAGCTGATTTTTGTATTTTTAGTAGAGACAGGGTTTCACCATGTTGGCCAGGCTGGTCTTGAACTTCTGACCTCAGGTGATCCACCCGCCTGGGATTACAGGCATGAGCCACCATGCCCAGCCAGAAAAATTTTAGACATATTAAAGTTAACAGAGTTTAATTGAGCAAAGAATGATTCATGAATCCGGTAACTCCCTGAACCAGAGGGACTCTGATGCTGCCATGTGGTCAGAGAGGAATTTATGGACAGGAAAAGGAAAATGGGCTGGGCGTGGTGACTCACGCCTCTAATCCCTGCACTTTGGCAGGCCAAGGAGAGCGGATCATTTGAGCCCAGGAGTTCAAGACCAGCTTGGGCAGTATGTTGAAACCCTGTCTCTACAAAAAAATACAAAAATTAGCCAGGCGTGGTGGTGTGCACCTATAGTTCTGGCTAATCAGGAGGGTGAGGTGGGAGGATGACTCGAGGCCAGGAGGTGGTGGTTGCAGTGAGCCACGATCATCCCACTGCACTCCAGTCTGGGGGATGATAGAGCAGGACTTGGTCTCAAACAAAACAAAACAAAACAAAAACAAAAAAAGGAAAATGACATACAGAAAATGGAAGTCAGGCTGGGCGTGGTGGCTTATGCCTGTAATCCCAGCAGTTTGGGAGGCCAAGGTGGGTGGATCACTTGAGGTCGGGAGTTTGAGACCAGGCTGGCCAGATGGTGAAACCCCTTCTCTACTAAAAATACAAAAATTAGCCGGGTGTGGTGGCGCACATCTGTAATCCCAGCTACTCAGGAGGCCAAGGCAAGAGAATCTCTTGAACCTGGGAGGTGGAGGTTGCAGTGAGCCAAGATTGCACCACTGCTCTCCAGCCTGGACAACAGAGTAAGATTTCGTCTCGAAATAGATAAATAAGTAAATAAATAAAATTAAAAAAGAAAATGGAAGTGATGTATAGAAATAGCCATATTGGTTACAGATCGGTGTTTATTTTATTTGAACATAGTTTGAACAGTTGACCACCTGTGATTTGCTAAAACTCAGTGATTGGTACTGTCTGTTTACACATCCAGTTAGGTTACAGTTTAATATGTTTACAGACTAAACTTAAAATATGTAAGCAGGCAGCTTTAGGCTAAACTTAATTGAACAATTTCTTCCTTTTAGTCAACCTCTTAAAATGAAGAGGTTGACCAAACTTTATGTATTGCTGTCACTTTGTCACCATAGCAAATAGACTTACTTGGTTTCAAATCCCACTGAGAAATAGTGGAACACTGTGTTTTATAAGGTGGAAACGAGGAATTTAGATTCCCTTTTTGTAAAGGGTAGAGCAGAGACGACTTCCTTATTATACTATAATCCCCTCTTTTCTGGAGAAAAAAAATCTGGTCTCTTTGGGGATCCATATGCTTCCTTAAAGTTTTAGTTTGATTGTGCTGCATTTAGCATGAGTTGACTCCATTTGGTTAGATCCAATCTAGTCTGTTGGGGCCTAGTGCATGAGTTCAGTCCAAAACAATGGCCTCCCATAATTTTGTTGAACAATTCTCCCCTTTTGATCATGTTGTCACTTAAGTGAGAGTGTGACCAAAACATCGCTAATTGCTACTCTCAGTTATGATCATTTTGGGTTTCTGGTCTCAACATGTCTTTCATAGGTTATAGTGTCCTCATGATTATGTATTTCTTTGAGATTTTGTCATCCCAGTTGAAGAGAGACCATTTGACATTCTATGCATGGCTGCATTAAACATTTACAATTTTTGAGAGGATATATTTCACCAGGGAGATGACTATTATGACTACCAGAAGGACAATACCAAGAGTTTGGAGTATGCTGCTTAGCCAGGGTCCCCATGAACTGAACCAACTAAAATTAAATAGATTAAAGAATAAGCTTGATAAATGGTCTACGAGTTTCGACCAAGCAGCCAGTTTTTTAATCCCCTGCAAATGAATCTCTATAGTACCTGACATATTCATCCATGTGCAACAAGAAGTGTCAGCAATTGGCTGGGCATGGTGGCTTACACCTATAACCCAGCACTTTGGGAGGCCCAGGCAAGAGGATTGTTTGAGCCCAGGAGTTCGAAACCAGCTCGGGCAACGTAGTGAGATCCTGTCTCTCTCTCTCTCCTCTCTCTCTCTCTCTCTCTCTCTCTCTCTCTCTCTCTCTCTCTCTCTGTGTGTGTGTGTGTGTGTGTGTATGTATATATATATATATATATGTAGTCAGCAACTGCACAGATTCTTCTCTGTTCAGCCAGTAAGTAGCCTAGAGCAGTTCTATTATGTAGCACAACTTTAGCAAAAAGTTTAAAGAAGTCTTTAGCATAGTGTTTATAGTTGAATCTGCTATAGAGTCTACTATGAGGGACAAATTTCTAATCATTGCCTCATTTACCCCAAATCATGGAAAAAGCAACCTAACGAATTATGCCCATTCAGAAGGGTGAAGGCCTCCTGGCAACGTTTGCTTCAACCTATAATGTAGGTTAAAAGAAATAGACCAATGTTCTGTTTCTGACTGATTATGGAGCTACAAAGGTACCGTGAAAATTCCTCACCCACTTTGGCCCTTCATCTTCTATCCATCAAGGCATAAGGTTGCTCATGCATAAGGTTAGCGGTGAAATCCTCCACAAATAAAAGTATACCCCATGGGTCCACACAAGACTTTTTCTAGTTCTAGTCTTCATAAAGGCATAAGCGAGGAAAAAATTAAGAGAGGTAAGAGTCTCATGATGGCAAAGAAGTCTTGATCTGTCATCTTGAGAAAGCTTTCCACATCTAGGATTCCATCTGCTTCTGGTGAGAAACTTCCCTGGTTAGCTTTATCTTGAGGTCTCCAACAGATATACAGTTCTAAGAGTCTGGAGGGGCCCTTCTGAGTTGTGAGATTACAGACCCAAGGTTCAAAGTCCTAAAGTTTTGCTGCAGTGTGGGTGGCAAGGTGTGTTGTTTCTAGAAGACCCAATCTCTATGTTCTTGATCATGAAGGATTTAATTGTCCTCAGTCAGTGGATCATGAAAACCTTCCTTACCTGGTGAAAATGCACTTTGGCATAATGCATTAAAGCCACAGTTAGCCATATCAAAGTTTAGGAGCAGAAGATACATGAGTTTTTGTTTTGTTTTGTTTTGTTTGTGTGTGTGTGTGGTTTTATTGTGTGTGTGACAGAGTCTCGCTCTGTCACCCAGGCTGGAGTGCAGTGGCTCAGTCTTAGCTCACTGCAACCTCCACATCCCGGGTTCACGGGATTCTCCTGCCTCAGCCTCTCGAGCAGCTGGGATTACAGACATGCACCACCATGCCTGGCTAATTTTTGTATTTTTGTAGAGACGGGGTTTCACCATGTTAGCCAGACTGGCTTGGAACTCCTGACCTCAGGTGATCCACCCGCCTCGGCCTCCCAAAGTGCTGGGGTTACAGGCGTGAGCCACAGCGCCTAGTCATGAGTTTCTATTATTAGGGGCATAGGCCTTCCAGTGACTGTTTTATAAAGGGTCAACTGATGTTTTCTGCTGAAAGTGGATCTAATTGTCATCAATCTGCAATACCTTTGACCAAGACAATCCAGTTGATTTACTTAGCTTTGCCTAGTACTATTTTGTCTGTAGTTTCTTATTTAACTGTTTTACAATTTGTTCAATGAAACAAATACATTTATCACTGGAGATTTCTCCAGGAATGCCCCCTGAAAAAAACACACTTCCTAATAAACTTTTAGCTACTGTTATATCATCAGACTTCTTTCGTGGGAAAGCTTCTATACAACCAGAAAATATGCATTCCGAATGACAATTGAATGAACTCCCTCTATAAATGTTCAAATGGCCAATCAGGTAGCAGAAGTGTACCTGAAGTTTTTATTGTTTCCCCAGGATTATGGATTTGACAAACTAAGCATTGGTCAAAAACCATTTTAGCAATTTAAAACGGTCACACCACACACACACACACACACACACACACATTTTCTATTTGGATCATTTAATCTCTACCATAATGTGTCATGGAGTACAGAGCTTCTAAGAGTGGAAGCTTTAAGGATTCAGGAAGGATGAGGCAGCTGTCCAGGCTCTCCATGAGTTTATGCTTAACATTGGATGTATATCTTCTTCAATACCAATTTTGTTTTTCCAATTCAGGTGAATAGTACTGTTTAATAACTGGGTTGGCCTGGTGCAGTGGCTCACACCTGTAATCCCAGCACTTTGGGAGGCCAAGACAGATGGATCTTTGAGTTCACAGATCAAGACCAGCCTGGGCAACATGGTGAAACCCCATCTCTACAAAAAATACAAAAACCAGCCAGGTGTGGTGGTGCATGTCTGTAGTCTCAGCTACTTGCGGGGCTTAGGTGGGGGATGGGGAAGGGGTGGCGAAGGAGGTTACAGTGAAACGAGATTGCACCACTGCACTCCAGCCTGGGTGATAGAGCCAGACCTTGTCTCAAAATAAATAAATAGGTAAAAACTGGGTTATCACAGGTAATCTGACTTGGACCATGGAGTTCATTCAAACTGCATATCCTAACAATTTCAGTACTGGCTGATTTAGCATGAAAATCTGGCAATGGCCGGTCATGGTGGCTCACACCTGTAATCCCATCACTTTGGGAATCTGAGGCGGGCAGATCACTTGAGTCCAGGAGTTCAAGACCAGCATGGGCAACATGGTAAAATCCTGTCTCTACAAAAAAATACAAAAATTAGCTGGGCATGGTGGCACATGCCTGTCGTCCCAGCTACTTAGGAAGCAGAGGTTTCAATGAGCCGAGATCATGCTATTGCACTCCAGCCTGGGTGACAGAATGAGACTCTGTCTTTAAAAAAAAAAAGATGTGCTTGTCAGGGTCCTTTATATTCTTTCCATGAACCTCCTTGAAGACACAACACTCTATGATTTTACTTGCTCGTAAAGAGCTTTCAGAAAATGCATCAGAATTAAGTAATTAACTGTGGAAACAATTTAAAATCGTCATAGTTAAAGACCCAATTGACAAGGAAATTTGGTTATTTCTGTGGACTGTAATAATTTAACATAATAGCCATAACTGTGACTTATACCAAGACATATCAGAATTTTAGGAATCTCATACAGTCTTATTTTGTTTTTGTTTGTTTGTTTGTTTGTTTTTGAGACTAAGTTTTGCTCTTGTTGCCCAGGCTGGAGTGCAATGGTGCGATCTTGGCTCACTGAAACCTCCATCTCCCAGGTTCAAGCTATTCTCCTGCCTCAGCCTCCCTAGTAGCTGGGATTACAGGTGCCCGCCACCATGCTCAGCTACTTTTTTTTGTATTTTTAGTAGAGATGGGTTTTCACCATGTTGGCAAGTCTGGTCTCAAACTCCTGACCTCTGGCAATCCACCCACCTCAGCCTCCCAAAGTGCTGGGATTACAGGCATGAGCCACCACACCATGCCTTGTTTTTTTTGTTTTTTTTTTGTTTGTTTGAGACAGGATCTTGCTCTGTCGCCCACACTGGAGTGCAGTGGCATGATCATGGCTCAGCCTTGACCTCCTGGGCTCAGGCAATCCCCCTGCCTTAGCCTTCAGAGTAGCTGGGACCACAGGGCATGCCAACATACTTGGCTAAATTTTTTATTTTTGTAGAGAAGAGATTCCTATGTTGCCCAGTCTGATTTCAATCTCCTGGGCTCAAGGATCCTCTTGCCTTCGCCTCCCAAAGTGCTGGGATTACAGGCATGAGCCACTGTGCCCAGCCAATTTTGGAACATACATTAATAACATATCCAAAATGTAATTTGAAAGTTAAACATCAGGCCAGGCACGGTGGCTCACACCTGTAATCCCAGCACTTTGGGAGGCTGAGGAAGGCGGATCACCTGAGGTCGGGAGTTCGAGACCAGCCTGACCAACATGGAGAAACCCCATCTCTACTAAAAATACAAAATTAGCCAGGTGTGGTGGTGCATGCCTGTAATCCCAGCCACTCAGGAGGCTGAGGCAGGAGAATTGCTTGAACTTGGGAGGTGGAGGTTGCAGGGAGCCGAGATTGTGTCATTGCACTCCAGCCTGGGCAACAAGAGCAAAACTCAATCTCAAAAAAGCAGAAAAGCAAAACAACAAAAAAAGAAAGTTAAACATCATTTCTTATTTGACAATGCTTCCCATGTCACTTAAAATATTAAATAAGCCTGCTTATTGTCTCTCTTTTGGATGCTGCAGGGGCCTCCTGTAGCATTGCAAAGTTAGTTTGTGGCCTAAAAGACTTAATTTTGAATTTAAAATTTGATTTTGAGAAGCCTGTCAAAAATTTAAAACAACCAAAATAGGAGGCTGGGCATGGTGGATTACGCCTGTAATCCAAGCACTTTGGGAGGCTGAGGGGGAGTTCGAGACCAGCCTGGCCAACATGGTGAAAACTCATCTCTACTAAAAATACAAAAATTAGCTAGGTGTGGTGGTGAGTGCCTGTAATCCCAGATACTTGGGAGGCTGAGGTGGGAGAATAGCTGAGCCTGGGAGGCAGTTTGCAGTAAGCTGAGTTCTTGCCACTGCACTCCAGTCTGGGCGACAGAGTGAGACTCCATCTCAAAAACAAACAAACAAGCAACAAAAATAGGATCACAGATCACTGTAAAATAATATTTATTTAGCCAAAGTGATAATTAAAAGGTTTTAAAAAGCAAAAACCTTTATTCTTTGATAGAAAAGTCTGTTTTTCTAACAATCAAAAGACCTAATAAAGACAGCCTGAGATAGAATCTGTCTCTTCTCTTCCTTTTTTTTTTTTTTTTTTTGCAGTTTACTCAAAGATAAACAAAAATATTTTACTATCTCTTATTAATCCTACACAGGCTGGGTTTGGTGGCTCACACCTGTAATCCCAGCACTTTGGGAGGCCGAGGCAGGCAGATCACTTGAGGTCAGGAGTTCAAGACCAGCCTGGCCAATGTGGTGAAACCCCATCTCTACCAAAAATTAGCTGAGCATGGTGGTGCATGCCTGTAATCCCAGCTACTTGGGAGACTGAGGCAGGAGAATCGCTTGAACCCAGGGGGTGCAGGTTGCAGTGAGCTGAGATCATGCCATGGCACTCCAGCCTTGGCAACAGAGCAAGACTCTGTAAAAAAAAAAAAAACAAACTATACAAAATTCTTACTCAAAAGAGAAAATCAAATTTTAGTTCCATATAGTGTATTATCAATACTAAAGCTAACTTTAATGAAACCTTACCTTTCCTCACTTCTTAGAGAAGGGTCCATAGATCCATTGTTCTGGATTCCCATCATAACTTTTTTTTTTTTGAGACCGAGTTTCACTCTTGTTGCCCAAGCTGGAGTGCAATGGCACGATCTCGGCTCACCGCAACCTCCGCCTCTCGGGTTCAAGCGATTCTCCTGCCTCAGCCTCCTGAGTAGCTGGGATTACAGGAATGCGCCACCACACCTGGCTAATTTTTGTATTTTTAGTAGAGATGGGGTTTCTCCATGTTGGTCAAGCTGGTCTTGAACTCCCAACCTCAGGTGATCTGCCCGCCTTGGCCTCCCAAAGTGCTGAGATTATAGGCGTGAGCCACCGCGCCTGGCCAACTTTTTATTTATTTATTTAAAATAGAGATAGGGTCTCACTGTGTTGCCAGGGCTGGTCTCAAACTCCTGGGTTTGAGCAATCCTCACACCTCAGCCTCTCAAAGTGCCGGGATCACAGGCATGAAACACTGTGTCCAGCCCTGTCATAACTTAAAGGGAAACTTTTACGATATTTGGAGCACTGATGTTCTGGAAATTAAGGAGGAGGGTGTCCTCAAGTTCCTTGCAGCAGGAAGCCACTTAGGTAGCACCAACCTTGACTTCCAAATGGAACAGCACATCTATAAAAGGAAAAGTAATGGCATCGACATCATAAATCTGGAGAAGCTTCTATTGGCAGCTTGTGCTATTGAAAACCCTGCTGATGTCAGCATCATCCTCCAGGAATACTAGCTGGTTGGCTGTGCTGAAGTTTGCTGCTGCCATTGGAGCCACTCCTATTGCTGGCTGTTTCATTCCTGGAACTTACACTAACCAGATCCAGACAGCCTCCTGGGGGCCATGTCTTCTGGTGGTTACTGGTCCCAGGGCTGACCACTGGCCTCCTACATAGGCCTTTTATGTTAACCTGCCTACCATAGCTCTGTGTAACACAGATTCTCCTCTGCACTGTATGGACATTGCCATTACATGCAACAAGAAGAGAGCTCATTCAGTGGGTCTGATGTGGTGGAGGCTGGCCTGGGAAGTTCTGAGCATGCGTGGCACCATCTCCATTGGACACCCAAGGGAGGTTATACCTGATCTCTAATTCTATAGAGATCCTGAAGAGATTGAGAAGGAAGATTGAGAAGGAAGAGCTGCTGAAAAAGCTGTGATCAAGAAGGAACTTCAGAGTAAATAGACTGCTCCACCTCCTGTATTCACCGCTGCTCAGCCTGAAGTTGCACACTGGTCTGAAGGCATGCAGGTGCCCTCTGTGCCTGTTTAGCAGGTTCCTACTGAAGACTGGAGTGCTCAGCCTTCCACAAAAGACTGGTAGGCAGCTCCCACTGCACAGGCCACTAAATGGGTAGGAACAACCACTGAGTGGGCTTAAGCTATTCTTCCACAGTCTCTTAAGCAATGTGGAAATAAGGTTCATGGAAAATAAACATCAGTTTTCTAAAAATAAATAAATAATTAAAAGCTTATAAATAAATCCATCCAGTTTCAGTCAGCTTTTGACCCACAAGATTTTCATAAACATTTTATAATCTCTTACACATTTTTTTCTATTCTCTTTCTCTTCCCAACTTTCTACATTCATTTAATGTTATTGATATCTTTTTTCTTCATTTAAAAACAACCTTTAAGGCTGGGCACAGTGGCTCATGCCTGTAACCCCAGCACTTTGGGAGGCTGAGGTAGGAGGATCACTTGAGCCCAGGAATTTGAGATCAGCCTGGGAAACATTGTGAGACCCCATCTTTACAAAAAAAGTTTGAAAATCAGCTGGGTAAGCCAGGCACGGTGGCTCACGCCTGTAATCCCAGCACTTTGGGAGGCTGAGGTAGGTGGATCACCTAAAGTCGAGAGTTCAAGACCAGCCTAACCAACATGGAGAAACCTCGTCTCTATTAAAAAATACAAAATTAGCTGGGCATGGTGGCGCATGCCTGTAATCCCACTTGGGAGGCTGAGGCAGGAGAGTCACTTGAGCCCAGGAGGTGCAGGTTGTGGTGAGTTGAGATCACACCATTGCACTCTAGACTGGGCAACAAGAGCAAAACTCCATCTCAAAAAAAAAAAAAAAGAAAAAAGAAAAAGAAAATCAGCTGGGTTGGCAGCACACACCTGTAGTCCAGATACTCAAGAGGCTGAGGTGAGAGGATTGCTTGGGCCTGTCAGGTCAAGGCTGCAGTCAGCCATGATTGCTCCACTGCACTCTAGACTGGGTGTCAGAGTGAGACCCTGTCTCAAAAAACAAACAAACAAACAAACAAACAAAAAAACAACTTTTAAGTAACTTCTTAAATGCACAAATTTATTTTTTCTCAACAAACACACATCTTAATGCCTTTACAACTTTTATCTCCCCAAATACATCTTGCTTTTCTTTATACATGCTGTATACAGAGTTGTTTTCCTTATATTTAGTAGTTATTGCTTTTTTGTGCCCTTTTGGGTCCTGAATTTACACATCAGGCATAGATCTTGGGACAGGAAAGAGCTGTGAAGCAAATTCCTGGAAGATCAAACCCCTTCCAGCATGGCCAGGTAGCACAGCTGAGCCAGGGATGATGGGGCCATATTGGGTTTGGCTCTGCCTTGCAGCTGGCAGTCCAAACACTGAGGACATGCATATTTCTGCAGGCCTCACTATGGTCATCTGTCCAAACCCCAGAATCCAGAGACTCAAAACGAAATACAGTCATACAGTAAGATATGTGCAAGGTTTCAGGGAGCCCAGCAGCCAGACCTTACAGCTTTAGCTCAATTTAGACAAATCAAGCAAGTTTAAGAAATATTCCAGAAGTAGCAGTTTTATGACCTTAAAACATGTAATAGGCTGGGCACGGTGGCCCATGCCTGTAATCCCAGCACTTTGGGAGGCCAAGGTGGGCAGATCACTTGAGGTCAGGAGTTCGAGACCAGCCTGGCCAACATGGTGAAATCCTGTTTCTACTACAAATACAAAAATTAGCCAAGTATGGTGGCATACATGTGTAGTTTAGCTATTCGGAAGGCTGAGGCAGGAGAATCACTTGAACCTGGGAGACGGAAGTTGTGGTGAGCTGAGATCTCACCACTGCACTCCAGCCTGGGCAATGAGAGCAGAACTCCAGCTCAAAAACAAAAAACAAATTAAAAAAAAAAAAAAAAAAAAGGTAATAGAGACGATGTAAACCTGTCTGTCAGTAGACCCAGGCAAAAACAATTAGATTTAACTGACAATCCTGAAGCCTTTCCAACTTTCTTTCTTTTTTTTTTTTTTTTAATTGATCATTCTTGGGTGTTTCTCGCAGAGGGGGATTTGGCAGGGTCACAGGACAATAGTGGAGGGAAGGTCAGCAGATAAGTGAACAAAGGTCTCTGGTTTTCCTAGGCAGAGGACCCTGCGGCCTTCCGCAGTGTTTGTGTCCCTGGGTACTTGAGATTAGGGAGTGGTGATGACTCTTAACGAGCATGCTGCCTTCAAGCATCTGTTTAACAAAGCACATCTTGCACTACCCTTAATCCATTCAACCCTGAGTGGACACAGCACATGTTTCAGAGAGCACAGGGTTGGGGGTAAGGTCACAGATCAACAGGATCCCAAGGCAGAAGAATTTTTCTTATACAGAACAAAATGAAAAGTCTCCCATGTCTACCTCTTTCTACACAGACATGGCAACCATCCGATTTCTCAATCTTTTCCCCACCTTTCCCCCCTTTCTATTCCACAAAACCGCCATTGTCATCATGGCCCGTTCTCAATGAGCTGTTGAGTACACCTCCCAGACGGGGTGGTGGCCGGGCAGAGGGGCTCCTCACTTCCCAGTAGGGGCGGCCGGGCAGAGGCGCCCCTCACCTCCTGGACGGGGTGGCTGGCCGGGCGGGGGGCTGACCCCCCTGCCTCCCTCCCGGATGGGGTGGCTGGCCGGGCAGAGGGGCTCCTCTCTTCCCAGTAGGGGCGGCCGGGCAGAGGCGCCCCTCACCTCCCGGACGGGGCGGCTGGCCGGGCGGGGGGCTGACCCCCCCGCCTCCTCCCGGACAGGGCGGCTGGCCGGGCGGGGGGCTGACCTCCCTGCCTCCCTCCCGGATGGGGCGTCTGGCCGGGCCAGGGGCTGACTCTCCCACCTCCCTCCCGGACGGGGCGGCTGGCCCGGCAGAGGGGCTCCTCTCTTCCCAGTAGGGGCAGCCGGGCAAAGGCGCCCCTCACCTCCCGGATGGGGCGGCTGGCCGGGCGGGGGGCTGACCCCCCCACATCCTTCCCGGATGGGGCGGCTGGCCAGGCAGAGGGGCTCCTCACTTCCCAGTAGGGGCGGCCGGGCAGAGGCGCCCCTCACCTCCCCGACAGGGCAGCTGGCCGAGCGGGGGGCTGACCCCCCCACCTCCCTCCCGGACGGGCAGCTGGCCGGGCAGGGGGATGACCCCCCCACCTCCCTCCTGGATGGGGCGGCTGGCCGGGCGGGGGGCTAACCCCCCCACCTCCCTCCCAGACGGGGTGGCTGCCAGGCGGAGACGCTCCTCACTTCTCAGAGGGTGTGGCTGCCAGGCGGAGGGGCTCCTCACTTCTCAGACGGGGTGGTTGCCAGGCAGAGGGTCTCCTCACTTCTCAGACGGGGCGGCCAGGCAGAGACGCTCCTCACATCCCAGACGGGGCGGCAGGGCAGAGGCGCTCCCCACATCTCAGACGATGGGCGGCCTGGCAGAGACGCTCCTCACTTCCTAGATGGGATGGCGGCCGGGCAGAGACGCTCCTTACTTTCCAGACTGGGCAGCCAGGCAGAGGGGCTCCTCACATCCCAGACGATGGGCGGCCAGGCAGAGACGCTCCTCACTTCCCAGACGGGGTGGCGGCCGGGCAGAGGCTGCAATCTCGGCACTTTGCGGGGCCAAGGCAGGCAGCTGGGAAGTGGAGGTTGTAGCCAGCCGAGATCACGCCACTGCACTCCAGCCTGGGCACCATTGAGCACTGAGTGAACGCGACTCCGTCTGCCATCCCGGCACCTCGGGAGGCCGAGGCTGGCGGATCACTTGCGGTTAGGAGCTGGAGACCAGCCCGGCCAACACAGCGAAACCCCGTCTCCACCAAAAAAATACGAAAACCAGTCAGGCGTGGCGGCGCACGCCTGCAATCGCAGGCACTCGGCAGGCTGAGGCAGGAGAATCAGGCAGGGAGTTTGCAGTGAGCCGAGATGGCAGCAGTACAGTCCAGCTTTGGCTCAGCATCAGGGGGAGACCGTGGAAAGAGAGGGAGAGGGAGACCGTGGGGAGAGGGAGACCGTGGGGAGAGGGAGAGGGAGAGGGAGAGGGAGAGGAGGGAGAGGGAGAGGAGGGAGAGGGAGAGGAGGAGCCTTTCCAATTTTCTTGCCTGCCTGCCTGCCTTCCTTCCTTCCTTCCTTCCTTCCTTCCTTCCTTCCTTCCTTCCTTCCTCCCTCCCTCCTCCCTTCCCTTCCCCTCCCCTCCCCTCCCGTCCCCTCCCCTTCCCTTCCCTTTCTTTCTTTCTTCTGGAGATAGAGTCTCACTCTGTTGCCCAGGATGTTATGCAGTGGAGTGATCATGGCTCACTGCAGCCTCAACCTCCCCAGACTCAGGTGATTCTTCCACCTCAGCCTCCTGAATAGCTGGGACTACAGGCACATACCACCATGCTTGGCTAATTTTTGTATTTTTTACAGAGACAGAGTTTTGCCATATTGCCCAGGCTGGTCTTGAACGCCTGGACTCAAGCAATCTGCCCACTTCAGCCTCCCAAAATGCTGAGATTACAAGTGTGAACCACCACATCCGGCCTTCCAATTTCATTTTACTAATAATTTAAAAACTAGCTTTATTTACCAAATATTATCACATATGCACAGCACATATAGACATAGAGACACACAGACAGAAGCAGAACTTATAACTTCCTTAACAAATACTCATTTGCCAGCTTTCAAGTAGTTTTTCTTTTCCCCATTCAAACTATCAGTCTTTCAATTACCTATTTCAATGCCCTAAACAATTGTTAGCTAAGCAGCCCTAAACTTGCATGTCTAAAGGGATGACTCTTAGGTGGAACAAGGTAGAAAATTTATATCTCAAAAGCACAGAGCTAGTTGGGGGTGGTGGCTCATGCCTGTAATCCCAGCACTTTGGGAGGCCAAGGCTGGTAGATCACTTGAAGCCAGAAGTTTGAGAGCAGCCTGACCAACATGGCGAATCCCATCTTTACTAAAAATACAAAAATTTAGCTGGGCGTGGTGATGTATGCCTGTAATCCCAGCTACGTGGGAGGCTGAGGCACAAGAATCATATGAATCCAGGAGGCAGAGGTTGCAGTGAGCTGAGATTGCATCACTGCACTACAGAAAGGGTGACAGAGCAAGACTGTGTCTCAAAAAAAAAAAAGCATCAAGCTGAGACTTCAGATCTAAATACTGTAGCATCATTTGCCCAAACCAAGGAAGAAGAATGTGAAGACCCAGTTAAAACAAGATGGCAGTGAACAAAGGTAAGACTTGTTATGTAATTTTATTTATTTATTTTTTTGAGATGGAGTTTCACTCTTGTTGCCCAGGCTGGAGTGCAATGGTGCAAGTCGGCTCACTGCAAACTCCACCTCCCAAGTTCAAGTGATTCTTCTGCCCCAGCCTCCCGAGTAGCTGGGATTACAGGCACCCACCACCATGCCCAGCTAATTTTTGTATTTTTAGTAGAGATGGGGTTTCACCATGTTGGCCAGGCTGGTCTCAAACTCCTGACCTCATATGATCTGCCCACCTTGGCCTCTCAAAGTGCTGGGATTACAGGCGTGAGCCACCGTGCCCGGCCCTTTTATTTATTTAGAGATGGAGTCTTGCTCTGTTGCCCAGGCTGGAGTGCAGTGGCTTGATCTCAGCTCACTGCAGCCTCCACCTTCCAGGTTGAAGCGATTCTCCTGCCTCACCCTCCCGAGAAGCTGAGACTACAGGTGTCCACCACCATGCCTGGCTAATTTTTTTAGTTTTATTAGAGGTGGGGTTTTGCCATGTTGGCCAGGCTGTTCTCGACTTCCTGACCTCAGGTGATCTGCCCACCTTGGCCTCCCAAAGTGCTGGGATTACAGGTGTGAGTGACCATGCCCAGCCTGAAATCTTTTTCAAAACTTCTGCACATCAATAGACATCCCTGAATGAGATTAAATTGGAAGCCCTCATTTTTTTTTTATTTTTTTTATTTTTTATTTTACTTTAAGTTTTAGGGTACATGTGCACATTGTGCAGGTTAGTTACATATGTATACATGTGCCATGCTGGTGCACTGCACCCACTAACTCGTCATTTAGCATTAGGTATATCTCCCAATGCTATCCCTCCCCCCTCCCCCCACCCCACAACAGTCCCCAGTGTGATATTCCCCTTCCTGTGTCCATGTGTTCTCATTGTTCAATTCCACCTATGAGTGAGAATATGTGGTGTTTGGTTTTTTGTTCTTGCGATAGTTTACTGAGAATGATGTTTTCCAATTTCATCCATGTCCCTACAAAGGACATGAACTCATCATTTTTTATGGCTGCATAGTATTCCATGGTGTATATGTGCCACATTTTCTTAATCCAGTCTATCATTGTTGGACATTTGGGTTGGTTCCAAGTCTTTGCTATTGTGAATAATGCCGCAACAAACATATGTGTGCATGTGTCTTTATAGCAGCATGATTTATAGTCCTTTGGGTATATACCCAGTAATGGGATGGCTGGGTCAAATGGTATTTCTAGTTCTAGATCCCTGAGGAATCGCCACACTGACTTCCACAATGGTTGAACTAGTTTACAGTCCCACCAACAGTGTAAAAGTGTTCCTATTTCTCCACATCCTCTCCAGCACCTGTCGTTTCCTGACTTTTTAATGATTGCCATTCTAACTGGTGTGAGATGGTATCTCATTGTGGTTTTGATTTGCATTTCTCTGATGGCCAGTGATGATGAGCATTTTTTCATGTGTTTTTTGGCTGCATAAATGTCTTCTTTTGAGAAGTGTCTGTTCATGTCCTTCGCCCACTTTTTGATGGGGTTGTTTGTTTTTTTCTTGTAAATTTGTTTGAGTTCATTGTAGATTCTGGATATTAGCCCTTTGTCAGATGAGTAGGTTGCGAAAATTTTCTCCCATTCTGTAGGTTGCCTGTTCACTCTGATGGTAGTTTCTTTTGCTGTGCAGAAGCTCTTTAGTTTAATTAGATCCCATTTGTCAATTTTGGCTTTTGTTGCCATTGCTTTTGGTGTTTTAGACATGAAGTCCTTGCCCATGCCTATGTCCTGAATGGTAATGCCTAGGTTTTCTTCTAGGGTTTTTATGGTTTTAGGTCTAACGTTTAAGTCTTTAATCCATCTTGAATTGATTTTTGTATAAGGTGTAAGGAAGGGATCCAGTTTCAGCTTTCTACATATGGCTAGCCAGGTTTCCCAGCACCATTTATTAAATAGGGAATCCTTTCCCCATTGCTTGTTTTTCTCAGGTTTGTCAAAGATCAGATAGTTGTAGATATACGGTGTTACTTCTGAGGGCTCTGTTCTGTTCCATTGATCTATATCTCTGTTTTGGTACCAGTACCATGCTGTTTTGGTTACTGTAGCCTTGTAGTATAGTTTGAAGTCAGGTAGTGTGATGCCTCCAGCTTTGTTCTTTTGGCTTAGGATTGACTTGGCGATGCGGGCTCTTTTTTGGTTCCATATGAACTTTAAAGTAGTTTTTTCCAATTCTGTGAAGAAAGGCATTGGTAGCTTGATGGGGATGGCATTGAATCTGTAAATTACCTTGGGCAGTATGGCCATTTTCACGATATTGATTCTTCCTACCCATGAGCATGGAATGTTCTTCCATTTGTTTGTATCCTCTTTTATTTCCTTGAGCAGTGGTTTGTAGTTCTCCTTGAAGAGGTCCTTCACATCCCTTGTAAGTTGGATTCCTAGGTATTTTATTCTCTTTGAAGCAATTGTGAATGGGAGTTCACTCATGATTTGGCTCTCTGTTTGTCTATTGTTAGTGTATAAGAATGCTTGTGATTTTTGTACGTTGATTTTGTATCCTGAGACTTTGCTGAAGTTGCTTATCAGCTTAAGGAGATTTTGGGCTGAGACAATGGGGTTTTCTAGATATACAATCATGTCGTCTGCAAACAGGGACAATTTGACTTCCTCTTTTCCTAATTGAATACCCTTTATTTCCTTCTCCTGCCTAATTGCCCTGGCCAGAACTTCCAACACTATGTTGAACAGGAGTGGTGAGAGAGGGCATCCCTGTCTTGTGCCAGTTTTCAAAGGGAATGTGGAAGCCCTCATTTTTAAATGCACTTCTTAAAGTGCAATGTTGTTCATTTGGAATGTCCCACTATAACTTTAAATTACCTTTAGTAAGATTTTACCATTTCTATAAGCGTTTGCTGCTTCCAGGTCGTAATACTTATTCACGTATAGGTAGGCATAGCTGGAAAATGGAGCACTCAGTTATTCAGAAATTAAGGATCTCATTTTTACATTGAATCTTGGCTTTGGCTCTCAGATCCTCTTGAACAACTTAGCCAGCGATTTTTCTCTACCTAAGCACACAAGAAAAAGAAACAAATGGGACAGAACACAAAAATTCCTATGAATTTCTGAAAGCCAAAGATTGTACACTTGCAGTATTGCCATTTATTGCCAGTTTCTATCTGATCCAAGTTAAACATCCAAGGCCTCTAACTGGATCCAAGCCAGTTAATTGTCAGATCCAATTTGATTCCGGACCCATTCCAGTTTCTGTTGCAACCTTTTTTGTTGTTGTTGTTGAGGCAGAGTCTCACTCTGTTGCTGGAGTACAGTGGCACGATCTCGGCTCAGCACAACCTCTACCTCCTGGGTTCAAGCTATTCTCCTGCCTCAGTCTCCCGAGTAGCTGGGACTACAGGCACCTGCCACCACGCCTGGCTAATGCTTTGTATTCTTAGTAGAGACGGGGTTTCACCGTGTTAACCAGGATGGTCTCAATCTCCTGACCTCGTGATCCACCCGCCTCAGCCTCCCAAAGTGCTGGGATTACAAGCGTGAGCCACCGTGCCCGGCCAAATGAGATGAACTCTTCATATGTGTTGCCTAAGCTGGTCTCAAACTCCTGGGTTCAAGGAATCCTACCACTTTGGCCTCTCAAAGTGCTGGGATTACAGGTATGAGCAACTGCAACTAGCCATTTTTTTCTGAATCATAGTTTTTATTTATATTATTTTTCTTTATGTTATTTTTACTATTTACAGTAAACAGTAAAATGAATTCAAATATTAGAAGTTTTTGTCCAATTGTTAATTAGACATTTAATGCTGACTTGACACTGGATTTTTTGTCTACATGTGCTTTGTCTTGATGTTTGTCACCTTTGTGGATTTATTTAATGAAACTGCTTAAATAACTATGATTATTTTTGTTGGATGAAATTGTAAAAGGGCTGGGCGTGGTGGCTTATGCCTGTAATCCCAGCACTTTGGGAGGCCAAGGGCCAACATGGTGAAACCCTGTCTCTACCTGAAATCAAAACATTAACTGGGTATGGTGGTGGGCACCTGTAATCCCACCTACTCAGGAGGCTGAGGCAGGAGAATCACTTGAACCCGGGAGGCAGAGGTTGCAGTGAGCTGAGATCATGCCATTGCACTCCAGCCTGGGCAACAAGAGCGAAATTCCATCTCAAAAAAAAAAAAAAAAAATTGAAAAGGATGCAGGATCTATATAAAAAATATCCATGATAGTTTTAGCAAAAAATTCCAGAATATATGCATTTTATCTTTTTCTGTACAATAAAAAGAATAAAAAGAAAATTATATATGACATATGTAAATATGTGTGTTAATCGCAATGTCTCAGGAGTCTGGTGGTAGGAATGGTCGTGAGCCATGGGGCAGGTGGAAAAGGAGGCAAGAGGAGTGGGGGTGAGGCTGGGGAAGGATGGCAGGCAGGGTATGGCAGACAATTTCTGGGCTGGAGGGCTCAGACTGGTGAGTCCTAGTGGGCTAGAGCACAGATGAAGAGGACACGGGTGTAAAAGGCCAAGAGACTGAAACTTAATCCTGAAGGGATAAGAAGCCAGTGCTTTGAGGAGAATGAACTAGATGGCAGTGCCCAAAATGTACTTTGGGAACCCAAGACCCTTCTAGGAGGTTCATGAGTTCAAAGCCATTTTCTTAATAACACTAAGATAGATATTATTGGCATTCTTTACTCTGCCCATGCTGTTAAGATTGTGCAGTGGAATTTTCCAGAGGCTACATGATTTCAGATGGCATCATCACTTTGATGTTTTTTTTTTTTTTTGAGATGGAGTCTTGCTCTGTTGCCCAGGCTGGAGTGCAGTGGTGCGATCTTGGCTCAATGCAACCTCCGCCTCCTGGATTCAAGTGATTCTTCTGCCTTAACCTCCCAAGTAGCTGGGATTACAGGTGCCTGCCACCATTGCCGGATAATTTTTTGTATTTTTAGTAGAGATGGGGTTTCACCATGTTGGCCAAGCTGGTCTTGAACTCCTGACCTCAAGTGATCCACCTGCCTCAGCCTCCCAGAGTGCAGGGATTACAGGCGTGGGCCACCATACCTTGCCTCATCACTCTGATGTTAACATGTAATGAGTTTGGTTTTTTAATGAATTAATGAATATTCTTTAACATTTCTCTGCTTTAATTTCTTCTTTATTAATTTTTTATTTTTTAGTGGTGGGGTCTTGCTATGTTGCTCAGATTGAACTCAAAATCCTGGGCTCAAGTGATCCTCCTGCCTCAGCCTCCTGAGTAGCTGGGACTATAGGCATGTACCACCGCTCCTGGCTTCCAGGTTTAATTTTTTTTTATTTTGAGACTGATTCCCACTCTATTGTCCAGGCTGGAGGGCAGCGGCATGATCTCGGCTCACTGCAACCTCTGCCTCCTGGGTTCAAGTGATTCTCCTGCCTCAGCCTCCCAAGTAGCTGGGATTACAGGCGCTCACCACCATACCCGGCTAATTTTTGTATTTATAGTAGAGATGGGGTTTCACCATATTGGCCAGGCCAGTCTCGAACTCCTGACCTCAGGTGATCTGCTTGCCTCGGCCTCCCAAAGTGCTGGAAATACAGGCGTGAGCTACTGCGCCTGGCCTGAAAAACATTTTTTTAAAAGAGACAGAGTCTTGCTCTGTTGCCCAGCATGGAGCGCAGTGCACAATCATAGGTCACTGTAGCCTTCACCTCCTGGGCCCAAGCGATCCTCCTGCCTTAGCCTCCCGAGTAGCTGGGACTACAGGGCCATGCCACCACACCTGGCTCCTTTGACACATCTAACTCCACCTCAATCTCTGCTTCCCAGAGAGCTTAAACGAGTTCAATTTATATCCAGAATATATATTTTTAAAACCCTAAAAATCAATAAACAAATGGCAGACAACCCAGTAAAAAATAGGCAATACACATGAGTAAGTATATTTTATCTTCATAAAGGAAGATAAAATAACGGTGAAAAAACAAATAAAAATATGCTTGTGTTAGTTTCCTGGGGCTGCTGTAACAAATTCCCACAATCATGGTGGCTTAAAAACAACAGAAATTTATTCTCAAAGTTCTGGAGACAAGGAGTCCAAAATCAAGGTATTGGCAAGGCCGTGCTCCCTCTGGAGGCTCGGAGGAAGATCCATTCCTTGGCATTTTTAACTTCTGGGGGCTGCTGGTAGTTCCTGGCTTCCTTTGGTTTGTGGCTGCACTACTCCTCCATCTTGCCCTCAACTTCTTTTTTTCTTTTGAGATGGAGTCTCGGGAGTCTCGCTGTCACCCAGCCTGGAGTGCAGTGGTGTGATCTCGGCTCACTGCAACCTCCACCTCCCGGGTTCAAGCGATTCTCATGCTTTAGCCTCCCAAGTAGCTGGGACTACAGGTGCACACTACCATGCCTGGCTAATTTTTGTATTTTTAGAAGAGATGGGGTTTTGCCATGTTGATCAGGCTGGTTTTGAACTCCTGGCCTGAAGTGATCCACCTGCCTCAGCCTCCCAAAGAGCTGGGCTTACAAGTGTGAGCCACCACACCCAGCCTTGCCCTCACCTTCTATGTGAATGTCTAATCTCCCTCTGACTCTCTCTTATAAGAACACCTGTGATGGCATTTAGGGCTCATCAGATAATCCAGAATAATCTCATCTCAAAATCTTTAATTTAATCACATCTGCAAAAACTTTACCATGTAAGGCAACATTCACAACTTCCTGAAGTTTGAGCACCTGATATCTTTTAGAGCCACCATTCAGCCCACTATAGCTTGTATCATTAGGCATCAGGAAAATCCAAAGGAAATGCAAATTAAGGTCACAGTGTGCTGCTACTGCACAGCCACCAGAATAGCTAAAATGAAAAACGAAGGAATGTAGTCCAACCAAAATGCTCACACACTGCTCACGGCGGTAACGCCGATATAATTGCTTTGTAAAATTGATTGGCAGCACTAAAGCTGAGCATGTGAAATTTTGTGGCCCAGAAATTACAGTGCTGGGTATGTGCAGTTTTGTTTACAGGCGCCCACTGCCATGCCCAGCTAATTTTTTTATATTTTTGGTAGAGAAGGGTTTTCACCATGTTGGCCAGGCTGGTCTCGAACTCCTGACCTCAGGTGATCCACCTGCCTCGGCCTCCCAAAGTGCTGGGATTACAGGCGTGAGCCACCGCACCCGGCCTGTTTTCTTTCTAGAATACTTGCTGTTACATTCCTGACCCTCCAGGTAGGAAGTCTGACCACATCAAGGCCACCCTGCTGTGAGGATGCCTAAGTCACAGGGGCAGGCTGGGGAGAGAGACCCTGAGGTTTAGTCTCAGGTGAGTGCAGGCTTCGAGTTATTCCAGCCCAGACACCAGATTTGTGAGCAAGAAGTCTCCACATGACTCCAGCCCTGGCCATTTAAGTCACCCCCAGCCACCTGGGTTTCCCAACTGAGGCCCCAGGCAAGGTGGAGCAGAGCAAACCATACCTTCCATGCCCCGTTCAAGTTCCTCACCCACAGAGCCCATGGGTATAATAAAATGAGTGTTGTTTGGCGCCATTACATTTTGGAACACTTTGTCATGCAGCAATAGGTAGCTGGAACAATACCCAACAGAAACATGTACATAAATTCATCAACAGACAAACCTGAAAATATTCATAGCAGCGCTATTTATTAAACTGGTGACTACCCCAAACACCCATCAAACAGTGGAATGGATCCATAATTTGTGGTAATATTAACATGATGCAATACTAGACAGCAATAAGAATAAATAAATCACAGTCACACACAAAAATATGGATGATATATGTACATGAAAACACATAAATCATAGAGTACAGCTTGATAAAATTTCATGAAGTGATCACACCATGTGATCAAGAAACATAACATCAGCCATAACATAAGCCTTCTAGTCACTACTTCCTTCACGGGTAATCACTTTCCTGACTTCTAACATTATAGATTAGTTTTGATGGTTTTAAAATAATGTAGTTTTTAGCACACACAACAACCACACACAACAAGAGTTTCCTTGAAAACTGACTGGGCTCCCAAACTTTTTGCTTCCGCTTGGAACCAAGATTATTTGTTTTAACCCTAGAGACCCTCATCTGGCAGTTGCTGTCTCTGCTCTGCCCATCTGTCTCCTCTTCATATGCTGTTTGTTTGTTTGTTTGTTTGTTTGCTTGTTTGTTTTGAGACAAGGTCTCACTCTGTCACCTGGCTGGAATGCCATGGCACAATTTTGGCTCACTGCAATCTCTGCCTCCCAGGTTCAAGTGATTCTCCCACCTCAGCCTCCCAAGTAGCTGGGACTACAGGTGCCCACGACCATGCCTGGCTAATTTTTGTATTTTTTTTTAGTAGAAACGGGGTTTCACCATGTTGGCCAGGCTGATCTCGAACTCCTGACCCCAAGTGATCTACCTGCCTTGGCCTCCCAAAGTGCTGGGATTATAAGTGTGAGCCACCACGCTCGGCCATTCCCTTGACATACTGTATTCCATTGCTTCCAAGACACACTCTGCTTAAATTATTTATTGAATTATAACATCTTTACATGAAAGCCCACAAGCCATAGAGTACAGCTTGATAAATCTCAAGACTGCCAAAGAAATTTCAAGACTGGTCCGCCACAATCTGTGGCAGTTCAGCTCCCTAAAGCATACCCCAGGCCCTAAATCGGCACCAGCAGTAAACAGAGTGTAAACGCTGTGCAGCTCCAAGAAGCATACTTTCCATGCCCACTCAGATGTGGCCATGGGGCACAAGGGACAGGGAGGAACCTCAGAGAAGGCAGAGGCATGGCCACAAAGGATGATAGACTAGGTTGTTTCTCCCAGATGGGAGAACCTGGGGCTGCCAGATGGGCTACCAGGCAGCTTACCCCACTGCCAGTGGACAGGCAAGCTGGTTGGTTCTCTCTTTTAAGATGGTCTGGAGGAAGAGGGTAAAAGCCCTTGTCTCATGGGCCAGGTGTGGCGACTGGTCCCTGTAATCCCAGCACTTTGGGAGGCCTCAGCCAGAGGATTGCTGGAGTTCAAAGCCAGACTGGGCAACCTAGTGAGACCCTGTCCCTACAAAACAAACACACAAACAAACACAAACAAACAAACAACAGCTTCTCACTCAAGCTCTAGCTTATCTAACTCTCAGCCAATCAGTAACAAAAGATTCAAGAAGCCATTAACCCTTAATCACAAGCTCCTATTTCAGGGGGCTAGGGATTTCTCTGGGGCCCTGTATGTGCCGTTAGACTTAAACTACAACCTATAGTTACCTGTTTCTTATTTTAATGCTAAAAATAATGCCCAGGGGTAGAGATTTAAAATGCTAATGCTACATACAATGTATGAAGAAGCATGTTTAGCACTGCACAAGCACTAGAAAAATCCCTCCTCTACATGCCCTGACGTGACCCTTCCTTATAGAAAGACTAACCCACAGACTACCCTTGGGGAGGAGCCTGTGCCTTCTCCTTTCTTGTTGCTGGCTCCCTTGTGCACAAGCTAAAATAAACTTTTTCTTTGCTGCTGTGTCTGGTGATCTCTCTTTATTTCTATCCTGGGAGGATTACAAGAACCCAAGGTGCCAGTGACACCAGTGGCTAGAAGCCTCCACTCCTCCCCAGCTGGACTTGGTGCAGTGATAACTGCATGCTTCCCACTCCTCCGTTTGCCGAATGAGAGCTGTAATCATGTTAACCTATTCTTCTCAGTCCCTATTTTGGATGGATTGTCTTTTAGTTTATAAGTCACCAGCTCAGAAGACCTTTGTGCCACCCAAAGATACTGAACTTTGACCTATATGTAGTAACTAGATGGGAATTTTGAGGCTTCTTGGTTTTTTGTTGTTGGTGGTGGTGTGTGTTTGTTTGAGCTGGGGTCTTGCTCTGTCATCCAGGCTGGAATGCACTTGCTCTGTTGCCTAGGCTCCCAGGCTGGAATACAGTAGCATGATCATAGCTCACTAACTCCTGGGCTCAAGTGATCTTCTCATCTCAGTCTCCTGAGTAGCCAGGACTACAGGTGCATGCCAGCAAGCCCAGCTAATTTTTTAATTTTAATTTTTGTAAACATGGGGTCTCACTATGTTTCCCAAGCTGGTCTTGAACTCCTGGCCTCAGTGATCTTCCCGCTTAGGTCTCCAAAAGTGCTGGAATTACAGGCACGAGCTACCACACCTAGCTGTGCCTGGCCCATTTGAACAACTGTTAAGTGCACAGTTCAGTGGTTTAAATACATTCACATTGCTGTGCAACTATCACCATCATCTACCTCCAGAACTTTTTCATCTTTACCAACTGAAACTCTACCCATTAAAAAATAGCTGCCCGTTTCCCCTTCCCCATCTGTTGACAACGACCATTCTACTCTCTGTCCCTATGAATGTGTCTACTCTAGCTGTCTCATATAAATAGAATCATATAGCATTAGTCTTTTTGTGACTTGGCTTATCTACAGGGTTCATTCAGATTGTAGCACATGTCAGAATTTTGTTCCTTTTTATGGCTGAATAGTATTTGATTGTATGTATATACCACATTTTCTTTATCCACTCATCTGTGGAGGTACACTTGGGTTCCTTCCCTCTCTTGCACATTGTGAATAATGATGCTATGAATATATGAGTGTGTGATGTCTCTTTGAGTCCCTGCTCTCAATTCTTTTGATTATACCCAGAAATGTTTGTAGTTTTAAACCACTAAATTTTGGGGTAATTTTTTATGTTCCACCACAATAGGTAACTAATATAGTGGCAGATTTGAGAGCTATCACAAAGAAACAGAAACTATTCCCCCCACATTTTATTATGAAAATTTATGTATCATGCAACATTTTCTAATGCACAGAAAAGTTAAAATAACTTTTTAATTAACATCCATATACCACCACCCAGATTAAACTACTTTTAATAGTTTACAATATTTCCTTTATAAATTAGGTTAAATCGGCCGGGCACAGTGGCTCATGCCTATAATCCCAGCACTTTGGGAGGCCGAGGTGGGTGGATCACCTGAGGTTGGGAGCTAAAGAGCAGCCTGACCAACATAGAGAAACCCTGTCTCTACTAAAAACACAGAATTCCCCGGGCATGGTGGTGCATGCCTGTAATCCCAGCTACTCGAGAGGCTGAGGCAAGAGAATCGCTTGAACCCAGGAGGCGGAGGTTGCAGTGAGCTGAGATCCTGCCATTGTACTCCAGCCTGGACAATAAGAGCGAAACTCCATCCCCCGCAAAAAAAAAAAAAAAAAAAAAAAAAATATATATATATATATATATATATAAATATAAATATATATATATATATAAATATAAATATATACATAATATATGTAGGCAACTTTCATGTGGTTCAATCTTGTTTCTTTCTATATTTTTTCTGAACCATTTGAAAATATGTTGAGAACTTCATATTACTTCACCCCAAAATACTTAGGCATCTCCTAAAAATCAGGATATTCTGATAATAAACACTATTATCACATCAAAGAAAATTACCCTTAAGTCACCTGAGAAAATTCCATAGTGAAACCTAATATATATACCATATTCACATTTCTATGGTGGTCCCTGAAATGTGTTCCATAGCTGAATTTTTGAACTAGGATTCAATCATGGTTTACACATTGTGCTTGGTTATTATGTCCCTTTGGTCTCACATACATTATTTATAAAAGAAGAATTCTCAGCCCTGTGTCCATGGTCGCCAGGGGATCACCAAAAGTCCTGAGAGCTAACAGATGTGTGTGTGTGTGTGTGTGTGTGTGTGTGTGTGTGTGTATAGATGTGCTTTTTTTCTGGAAAGACAACCCAAAGTGTTGCTTAGATTCTCTACGTAGCGTCCACCAAAGATTGAGCACTAGTGATGTAAAAGTCACAGATGATTGATTTGAAGAGGGAGAAAACCCAAACTCATGACTGAACAGTAGTCCACCAGGAGGCTGGATATGCAGGGAGTGATACAGCTTTAGACAAGTAATGAAATCTCTTTGTTCATCTCTAATTTGGGGACGGTAATATTTGTATATCAACCTCAGTGGAAAGATGCATGTGAAAAAATGTTGTACCATCAAAATCTATACCAACATTAGTTACTAAAACTACAGGGAATTCAAGTTCCTGAGACCTTTGCACATGGGCCTCTGCCCACATTGCAGTGAGAGAGAAGGTATGAAGTCTCAGGCTGGTTTCTTGGAGTTCCCCATTCTCTTCACACTCGGGGTGATGGAACCCAGAGACAAGACAAGGTCTGGGCTCATCTCTTGGGCAGGGTAACACCTGCATGTTCACACATCAGTTGCTCTTGTCTTGTCTGGCGGGGGCCCGATTGGCAGCTTGGCTAGACTCCTGCCTAGAAATGGGATGGAATGGGAATAGGCCAGGACTTGTCACTTACTCCCACTAGAGCCCTTTCTCCAAATCTTTATATTCCCTCTTTTACCATAGGTAGCTTGTGAAAGTTACTTCAATACCTTTCCTATGGAAAACAGTAATCTTAGTTTCCCATGCTTCTTCCAGAGGCCTTGGAGTATTGGGCATTTTGTAAGGAAATTTGTACCGAGGCAGGGCTGGGTATGGTGAAGGGGCTGGGATCAGGACCTAGGCTTCCTTGGCCAACTGTTTTAACCAAGTAAGGTAAGAATGATCAATACCAGGTGGCCTATGAAAACTGGAGGCCGCCCCCCACCCCACCAAAGATTTCAGTTGAGGAGAAAGAGCTATAAAGCCATATGAGCTATATTTTAATAAAACATGAGCTTTATAGATAATAAGCTTAGGAAGATTTAGTTGGGTGAATTCCTAATAATACTTCCTCCAAGTTCTACGCCAGCTTTTGTTCTCAAATGCCAGGTGTGAATTTCTCAATGTAATGTCTTTATGAAACATGGCAAGTTTAAACATAACCATTCCACTACTGCTCTCCTCTGAATTCTGTTTTATGTTTTCAGAATGGTTAAAAACAAAGGAAGAATCTTTAAAAAAGTGTTTGTTAATCTCTCAATAACTTTCTACTTAATAGCTAGGAACTCGACCAAGCTATGTGATCTTTATAAAACCTTAGACTACTTGAGAGCTGGTAAGAAGATAAAGTTCAACAGATGTGAGTTTGGATTAGCTGGTGACCTAAAGGTTGGTAAGCTATTTAACATCTCTAAGCCTTTCTGTCCTCACTTGTAAAGGGGAATACGAAATTTATTCAGTAAATACGTTTTGAATGCTTGCCACATACCAGGCCCTGTTGTAGGCACCAGGGATACAAGGATAAACAAGACGAGCTTCCCGCTCTCATGGAACTGATCACAGAACATGAATATTCAACAAGAAATTACATAATTAATTGTAGTTTATGCCAACTGCAATAACAGCACCTACCCCAGCAGACGTTGTGAGGATTAAATGAGTCAATGTGCAGTCAGACACATTCAAAACTGTTGTCATAATACTATTTATAAAATCACATGGGCAATAGAGTCTTGCTAACAGTCCTAAATAGTATAAATGCATGTTGGGTATTAGATCCTCTTTTGTTTTTCACATATATTTAAATGGCAACTTGGTTGTGGGTCCCTTATAACAAATAGGAAGGCATGCTTTCCCTTGATGTTGGAGACACGGTCTTACCAACCTAAGGAAGGATGAAGCTGAACTTGTTTATTGCTGTCAAAAAGAGCAGTTCAGGCTGGGGGTACTGGCTCACACCTGTAATTCCAGCACTCTGGGAGGCTGAGGAGAGTGGATCACATGAGGTCACAAGTTCGAGACCAGCCTGGCCAACATGGTGAAAATACAAAAAATTAGCTAGGCGTGGTGGCAGGCATCTGTAATCCCAGCTACTCCGGAGACTGAGGCAGGAGAATTGCTTGAACCCGGGAGGTGGAGGTTGCAGTGAGCCAAGATCGCGCCACTGCACTCCAGCCTGGGTGGATGACAAGAGCGAAACTCCATCTCAAAAAAAAAAAAAAAAAAAAAGAACAATTTAGCATTGCCATTAACTGGATCAGCAATGCCTAACCCGTAAGTCTTGAGTCCTAGGGGAGTGGGGGGTTAGGGCACAGAGTCTTTGCCAAATGTTCCTAAATCCTTACATGTCCTAAGTATTGTCTGTAGAATGAAAATATCTTTTGCCTACATATGGACATTGTCATAATCTATGTAGCTGCTGATGGGATGAATACAGTATAGCTTCCTTTAAATGAGTCACTGAAGTTTTACTGTGCCCAGCATTTTTTCATTATGTATTTTCTCAGTCAAATCTTATCCTGGGCAGGCTGCAGTGGCTCATACCTGTAATCCCAGTACTGTGGGAGGTAGAAGCAGGAGGATTGCTTGAGACCAGGAGTTTGAGACTAGACTGGGCACTCAGTGAGACCCTATCTTTACAAAACAATATTAATAAAAAATAAACCAGACGTGGGGGCATGCACCTGTGGTCCCAGCTATTCGAGAAGCTGAGGCTGGAGGATCACTTGAGCCCAGGAGGCAGAGGCTGCAGTGAGCTACGATTGCACCACTGCACTTCAGCCTGGGTGACCGAGCAAGACTCTATCAGAAAAAAAAAAAAATTATCCTGCCTTTTCCTGGCTGAAACCCTTTAACAGTTCCTCATTTGTCTCAGGATAAAGTCCAAATTCCCTCCCAGGCACAACAAGACTCTGTTGACCTTTCCTGGCATAGTGCCTGCCCCACCTCCCTCCCACCCCCATCCCACCCCCATCCATCAAGTTCTGACATGAAGCCTCTTCCAGGCCGTGGCATAGAGCCCTGGGGCCCAATTCACATATGCGGGCATCAACAGACCCAGAGCTCCTGAATAGGAGAAATACCCACAGCTCTAGCAGGTGTCATGCCAGCTGAGGTGGCACCAGTCCACTGGGGCACCGGATGCGGGTGGGCCTCCCCTCACAGTAACTTCTTCCTCCAGTTGCCGTTGTATCAACCCTGCCTCGCCGCTGCCCCACCACCACTCCACAAGCCAGTTTCTGAATTAAAGCCATTTTCCTTTCAGGGGTTTTAAAAATAAGCAATCCTGGAAGTAATAAAGCTTCTTGATTATCAGTTTTCCATGGACTCGCTTTCTTCAGTGTTATTTGGAAACCCAAGGTCCATAATGCCAGTGCCTTCACAGGCTGTGTATGTGAATTATTTACCCCCTGGAGAAAGTCATAGACAGCTGCAGCGAGGGAGTGATAAAAGTATTTTTTGGCCGGGCACGGTGGCTCACACCTGTGATTCCAGCACTTTGGGAGGCCAAGATGGGCGGATCACCTGAGATCAGGAGTTCGAGACCAGCCTGGCCAACATGGCAAAACCCTGTCTCTACTAACGATACAAAAATTAGCCGGGCATGGTGGCAGGCACCTGTAATCCCAGCTCCTTGGGAGTCTGAGATAGGAGAATCGCTTGAACCCGGGACGTGGAGGTTGCAGTGAGCCAAGATCATGGCCACCGCACTCCAGCCTGGGTGACAAGAGCAAAACTCCATTTCAAAAACAAACAAGCAAACCAAAAAATGCCGGGCACAGTGGCTCACAACTGTAATCCCTGCCCTTTGGGAGTCTGAGGTGGGCAGATCACTTGAAGTCAGGAGTTCAAGACCAGCCTGGCCAACATGGTGAAACCCCGTCTCTACTAAAAATACAAAAATCAGCTGGGCGTGGTGGCAGGAGCCTATAATCCCAGCTACCTGGGAGGCTGAGGCACGAGAATCACTTGAACCCGAGAAGCAGAGGTTGCAGTGAGCTGAGATGACACCACTGCACTCTAGCTTGGGCGACAGAACAAAACACTGTCTCAAAAAAAAAAAAAGTAGTTTATTTTTTACTCTTCTCCTCACCTTAAAACTCTCCAAAAATGAAAAAGAGAAACAACTCCATCTTTTAAAAGATGAGGAAAAAAGAGAGTAATCACTCCAGTTATTAGTTTGAAATATTGTTCCAACAAAAGAATATACTTAACATGTATGTAGTTTCACTAATAACAAAAATGAAAACATGTACCTATTAACCAGCTTTAAGAAAATAGAAGCCGGGCTTGGTGGTGTGCTCCTGTAGTTCCAGCTACTTGGGAGGCTGAGGTGGGAGGATCCCTTAAGTCTGGGAGTTCAAGGCCAGCTTGAGCAACATAGCAACACCCTGTCTCAAAATAAAAGAAAATGGAATTTAACTGGTGACTTTGAAGACTGCTTTGTGCCCCTCCTCAGTCACCTCTTCCTCTCCCTCCTGTGATAACCACCATCCTGAATTTGACTTAATAATAATTCCCTTCTTTTCCTGAGTGTTATTCTTCGTGTATATTTTCCCACACAATATGTTTCAGTTCCAGGGAACTTTTGCATTTTATATAAATGAAATCATTCAGTCAAGTATATAGTCTTCTGTGACTAACTTTTTTCACTTAACTGTGTTTTTAAGACTCAACTGCGGCCGGGTGTGATGGCACGCTGCCTGTAATCCCAGCACTTTGAGAGGCCGAGGCAGGCAGATCACTTGACATCAGGAGTTCAAGACCAGCCTGGCCAATGTGGTGAAATTCCATCTCTACCAAAAATACAAAAATTAGCCGGGCATGGTGGCGTGCACTTGTTATCGCAGCTACTCGGGAGGCTGATGCAGGAGAATCGATTGTTACAGTGAGCCGAGATTGCGTCACTGCACTCCAGCCTGGAGGACAGAGTGAGACTCTGCCCCCCCCACACACACACATACACACACACCCAACTACTACCATGTGCAGTGATAGTTTCACTCATTTTCACTGAAGAATTGTGTTCGATGATATGAGTATGTGACGTATTTACTCATCCTCCTGGTGACAGTCATTTGCATGTTTTCAGCTTTTTGCTATTACAGACAGTGCTGAACATTCCTGTACCTGTCTTTAGCTTCAAAGGCTAGGTGGCGGCACAATTCCAAACTGCCACGTATAGATAAGGGCACTGCTCTGGAAGGCCCAACTTAACGATCCATTGTTTAGAACCACAAAAGGCAAGCAGCTGGAATGACTCCAGAGAAGTCAGCTCCACCCTGCAGGCTGCAGGGAGTGGGAGAGGTGGAACTAACAGAGAAGTTATGTGTAGATCCATGTTAACCATCTATGTCTCAGCCTCCCAGCTGAGAAAACTGCTGCTGGAGAGGGAGCCAGAGGAGAGGGCCTGAGGGAACAGCAATCATTAGAAAGTCTATCTTAGAGTCTGTTGCTACACTGCCCTCCTACATCCTGAAAAGAAGGGATATGGCCCAAGACAGAGGAGAAAACACATTTGGTGATAGGTTGTTTGAAAAAAAAAGTCAGCTGAAAACTGTGGTCTGTTCCAGGTCACTTGCCTCATCTTTCTCTAGATTAATTTTTAACCAATAACTGGTCTCTTTCAAAGATGAGCAATGATCAGAAAGACCTTTGTATAATTAATGCAACTTCCAGTTAAACGAGGTGGTATTTTTATCCTCCCCCACCCAAAACCCTACTGAAAGGCCAGTGAAGGAATAGAAAGGGCCTATCCTCACCGTCACCCACGTGAGTCAGGAAACATCAGTAGCTGAGAGAAGCAACTAAGGTAGCAAAGCGCAGGAAGATATGGTTTGACACGTCTGCAGACTCCATGAAGGCACCAGAGACTGTGTGTAAGGTGGGGGTGGAAACAGCTGAATATTGAATTGCTAGATCATAGGCCCCTTCCTCCCCTCCTTAAAGCCAGGGTGACCACCAGCCTGAGCAGGAAACTGGGGATTCGGGCCTCGAAGGAACTAAATCCGAAAGGCTCTTGACTTGGGGACACAGACCTTAAGGGGGCCAGTAAATTATGTGGAATTAGAAACACAGGGATTAAGAGGAGGTCTGGCTGGGCACGGTGGCTCAAGCCTGTAATTCCAGCACTTTGGGAGGCCTAGGTGTGCAGATCACTTGAGGTCAGGAGTTCGAGACCAGCCTGACCAACAGTACAACCCCATCTCTACTAAAAATACAAAAATTAGCTGGGCGTGGTGCCACATGCCGGTGGTCCCAGCTACTTGGGAGGCTGAGGCAGGAGAATGGCTTGAGCCTGGGAGGCAGAGGTTGCGGTGAACCAAGGTCGCACCACTGCACTCCAGTCTGGGCAACAGAGTGAGACTCTGTCTCAAAAAAATTAAAATGAAAATGAAAATTGTGCAGCAGTTTGACTCCAATGATAAATTACTGTAAACAACAGAAATGTCCATGAATAGGGGATCGGATTAAACAAAATGTGATATATTGTGCCAATGGAATGCTACTTAAATAATGTGAGAGTAGTATATTTGATGACATAAAAACATGCATGGCATGTATGACATGAAGAAAGCAGATTACAAAATAGCATGTCAGACCAGGCACTCTGACTCACGCCTGTAATCCCAGCACTTTGGGAAGCTGAGGCAGGTGAATCGCTTGAGGTCAGGAGGTAGAGACCAGCCTGGCCAACATGGCAAAACCCCATCTCTACTAAAAATACAAGAATTAGCTGGGTGTGGTGGTGTGTGCCTGCAATCCCAGCTGCTCAGAAGACTGAGACATGAGAATTGCTTGAACCTGGGAGGCGCAGATTGCAGTGAGCCGAGATGGTGCCACTGCACTCCAGGCTGGGCAACAGAGTGAGACTCTGTCTCAAAAAAAAAAAAAAAATAGCATGTATATGGTAATCTCATTTTGTGAGGAAAAAATATGTATGTATCTGTCTGGAAGGCTAAATACCAAATGTTAACCATGGCAGGGAAAAAAGTAAATTTGTTCCCTGAATGGTGAAACTTCCATTCACTTTGCCCCTTCCTTCACTTTGCTCCTAGATCATAAGTGGTCCCCACCTGCTATAGTTTAAATGTGTCCCCCAAAGTTCATGTACTGGGATCTTGATTCCCAATGCAACAGTGTTGAGAGGTGGGATTTTTAAGAAGTGAGTAGGTCATGAGGGCTCTGTTCTCATGAATAAATTAATGCTATTATCTCAGGAATATGCTACTTATAAAAGGACAAGTTAGGTTCCCTTCCTGACGACTCTCTCTTGCTCTCTCTTGCCCTTCCACCTTCTGCCATGGGATGATGCCATAAGAAGACTCTCATCAAATTCTTAGCAGATGCCAGCACCATGCTCTTGGACTAGAACCAGGAGCCAATAACTTCTTGCTTTGTATAAATTACCCAGTCTTAGGTATTCTTTTATAGCAGCACAAAATGGACTAAGACACATAAGCAAAAAGCAAATGAAAAACATACATCAGAATAAGGATTACTTTGTGGAAAAGAGAATCCAGTAAATACTTTATGATTTCAAAGAATGTATAGATGATGAAAGATGAAAATGATAGAAGTACAGTGATATGATTTGGATCTGTGTCTCCAACAAATCCCATGTCAAATTGTAATTCCCAGTGTTGGAGGTAGGGCCTGGAGGGAGGTGATTGGATTATAGGGGCAAAATTCTCATGAATGGTTTGGAACCATTCCCTCAGAGCTCTTCTTGTGATAGTCAGTGAGTGAGTTATCATGAGATCTGGTTGTTTAAAAGTTTGTGGCACCTTTCCCCTTCTCTCTCTTCCTCTTGCTCCCACCATGTAAAATGTAAAATGCCTGCTTCCCCTTCGCCTTCCACCATGACTGAAAGCTCCCTGAGACCTCCCCAGAAGGCAAGCAGAAGCTGCCATGCTTCTTGTACAGCCTGCAGAACCAGGAGCCAGTTAAACCTCTTTTCTTTATAAATTACCCAGTCTCAGGTATTTCTTTACAGCAATGTGAGAACAGACTAATACATACAGTCATGTGCTGCATAACAATGTTTTTGATAAAAAATGGACTGCATATGTGATGATGATCCCGTAAGATTATAATAGACCTGAAAAATTCCTATTGCCTGGCACAGGATGTGGAGGTGGAAGACAGGGATATCAACGATCCTGACCCTGTGTAGGCCTAGGCTAATGTGGGTGTTTGTGTCTTAGTTGTTTTTGTTTGTTTGTTTGTTTTATGCAAGTTCTCACTGTGTCACCGCCCAGGCTAGAGTGCTCACTGCAACCTCAAATTCCTGGGCTCAAACGATGCTCCCACCTCAGCCTCCCAAAGTGCTGGGATTACAGGTGTGAGCCACCATGCCTGGTCACTTTTTTCTATTTTTAAAAAATTTATTTTTAAAAACTTTTGGGCTAGGCACAGTGGTGTGAGCCTGTAATCCCAACACTTTGGGATTACTCTTGAGCTCAGGAGTTTGAGACTAGCCTGGGCAACACAGTGAGACCTCATCTCTACAAAAAATAAGCAAGCTTAGCTAGGTGTGGTGGTGTGTGCCTATAGTCCCAAACTACTTGGGTGGCTAAAGTGAGAGGATTGCTTGAGCCCAGGAGGTCGAGGTTGTAGTGAGCCAATATTGAGCCACTGCACTCCAGCCTGAACAACAGAGGGAGAGCCTGTCTTAAAAAACAAAACAAAACCAAAAAAACAAAAAACTTTTGGCTAGGCGTGGTGGCTCATACCTGTAATCTCAGCACTTTGGGAGTCTGAGGCGAGAGGATCGCTTGAGCCTGGGAGTTCGAGACTAGCCTAGGCAACATAGCAAGACCTTATCTCTACAAAGAAAACTTTAAAAATTAGGCCAGCATGGCGGTACTCATCTGTACTCCTAGCCACTGGGTGGAAGGTAGAGGGCTGAGGTGGGTGGATCACCTGAGCCCGGGAGGTTGAGGCTGCAGCGAGCCCTGATAATGCGACTGCACTGAAGCCTGGATGACAGAGTGAGACCCTGTCTCAAAAAAGAAAAAAGAAGGCCAGGCGCTGTGGCTCATGCCTGTAATCCCAGCACTTTGGGAGGCCGAGGCGGGCGGATCACAAGGTCAGGAGTTCAAGACCAGCCTGACCAACATGGTGAAACCCCATCTCTACTAAAAATACCCAAATTAGCCGGGCATGGTGGCGCACACCTGTAATCCCAGCTACTCAGGAGGCTGAGGCAGTAGAATCGCTTGAACCGGAAGGTGGAGGATGCAGTGAGCCGAGATCGTGCCATTGTACTCCAGCCTGGGCTACAGAGGGAGACTCTGTCTCAAAAAAAAAAAAAAAAAGAAAAGAAAAGAGCTTATAAAATGAGGATAAAAAGAAAGAAAATATTTCTGTAAAGCTGTACGATGTGTTCGTATTTTAAGCTAAGTGTTATTACAAAAGAGTCAAAACATTTTTAAAAATTAAAAAGGGCCAGGTGTGGTGGCTCACGCCTGTAATCCCAGCACTTTGGGAGGCCAAGGCGGGCGGATCACGAGATAAGAAGTTCAATTCCAGCCTGGCCAAGATGGTGAAACCCCATCTCTACTAAAAGTACAAAAAATTAGCCGGGCGTGGTGGCAGGCACCTGTAATCCCAGCTATTCGGGAGGCTGAGGCAGAGAATTGCTTGAACTCGGGAGGCAGGGGTTGCAGTGAGCTGAGATCAAGCCACTGCACTCCAGCCTGGGCGACAGAGCGAGACTCTGTCTAAAAAAAAAAAAAATATGTGGGCCGGGCGCAGTGGCTCACGCCTGTAATCCCAATACTTTGGAAGGCTGAGGCGGGCGGATCGCCTGAGGTCAGGAGTTCGAGATTAGCCTGGCCAATTTGGCAAAACCCTGTCTCTACTAAAAATACAAAAATTAGTTGGGCATGATAGCGAGCACCTGTAATTCCAGCTACTTGGGAGGGTGAGGCAGGGAAATCGCTTGAACCCAGGAGGTGGAGGTTGCATCGAGCCAAGATCGTGCCACTGCACTCCCGCCTGGACAACAGAGAGAGACTCCGTCTCAAAAAAAAAAAAAAAAAAGAAAATGTGATCTCATTTTTTTGTACTGCTATCATGGGTATTTCCATTCTCTGTAAACTGTTTCTCTTTGTCGCCTACACATGGACACACACACAATCTTTCATTCTCATTTTTATCTGTATATTTACATAGAAACATCTGGAATGATAGTCACTAAATGTCAACAGTGAATTATTCTGAGTGGAGGAATTTAGATCAAATTTATTTTATTTTTGTTTTTTACTTTTTTTCTTGAAAAATTTTGGTATGCTTCAAATTTTTATAATACAGTAAAAGTTCAATAACTATGTGTAGACCAGACACATAGACCAACACTGTGGTTATGTATAGAATAAGCCAGATTATTAGATTTTCTGGTTTATTCTGTATCAATCTATTGCTATTCCAAGGTATCAGAATTTCACAAATATATGTGTAATGTACTTCATTAATATGTTTGTAGCCTTATGAATATGATTTAAGTAACATCTATACTATAATAGTATGTTCTAGTTGAATGATATTGTAAATATAATTGGCTGTAGTAAAAACACACGAATAATTCAATACCTGAAAACACAATGTATAATGCAGATTATAATTTGGTATATAACAGTAGATGCACTACCTGTGTGGAGTTTATTTGAAAAGTGAAACAAATGCATTGCAGGAGATTTGTGGGCAGCACAGCCTCTATCTTTGAAGAGATATATTTATAAACGATTTAGAAAAACTACTGTATTTGTGACAAACTGAAATTTCCTTTTATTATCAAGAACTTTCACAGTATGCATAATAACTTAACTTAAATTTCTGTACTGCTTAAAACTTAACCAAAATAGGCCAGGCGCAGTGGTTCATGCCTGTAATCCCACCCAGCACTTTGGGAGGCCGAGGTGGGCACTCACCTGAGGTCAGGAGTTCGAGGCCAGCCTGGCCAACATGGTGAAACCCCATCTCTACTACAAGTACAAAAATTAGCCAGGCATGGTGGTGCATGCCTATAGTCCCAGCTACTCGAGAGGCTGAGGCAGTAGAATAGCTTGAACTCAGGAGGCGGAGGTTGCAGTGAGCCGAGATCGTGCCATTGCACTCCAGCCTGGGTGACAGAGCGAAACTCCATCTCAAAAAAAAAAAACTGAAAAAAAAATTTAACCAGAATGGTTACTCCATAATAAAAATAAATTTTACTTATTGACACACCCACTCAAAATTTGTTTTAAAACTACTACAGTGGATGCTACCAGCTGAATGTAATTCCATCATATAAATGTATTGGCAAATTCTCTATTGTTAGATAGTAAGGTCATTTCTAGTTTTTCTGCTAGTATAAACAGTTTGCTAGCATCCTTATTTCTTCGATAGAGATTTCTAGAAGAATTGCTGTGTCAAAGGGAATATAAATCCCAAAAGTGTTTTGTATGTTGCCAAGTTGCCTGCCAGAGAGAGGCCCATCTAGTTACACATTCTCACTGACAGTTCAGGGAAGAGTTCTTGCCTCTCTACACCCTCACTATCACAAGGTGTTATTCTAGGCACATGAACTCTGAACCTTCTTCTCAGGTGCCTGGAGAAATGCCCTTACTAATAAAGACTTAGAGTGTTGTGTGTGCCCCAAGAGAGTTGCTGGTGGAGCAGGGTTTGGGGCCTTCTAAAGAAGTCTTGGGGCCAGGCGTGGTGGCTCATGCCTGTAATCTCAGCACTCTGGGAGGCCGAGACAGGCAGATCATGGGGTCAGGAGTTCAAGACTAGCCTGGCCAATATGGTGAAACCCTGTCTCTACTAAAAATACAAAAATTAGCTGGGCGTGGTGGCACTTGCCTGTAGTCCCAGCTACTCCGGAGGCTGAGGCAGAAGAATCACTTGAACCCGGGAGGTGGAGGTTGCAGTGAGCTGAGATCGCACCACTGCACTCCAGCCTGGGTGACAGAGTGAGACTTTGTCTTAAAAAAAAAAAAAAGGCCAGGCACGATGGCTTATGCCTGTAATCCCAGCACTTTGGGAGGCTGAGGCAGGTGGATCACCTGAGGTCAGGAGTTCAAGACCACCCCGGCCAATGTGGTGAAACCTCGTCTCTACTAAAAGTACAAAAATTACCTGGGTGTGGTAGTGGGTGCCTGTAATCCCAGCTACTTGGGAGGCTGAGGCAGGAGAATCGCTTGAACCCAGGCAGTGGAGATTGCAGTGAGCCGATATCACGCCATGGCACTCCAGCCTGAGTAACAAGAGCAAGACTCTGTCTAAAAAAAAAAAAAGAAGCTTTGGTTCACCCCATTGTCCAGAAAAATGACTGAATGGACAGGTCCAGCCCTGATGCCCATGCTTTGCTCTGCCACTCATCTCCAGTTTCCCTCCAATTCTGCTTCTCAAAGTTACCTCCCTGTAGCACCTGCTTGTTCCTGACCCCATGTTGTATTTATTTATTTATTTATTTATTTTATTTTATTTTTGTAGAGATGGGGTCTTCTCACTATGTTGCCCAGGCTGGTCTTACACTCCTGGGCTCAAGCAGTCCTCCTGCCTCAGCCTCCCAAAGGGCTTGGATTACAGATGTGAGTCACTGCATCTGGCCCCACATTGTATTTTTCTTTTCTTTTCTTTCTTTTTTTCTTTCTTCCTTTCTTTCTTTTCTTCTCTTTTCTTTTCTTTCTTTTTTGACTGAGTCTCACTCTGTCTCCCAGGCTGGAGTCCAGCGGTGCAATCTCAGCTCACTGCAACCTCTCCCTCCCAGGTCCAAGCAATTCTCCTGTCTCAGCCTCCCAAGTAGCTGGGACTACAGGTGGGCCACCACTTGGCTAATTTTTTTTATTTTAATTTTTATTTATTTAGTTAGTTTGAGACAGAGCCTCACTATTGTCCAGGCTGGAGTGTAGTGGCGCCATCTCTGCTCACTGCAACTTCTGCCTTCTGGGTTAAATCGATTCTCCTGCCTCAGCCTCCTGAATAGCTGGAATTACAGGTGTGCACCACCATGCCTGGCTAAATTTTTTGGATTTTTAGTGGTGATGGGGTTTCGCCATGTTGGCCAGCCTGGTCTCAAACTCCTGACCTCAGGTGATCCACCCACCTTGGCCTCCCAAAGTGCTGGGATTACAGGTGTGAGTCACCGCACCAGGGCAATTTTTAAAATTTTTTGTAGAGAGGGTTTCACCATGTTGGCAAGGCTGGTCTCGAACTTCTGACCTCAGATCACCCACCTGCCTCAGCCTCCCAAAGTGATGGGATTACAGGTGTGAACCACTGCACCTGTTTTTTTTTTTTTTTTTTTTTTTTCTATTTATTTATTTTTTACTCTGCCCTGCCGTTCCCTCTGCTTTTACATAGAGGAATACCTTTGACTCTCAAACATGAGGCAAAATCTCTCCCAGGGTCTTTGACCTCATCCCAGCTGTATGCGTGGCTCTTTAGGCCTTTGTGTTTGTTTGTTTTTTTGTTTTGTTTTGTTTTGTTTTTTGAGATGGAGTCTCACTCTGTCACCCAGGCTGGAGTGCAGTGGCACAATCTCGGCTCACTGCAACCTCCACCTCCCCTCTTCAAGCTATTCTCCTGTCTTAGCCTGCTGAGTAGCTGGGATTACAGGTGCTCACCACCATGCCCAGCTAATTTTTGTATTTTTTGTGGAGACAGGGTTTCACCATGTTGGCCAGGCTGGTCTCAAACTCCTGATCTCAAGTGATCCACCTGCCTCGGCCTCCCAAAGTGTTGAGATTACAGGCATGAGCTACCACACCTGGCCTAGGCCTTCTATTTAGGAGGATCTTGGGATCTCATTTGGTCACCATCCTGGGGACTTCTTGTCTGCATACATTTTTAAAGAGTGGGATACATTGACTGGTCTGAAGGTAGTGAGTTATCTGAATTGATTGTTCACAGTCACAGATCAAACTCCTTGTTCTACTCTTTTCTCCCTTCTCATTACTGCACTTGACTAGTCTTTTAAAAAGATAAAATTTAGAAAAAAGAAAAGAGTGGGGTGCAGAAAAACCAGTTGGAAGCCCCATGGACACATGGAGGCTTGTCCACTGGGGACCACACAGTAGATGGTCCTGCTGGGCCAGTTCTCTGGGAAACCTCTGATGTCAGTATCTGCAGGGCTTTTTTTTTTTTTTTTTTTTTTTTTTAATTGGTTTGGTCAGATTTCCTGGAAATGTTTCTTCCAATCTCCTGCCCAGATGGAATAAATGTGACTGCCAGAGTTCTGGTTACTGAGTGGGGGACAAGAGATATCAGTATCTTCATTTAGTGTGAAGGGTGATCCTACTTACAACCCCTGTCTCCAATAAAATATCCGAGCCCTCACCTGTAACTGATGACTCCTAGTACAGAAAACCTCAGTTTTATCCTTTCCTAGTAGAAGCCGCTAGTGTCTTTTGCTGGGTTGGAGGAGGGACAGTCACTCACTGGAGGGCAATGGGGAGGGATTGGGGTTTAACTGCTTCTTCTTCTTCTTCGTTTTTTTTTGTTTTTTGTTTTTGACAGAGTCTCACTCTGTCGCCCAGGCTGGAGTGCAGTGGCACGATCTTGGCTCACTGCAACATTTGCCTCCTGGGTTCAAGCAATTCTCCTGCCTCAGCCTCCTGAGTAGCTGGGATTACAGGTGCACGCCACCACGTCCAGCTAATTCTTGTACTTTTAGTAGTGACTGGGTTTCACCATGTTGGCCAGGCTGGTCTCGAACTTCTGACCTCAGGTGACTCACCCGCCTTGGCCTCCCAAAGTGGTGGGATTACAGGCATGAGCCACCGCACCCGGCCCTGTTTCTAAAACAGACGTTTAATGAGTCTTCATTTTTAGGCTCATCTTTAACCTTCCTTCAGGAGGTACCTGGAGCCTTTTAGGGAATTCTATGGGTTAACACTTGGTTACCACTTGTTTTTTCCTGCAGCTGACAGTATTCAACATTCTCAGATCTTCTCAGTAATCACTGATTTCTAGCTTCCAAAGTCATGTTGCTATGTCTCCTCACAGGTTCCCTTTGTTCTTATTCATTTATGTCTATTTACAAATTCCTCCACCAGCATGTTAGTGGATTCCAGAGGGGGAAATATTCATTGATTTCTGCCACCTTTTTGTTGTTGTTATGTTAATTTTTACGTAGAGAAATACATTTGACTCTCAAACGGGGCAACAAAACCCCTGGAGAGTGACACATTGACCCCCTTTAAGTGACACGTTGGTCCAGTTTGAGTCAGGTGTTCCCTTCTACCAGTTAATTTTGGCAAGAGGAGTACAGCACCATGACTGGTGTGGGAATAGGTCCCTGTCCCAAGAGGGACCATCAGTGTGGCAGGGACAGTGGAGACATGTTCCACACACACAGTGGCTTGCACAGTCACAGAGATGGAGAAGGACAATCCCTAGAAAAGGGAGCCTACCCAGCTCCTGGGTGGGAGTTGATGTCCACAGGAAACCTGATGCTCACTGCACCTGGATGGGACGAGGAAGCCGACAGGGCCTCTCTGTCTGTGACTGTAGGTATGATATAATCCTATTTAGAAATAACATCACGAGTCTAAATTTGAGACCTGTTGTGAAAGTGAGACCCAGACCCCACTGCCCTTCTGCCTGCAGCCCTATACCCCTCCATGCTAGGGCCAGGATGGGAGCCATTTGGGGCCTGGGAAGAAACATGCCCTGCTTGAGAACCTGGTCAAAATGACTCTCTCTTGGAATTTATTTTGGCTACATGAATAAACAGAGACGTTTCCAAATGTCTAATCCTCAGTCTTCTGCTCTTTTCTCTCTACGCAGATTCAGCGATTACATCTCTATGGGTATCTGTAAACCCCTGCCGACCTCTCCCTCACCTTCAGTCCCACACTTCCACCCGCCTGAGGAACTCTTCCACTGTGTTGTCTCATGCACGTTGGCCCCAAGCTTCAATGCTCCAAATTGACCTCATCATTCTTGCACCTCCCAGGCTTGAAACCTAGGAATTATTTTCAACTCCTACCTCTCCCTTGGCACAGGTACCCAATTAGTCACCATTTTAATCATCCGCTGCTGGTAATCACTGTGACATTTATCCTATTGTATCTGGCAGTGAGATGGCTGTGGCTGTCAAGCTGACACACAAATCAAGCAGAATAAAACCCCACCCAGAAAAGGCTGGCATCAGCATGGAACTCTGTTACAAACATCAAAAGCAGTCTGTGGGCCGGGTGCATTGACTCATGCCTGTAATCCTAGCACTTTGGGAAGCCGAGGCAGGAGAATCACTTGAGCCAAGGAGCTCAAGACCAGCCTGAGCAACAGATTGAGACCCCATTTCTTTTATTTATTTATTTTAAAAAAATTTTTTAAATTTGTTTTTGAGACAGAGTATCTCTCACTGTTGCCCAGGCGGGAGTGCAGTGGTGTGATCTCGGCTCACTGCAACCTCCGCCTCCCAGGTTCAAGCGATTCTCCTGCCTCAATCTCCAGAGTAGCTGGCATTACAGGCATGTGCCACCACGCTGGACTAATTTTTTGTATTTAGTAGAGACAGGGTTTCACCATCATGGTCAGGCTGGTCTCGAACTCCAGGTGTGAGCCACCATGCCTGGCTGAGACCCCATTTCTATTACACAAATAATTAGCCAGGTGTGGTGGCTTGCACCTGTAGTCCCAGACATTCGGGAGGCTGAGGTGGGAATTTGAGGCTGCAGTGAGCCATGATCATACTACCACGCTCCAGCCTGGGCAACTGAACAAGGCCCTGTCTCAAAAAAAAAAAAAAAAAAAAAAAAGTGGTGTTATGGGGCTGACGGGAGGGGATGGGGAGATGTGATCAAGGCCAAGCTAGAGTGAGAGCAGATCCAGTAAGTGGAGTGAGCAGAGGAATGAAGTCATGAGCCGAGAGCCCACCCAGCGGCTGAGTTCAACCTTGAAGGCTCTGGGGGAGGAGCACCTAACATTTGTTTGGCATCTGCTAAGCAATCAAGGCCTTTTGCATATTTTATCATCTTCATCCTGGCAGCAAGACGTGGGATAGATGGTGAATCTGACATTTGCCTGGCACCTTTGGTTTTTGTTTTCTTTTCACAAACTCTAACTCATTTGATTCCATGGTAACCCAGTGAAGTGGTCAGAGCCCTCTTTGGTGAATGAGAAAACTGGATCCAAAAGTCCTCCATATCCTCGTTACTCAAAGTGTGGTCATCAGTATCACCTGGGAGCTTGTTAGAAACACAGATCGCCCGCTTATCCCAGGCTCACCCACTGGAATGTGCATTTAAACAAGAAGCCCAGGGATTCGTGGGCACATTAAAGCTGATCTATGTGACTGCTGGAGGAGTCTGGACCAGCCTTACACAGCTAAGTCTGCCCCTGGTCAGCAACGTTTGGCACAAATGCCAAGGTTACCTGCAACTCTGAGACAAGCTTGGCCATCAGCGGGGAGTGAGGCTGACAGAGCTGGGGACTGGGCGGTGAGAGGAGAGTGGAAAAGGGAAGTCAAGTCAAGGGTTGTTTGTGGGGATTATGCTGTGTGCTCCAGCACCCGTCAGGTGCTCCAGGACTGATGATGCAGCTGAGGACTGGGAAGCAGGAGACCATCAAGGAAGATGGCAGCCCAGCCCATGGAGGCAAGCAAAATGGAGTGGCTGAAGAGTTAGTGCTGGAGGAGGCACAGTCCCCTGGGAGTGGAGGGTCTTCCTGAGTGAGAGAGAAGGCAGGAGGAGGTGAGTAGGCCTGGGATGTGGAGGGCCCTGCACACCTGGCTGGGGAGTGCAGGCTTGATCTGGGGTCAGTGGAAAGTCTACGCTGGAGAGCTGTCCTGTGCCTCTTCCTCCACCCTGTTTCCCTCACCGGCGTCTCCTCATGGAAACATCTGTCTTGATAATCTTGACAGTCTCCTCTGGGACATCATAGCTCATAGACCTGCTCCCAGCCAATTCTCAACAACCAGAATTGAGCCCAGCCTGTCCTTTCCCTCTTCCTGAGCCTCCAAAGAGCCACCACTTTTCACCCAGTCACTGGCCACTCACCTTGGGAGTGATCTCAGACTCCTCCTGGTCCTGTAACCTCCACACTGCATTGTTCTTTGAGTTATCTCTGCTAAAAACCCTTCATCATCCCTAAGCAGCCTCCCCACCTGCAGTGTCTCCAGCCCACTCTCAGGCTTCCTTTGTTGGGTCCAAATTCCTCAGCCTGAGCTATTGTTCATAGCTCTCTACACCTTCCTCCTACCTTATCTTACCTGTGACTGCTCCCAGGGTCCCATTTCCCCCTCCTCCCCACCCTGCCTCCACTCCTGCCCTTTGATCTCCTTGTCCCTTCCTGCTTGTCTGTCCCCTGCTGGTGAGAGGTGAAGCCAGCTGGACTTCCTGGGTTGAGTGGGGGCTTGGAGAACTCTTCTGTCTTATAAGAGGATTGTAAAATGCACCAGTCAGCACTCTGTAGCTAGGTTTGTAAAACGCACCAATCAGCACTCTGTGGCTAGCTAGAGGTTTGTAAAATGCACTAATCAGTGCTCTGTAAAAACACACCAGTCAGCACTCTGTGGCTAGCTAGAGGTTTGTAAAATGGACCAATCAGCAGGACATGGGCAGGGACAAGTAAGGGAATAAAAGCTGGTCACCCCCAGCCTGGAGCGGCAACCCGCTCAGGTCCCCTTCCACGCTGTGGAAGCTTTGTTCTTTTGCTCTTCACAATAAATCTTGCTGCTGCTCATTCTTTGGGTCCGTGCCACCTTTAAGAGCTGTAACACTCACAGTGAAGGTCCACGGCTTCATTATTGAAATCAGCGAGACCACGAACCCATCAGAAGGAACCAACTCCAGACACACTGGGAGAGACCAACCCTCTTTGTTTCCTCTGGCCAAAGCCTGCCTGTCTTTCTATGCCCATATACATGCCTTTACTTCCTTCCTGTTGGGATTAGAAGATTAGAACCCAGGATTTGTGACTAGTGGCCAGGTTATAATTTTTTTTTTTTTTTTGAAACTGAGTCTTGCTCTGTCATCCAGGCGGGAGTGCAGTGGCATGAACATGGCTCACTGCAGCCTCGACTTCCTGGGGTCAAGTGATCCTCCTGCTTCAGCATTCCATGTAGCTGGGACCACAGGCATCCACTACCATGCCTGGCTAATTTTTTTTTTTTTTTTTTTTTGAGACGGAATCTCGCTCTGTTGCCCAGGGTGGAGTGCAGTCGCACGATCTTGGTTCACTGCAATCTCTGCCTCCTGGGTTCGAGCAATTCTCCTGCCTTAGCCTCCCGAGTAGCTGGGACTGCAGGCGTGCGCCACCACTCCCGGCTAATTTTTGTATTTTTATTAGAGACGGGGTTTCGCCGTATTGGCCAGGGTGGTCTTGAACTCCTGACTTCATGATCCGCCCACCTCAGCCTCCTAAAGTGCTGGGATTACAGGCATGAGCCACCACGCCTGGCCTCCTTCCTGCTTTCTAAACATTCTTTCTTGTTTTCTAGGCTGAACATGTATTATGTTATAATTATAGGATGAACATAAACCTTTCCGAAGAATGAATTGCCGCTAAGGAGAGGCTGAAGGGCAGGGTGCGGGACAGGAAGGTGACTGTTGAGAACATCTGGGAGGGGAGCCATTGACTAGTGTTGGCCTTGGGTGGACGGGGACGGGGAGGTGGAAAGCTCTGTGGCTTCATGCCATGTTTAATTCAGACCTGGGCTTGAACCCCAGCTTTGCCTTTGCTCCTTAATCTGTGACCTTGGGAAAATTAGTTAACACTGAGTTTCAACATTTACTAAATTATGTGGCCTTAGGAAACTAATCTAGCCTCTTTAAGCCTCATCCATTCAACAGTTTTAGTATCTAGGAAATGTTAAATCAAGTTTAATCTAAAGCTGCCTCCTTACATTTTTTCTTATTTATTTATTTATTTATTTATTTATTTATTTATTTATTTATTTGAGACAGAGTCTCATTCTGTTGCCCAGGCTGGAGTGCAATGGCGTGATCTTGGTTCACTGTAACCTCTGCCTCCCGGGTTCAAGTAATTCTCCTGCCTCAGCCTCCCAAGTAGCTGGGATTACAGGTGCACACCACCACACCCGGCTAAATTTTGTATTTTCAGTAGAGATGCGGTTTCACCATGTTGGCCAGGCTGGTCTTTAACTCCTGACCTCAGGTGATCCACTTGCCTCGGCCTCCCAAAGTGCTGAGATTACAAGCATGAGCCACCGCGCCTGGCCTCCTTATATATTTTAAGTTTGGCCTAAAGGTTTCTCTGTACATCATGAACTACAGCCTAAATGGAAGCGTAAACAGACTGTAATCTACTCTTGGGCCAATCACCGAGTTTTGGCCATTCAAATGTGGCCAACTGTTCAAACTGTGTTCAAATAAGGCAAACGCAAAACTGCAACCAATCCAGCTGTTTCTGTAACTCGCTTCCGTTTGCTGTATGTCTCTTTCCTTTTTCTGTCCATAAATCTTCTTCCACCATGTGGCTACACTGCAGTCTGTGGGCCTACTCTGGCTCAGGAGGCTGCCTGATTTGGGAATCATTCTTTGCTCAGCTTTTACATTTAATTCAGCTGAAGCTTTTCTTTTAACAGGAACTATGTACCAGACACTGTTCTACCTGCTAGGCTCTAGCAGGAAATAATTCAGGCAAATTCTTCATCTTCATGGAGTTTTTATAGTTTAGAGAGGAGAGGGACATAATAAATAGCCAAGAAGAAGTATAGTGACTCGTGCCTGTAATCCCAGCACTTTGGGAGGCTAAGGCAGAAGAATCACTCGAGCCCAGGCATTTAAAACCAGTCTGGGCAATATAGTGAGACCCCCCCCAATCTCAACAAAAAATTAAAAATTTAGCCAGGCATGGTGGCACACACCTGTAGTTCCATTTACTCAGGATGCTGAGGATGGAGGATGGTTTGAGCCTGGGAGATTTAGGCTGCAGTGAGCCATGATCCCACCACTGCACTCCAGCCTGAGCAACAGAGCATAAGACCCTGTCTCAGGGAAAAAAAAAAAAAAAAAAAAAAGGCCAGGTGCAGTGGCTCACACCTGTAATCTTAGAACTTTGGGAGGCCAAGGTGAGCGGATCACTTGAGGTCAGGACTTCAAGACCAGATTGGTCAATATGGCAAAACCCCATCTCTACTAAAAATACAAAAGTTAGCCAGGCATTGTGGCAGATGCCTGTAATCCCAGGTACTCAGGAGGCTGAGGCAGGAGAATTGCTTGAACCCGGGAGGTGGAAGTTGCAGTGAGCCGAGGTCGCAGCACTGCACTCCAGCCTGAGGGACGGAGTGAGACTTCTTTGCCCCTATCCAGCGGGAAGTAGCTAGAGTGATCATCGCCCAATTCAGGAAATTCGGAAATTTGTGATATTTTATTTTTATATATGTGCACTCATGTGCACACACACACACACATACACACATATATGATATGAAAAAAATGCAGAGGAGGAATCTAGAATGTGGAGTGTGGGAAGATTTCCTCGTCTTAAAGTAGTGTGGGGAGGCCTCACTGAGGGGTGACATCTGAGCAGAGACCAGAAGGAAATAGAACAGCCAGCTTTGTGAGTGTTTTGGGGGAGAGAATTCCAGGCTGAGAAGACAGCAATACACTCAAGGCAAGAGTGGGCTTGCAGTGTCTGAGGCCAGTGTGGCAGGGGTCAAGGGAAAAGTCAGTGGCAGGAAATGGAGCCAGGGAGGTGGCAGTGGGCCAGATCACACAAGGCCTGGTAGGCTGTGGTCAAGACTTCAGTGGCTAGGATTAGTGGCAGCAGGGCCAGTGGTGGGTATATTTTGAAGGTAGAGCCAACAGGGTTTGCTGATTTTTTTTTTTTCTTTTTTGAGACAGGGTCTTGCTCTATCACTCAGGTTAGAGTGCAGTGGTTGCAATCTTAGCTCACTACAGCCTCGACCTCCTGGGCTCAGGTGATCCTCCCACCTCAGCCCCCCTAGTAGCTGGGTGTACATGCAAGCACCACCATGCCCGGCTAATTTTTGTATTTTTTGTAGAGACGGGGTTTTGCCATGTTGGCCAAGCTGGCCTTGAACTCCTGTACTCAAGTGATCCTCCCGCCTCGGCCTTCCAAAGTGCTGGGATTACAGGCAGGAGCCACCACGTCTAGCCTTGCTGGTTATTAATGTCGATCGTGAGTAAATGAAACAGGTCAAGGAAGAGTCCTTTGTCTGGTTTTGGTCTGAGCATGGAGAAGGTGAAGGTATCGTTTACTGAGTTTGGTAAGGCTGCAGAAGGAGCAGGTCTAGGGTAAAAATAAAAGTTTAATTTTGGATATTGTGCCAGCTGTGTCTATTAGACACCCAGGTCAAGGTGTTGATTAGGCAGTTGGATATTCAAACCCAGAGTTCAGGGGACAGGTCAGGGCTGGAGATACAAATTTGGGAGAGGTCAGCATAGAGAGATTGATCTTAAAGCCATGAGCCTGGATGAGGTCACCTGGAGTGTGAACAAGGACAGAGAAGAGAAGGACTGACTCCTGCGGCCGTGCAGTATTTTGACACCAGGAAAATGAAGAGAAACCAGAAATATACATGGGGGAGGAGGGGCCAGTGACATAAAAGAAGGTCCAAGAAAGGGTGGTGTCTCAGAGGCCAAGTAAGGATGTGTTTAATAAACATGATCCCAGCCAGGCATGGTGGAGCACACCTGTAATCCCAGCTACTTGGGAGGCTTAGGCTGGAGGGTCACTCGAGCCCAGGAGCTCAAGGCCAGCCCGGGCTACATAGTAAGATCCTGTCTCTAAAAAAATAAAATGTGAACCCTTGTGTTTCTGTTTCTAGTGTTGTTGATAGACTGAATTCATGCTATAGGTGGGTGATTCTGCAAGCACTTTGTTAGCAGTTACTCTGGAGGCCTGGTGTCATTATGGATATATTAAAGAAAGGCTGCCCTTTTTTTTTTTTTTTTTGAGAGACAGGATCTCACTCTGTTGCCCAGGCTGGAGTGCAGTGGCATGATCACGACTCACTGCAGCCTCCACTTTCCAGGTTCAAGTGATCCTTCTGCCTCAGCCTCCTGGGTAGCTGGGATTACAGGCTCACACCAGCACAGCTGATTAATTTTTTTTTTATTTACTTTTATCTTTTTTTTTTTTTTAATGAAATGGGGTCTTGCTATGTTTCCCAGGCCTGTCTTGAACTCCTGAGGTCAAGCAATCTGCCTTCCTTGGCCTTCCAAAGCACTGGCATTACAGGTGTCAGCCACCACTTCCGGCCATTAATATTTAAAAATTTTTTTTGTTGAGATGGGGTATCTATGTTGCTCAGGCTGGTCTCAAACTCTTGGGCTCAAGCGATCCTCCTGCCTCAGTGTCCCAAAGTGCTGGGATTACAGGCATGAGCCACTGTACCTGACAGAGGCTGCCATTTTTAGTGGCCAATCCATCCAGTGTAATCCAGCAGTCTTCTTCTTCCCCCTCACACAGCCACCTGCAGTGAAAATCGGGAGGGAACAGGCAATGAGGGTGCCGTGGGGAGCAGCACTTGGCAGGAGACCATGGATGGAATTCCAGGTAGGCAGGTGGGGCCTGACAGCCACAGTAGAGCTTTGGTCTCTGGGGAGCCTGGTGAGTGTCAGGTGAGACCCTGGCCCTTCAGTACAGTGACACTTTGGGCAGAATGAGGAAGCAGGAAGGGGTCCCAGGTGTTAGAACAGATGAGTTCTTTGGTGAGTACACAAATTTTCAGGTGGTAGAAACACCAAATGGAGCCTCCAGATCCCTTCTTTGTGACCCATGGCCTGTCACACCATAGATTAGCCATCCCCTCACCCTTCTCCATCCTTGGGAATCCCCTCTCTGATTCCAGCCCCATGACTTGACCTGTTCTTCTCCCTCCAGCAGCACGGGCTTCTGATCCTCTCAAGTCAGAGCCCCTCTGGTTCATGGGTCCCTTCCCGGAGTCTCTCACCCCAGTGGTGTCCTCAGATCCACCCTAGAACTGAGCCTGGTTTCACAAAACAGCCGTGGCAGCTACTTTCTGTCCTCTGAAATAAATAAAAGTCTCCTCTTGTCCCTGTTGCATTACTAATCAGCCACAGCTCATACCCTCTGAAGCCTTCTTATTATCCTGCTTCCTGAGAACCTGATTCTTCTAGGCACTCTGTGATGTTTAGAGAGATACCTGCTTTATTTTATTTATTTTTATTTTTATTTTTATCGTGACGGAGTCTGGCTCTGTTGCTCAGGCTGGAGTGCAGTGGTGTGATCTCAGCTCACTGCAACCTCTGCCTCCCAGGTTCAAGCAATTCTCCTGCTTCAGCCTCCCAAGTAGCTGGGATTACAGGCATGTACCACCATGCCTGGCTAATTTTTTTTATTTTTTTTTTGTATTTTTATTAGAGATGGGGTTTCACCATGTTGGCCAGGCTGGTCTCGAACTCCTGACCTCAGGTAATCTACCTTCCTTGGCCGCCCAAAGTGCTGGGATCACAGGCGTGAGCCACTGTGCCCAGCCAAGCCCTGCTTTACTAAAGTTAGCTTTTACGTCAAAGACAGAATGTGAAGATATAATAGATGAGGGCTCATCTCAGAAAATCCCCACGGATCATAGAGGTGGGGTGAGAAGGAACTGGAAGGAGGAGGGGATCGCAGGAGGAGTCACCCTTTCAGCTAGAGAACTGTGCATTTTCCATGTCACGCAGGGACAGTCTCTTTTTGTCATCCTGTTGTAATGTGCAACACTCTGTTCAGTTCATGGCCAAGGAACAGAATGTCTCACCACAGGAGGCCTCACCCCCAGGGAGCCAACCCACGGCCTTGGTCTTCTGAGCAGGGGCATTAACAGAGCCAACTGCACGAAAAAGAACTCATGAGGCACAGGGCCCGTGGGCCAGTGGGTCTGGTGGCCAGGGATGTGTGTGTGTGTCCTGGGAGAAACCGCAGGGCCTCGGGGTGCCCTTGGAAGAACAGCAGACCCCTTCCCTCTCTCACTGCATTCAGCCAGCATCCTCAGCCACTGCTGAGGGGCTGTTCTAGGGCCCAGCTCGAAATCCAGCTCATAAGAGACGACCCAAGAAGAAGAGTCCTTGACCCTCTTCTTGAGATCTCCATAGACAAGTTGTGGTGAGATATTTAAGAACTCAAGGTCATTTACAAAGCAAAGAGAAGATAATAGGGAAGTGGGGCAATGATATGAAAAACTGAGGGTGCCCCAGTTAGCTGTGACCTTGAGTCTTCTTAATTCTTGGATCCTCAACTTTCCTAAGAAACAAGGAGGAAAATACCATCTGTTCTTCGCTTCTGCCTTGGGCGTCCAGTGGGGTAACAGGTGGAGGGCTGTGAGGGGAGAGAGAACTGGAGCGGGGGCCTGTGATGGGAAGAGCCTGTCTCTGGTCATTGCCTTTTGGTTCTCAAGGAATGTTCAAAGCAGAGGAGTTTGTCCTTCCTCATCCCAAGCATAAGAGTTAAGCGAGTTGTGACCTTGCCGTGTGAGCTCAGATAATAAAAAAATTCAGTGGTTAATGAAGCCTTATCTTTGGAAAGACATACAAAAGACTGGTAGCACTGCTTGCCCCTGGAGGGTGGAGAACGGGGCAGCTGAGCCATAGGTGCATGGGGGGAGAATTGTTTTTCTCTGTATTATACTCTTTTGCACTTTTTAAATGTAATACAATGTGATTGTAATATCTAGTAACAAATAAAGAGAATTCAAACTTAAAAGTGATTCAAGTGAGCCAGGCGCGGTGGCTCATTCCTGTAATCCCAGCACTTTGGGTGGCTGAGGTGGGCCAATGACCTGAGGTCAGGAGTTCAAGACCAGGCTAGCCAACATGGTGAAACCCTGTCTCTACTAAAAATACAAAAATTAGCTGGGCATGGTGGCGGGCACCTGCAATCTCGGCTACTCGGGAGGCTGAGGCACAAGAATCACTTGAACTCGGGAGGCGGAGGCTGCAATGAGCTAAGATCATGCCACTGCGCTCCAGCCTGGGCAGAAAGTGAAACTCCGTCTCAAAAAAAAAAAAAAAAAGAAAAAAGTGATTCAAGTAATTCAAGGTTCTAGGAATTGGTTCAGGGTTGGGGCAGAGTCAGGAGTTAAACTTTATTCTTTTTTTTTTTTTTGAGATGGAGTTTCGCTCATGTTGCCCAGGCTGGAGTGCAATGGTGCGATCTCAGCTCACCACAACCTCCACCTTCTGGGTTCAAGCGATTCTCCTTCCTCACCCTCCCAAGTAGCTGGGATTACAGGCAAGTGCCACCACTCCTGGCTAATTATGTATGTTTAGTAGAGACAGGGTTTCACCATGTTGGTCAGGCTGGTCTCCAACCCCCAACCTCAGGTGATCCACCTGCCTCGGCCTCCCAAAGTGCTGGGATTACAGGCGTGAGCCACCACGCCCAGCTAAACTTTATTCTTTAGATCTCCTCTCAGTGAAAGGACAGGAGAGTAGAAGGAGGACTTGGAGTGCTCAGCAGGCTGGGCCTCCTCATCGCTCTTTCCAGCGAGCCCTTGCCTACACTGCAGGCCTCCCTGCCAGGCCTAAGTCTGGGAGAGGTGGGTGCAGTTGGCACAGCCTGTGCCTGCCCTCCAGCGCAGGACACCATGTTCTTGCCTGCCCATGAGTCCAGCTGCCTGAGCTCACCAGCAGCAGTAGTTGCATATGCTGCAAGAGCCGCTGGGAGGGTTGGCCGGGAGTCATGAAGGTGGGTGCGTGGTCCCCCAGAGACGGTCAGACTGGGTTGAGGACAAAGGGCAGGCCCCAGATACAATGGGCAGACTGGAAAGGCCTTGTTCAATCCTGGCATCAGCGAGGAGTCCAGTGATGGCCACGGCCACTGGTCCTTGGCCAGAACTGGAGGAGCCGGTCCTGTAGCCAGCCTCAATCCCCAGGCAACAGACCCAATCCTACCGATGCCAGCCTGAGCTCAGCAGGACAGTTGAGTATTGTCTAAGCAAACAGCTATGGTAAAGGGAGGCACAGCTCCAGTGCTCCAGGTACCCTCCCTGCTCCTCAGCCTGTCTCCAGTCCCTCCCAGACAGCTGTGGCTCTGGCATGCAACTACCCTAAATCCACAAGTCCTGGTCTCCCAGCCTCCTACATCTACCACTGCCCATGGGAAACACTGTTCTCTGCTCCCTGTCCCAGCTGGTGTCCTGTGACAGTCGAGCATGTGGCAGGAAGCCTGCCTCCTGCTCAGTGCGTGTGTATGGGGCAGGACTAAAGTAGCAGGAGGATATGGGAAGACCCTGTGGTGTGACTCCTGGTGCTGCCACTTCAGCTCCCTGGGCCTCAGTTTCTCCACCTAGGGCCTCCCTACGTTGCAGCATCGTCACTAGGATCCCTCAAAACACTAATCGCAAGAGCACTTTGTAAGATGAGGCATGCATTTGATATGCGTCGAGTTATTATTTGTCACATTCTCATTACAGAGCTCTTAGTAAGTAGATGCTGAATGAATCCTGGTCCTGAGCTGATGACACCTGAGGGCTGTTGAAGAGTGACAGGCCCCAGCCTTCCTACATTGGGCCTGCATGTCCAGTAAAAGGGGAGAGCCAGAGGAGGAAAGTCCATCTTCTCACGGGATAAGAAGGTCTGGAGACTTCCCAGGGGCTGTCTGACCTCTCCCGGAAGAGGAAGTGGGCTGGTGTGGACAGACCCTGAGGGGCAGAGCCCGCAGGGAGCCCTGCCCCTCTATTCCACTGCAGAGGTCCCTGGAGGCGGGGCTGTGGTCCCCGCACTGCTCTTAGGCTGCCCATGCAGAGGTGCGGGGTTGACTCAGAGATGCTCAGAAATGACCTGGAAATGGAGGGTCTGAGGAGCTCCAGGCTGCCCCGTTCCTCCTTGCCACCCTCTCCCTGATAGCAACAGGCAAGGCCAGGAGGCTTCTGGGAACCTGCTGCCTAATTCCCACCCCATCCCCCAAGCAAGGCCTGCTTCCAGATCCTTAGGTGGCCCTCCTACGCTTTCAGAAGGAATAGAGCTGGACCCTAGGAGGCTGAGGCAGAGGGGGCATGAACAGATGCATTTTCAAGGGCATACCAGGTGCAAGAGGCTCTGGGTGCTGGGGACAGGCTGAGCTCACCCACCCCTGGCCTTGCATCAGCTGCAGGGCTGGCTGCCAGGCCCTGGGAATTAGGCAGCAGGCTCCCAGGAGCCTCCCAGCCTTGTCTGTTGTTATCAGGAAGAGGGTGGCAAGGAGGAGCAGGCCAGCCTGGAGCTCCTCAGCCCCTCCATTTCCAGGTCACCCAGCTGTCCCAGCTCCCAGCTTCCCAGGCAGTGAACATTCTGTGCAATCAAGGGCAGGCACAGCCTAGGGCCTGGGAGATCACCCAGCCTGCCCAAGGCCTCTTTGCTGGAAGCCTTCCTAAGTTTGTGGACATCTCCCAGGCTGATCTGGGAACTGTGGGGCTGGTTTCTCTCTGGCCATGACATCACTGCTTTAAAAACAATCTTCCAGCTGGGTGCAGTGCCTCATGCCTGTAATCCCAACACTTTGGGAGGCCAAGGCAAGAGGATTGCTTGAGGCCAAGAAGTTCGAGACCCACCTGAACAACATAGTGAGATTCTGTCTCTACAAAATATTTAAAAAACAACCAGACATGGTGGTGTGCCCTATAGTCTCAGCTACTCAAGAAGCTGAGGCAGGAGGATTGCTTGAGCCAGGAGTTCAAGGCTGTAGTGAGTCATGATTGCAGTACTGCACTCTGGTCTGGGCAAGAGAAACCTCGTCTCTAAAAAATTAAATATAAAAATGAGCCCCCAGCAACAGCTGCAGGTGCCGCAGATGCAAGCTGACAGTGTATGAGAGAGGCTTCCAAAGTGGCCATGGATTATTGCCATTGCATCTCAGGGCTGAAGGTGACAGGAGGTTCGCAGGTGAGACACCTGGCTCAGTTGTTCTCCCTGGGACCCAGCCCCAGTGTTTGGAATTGCCTGGTACCTTCTTTATCTCCGGATCCTCTTGGGGTGCAAAAGTGGATGTACCCTGGGAAGAAAAGTGTGTTCTGAGCATGAGGGCTGCTATCTGGGATGTCCTGAGAGCAGAGCTGAGGTCTACAGGCAAAGGAAGGGAGACCGGAGAAGGGACTGGAGCAGAAAGCAGGCGGGGGAGCAGGAACACGGGCTCATGGGAGCCTGGGGCCCTTGTCCTGGTCAGTCCTAACTTAGTGCTCTGGCCTCGGTTTCCCAATCTCTCTTCCTTGATTCCTTCCCACAGGCAGGACTTTCCCTTAGCTGAGGAGCTGCTAGAGGAAAAATGGAGTTACCCTCTCCCCTCCATTCACAGACTGCTCTCCCCTCCGTGGGCCTTAATTTCCTCATCTATAATGTGAGGAGACAGGACAAGGCAGTCTCAGAGCCCAGCAGCTCAGATGTCCTAGGAATCTATGCTATTATGACTCAGCCAGAACCTCCCTCTCTTTCAATGCTCTTTCCCCACCCAGCCCCTACCCTGGTGCCTGTTGTGCTTTTGCTCCTCATCTCCCACCTTCTGTCCCTCCAACTTCCCGGCTGCATGGAAGCTGGGCAAATCCACATTAGAATGTCTGAAACCCATGTTTGACTTTTATCCACTGTATCTCCTGGGAATCCAGAGTGCATGGTGGAGGGGCACTTCTCCCCAGAGGACACTTAGGAGGGCACACCTGGTGGAGCTAAGTAGAAGGGCTGGTGGGGGGCATCGGGGAGAGGGTGCTGGGGTGAGTAGGGTGGGAGTTGGGAGGCAGCCCAGGCTGTGAGAGAGGCATAGTCCCAGGCAGTAGGAATACTGGAGTTGGAAAGGCCCTTAGGGATCCTTGAGGCCAACCACCCTGCCCGTCTCACCCCATTTTAAAGATGAGTAAACTGAGGCCCAGCAAAATCAAGTGACTTGAAAGAATATATATACACACATATATATGCGTATATATGTGTGTGTGTGTGTGTGTGTGTATATATATATATATATATTTTTGAGATGGAGTTTCACTCTTGTTGCCCAGGCTGGAGTGCAGTGGCATGATCTCAGCTCACTGCAACCTCTGCCTCCCAGGTTCAAGCGATTCTCATGCCTCAGCCTCCCAAGTAGCTAGGATTACAGGTGCCCACCACCATGCCCAGCTAATTTTTTGTATTTTTAGTAGAGATGGGGTTTCATCATGTTGGCCAGGCTGGTCTCAAACTCCTGACCTCAGGTGACCCACCCACCTCGGCCTTCCAAAGTGTTGAGAATACCAACCACCACCACCTCGCCCAGCCAAGAAAATATAGTTTAACATCAAGAAAGGAGGAAGAACTTGACTTCCATTTAAAAGATGGCCCTTAAATGGAATAGTTTTGCACAGAAAAAGCTCATGCTGGTTGCAGTGAGCTGAGATCGCACCACTGCACTCCAGCCTAGGTGACACAGTAAGACTCTGTTTCCAAAAAAAAAAAAAAAAAAAAAAAGCTCATGCCACAGGTTGTGTTTTTCTCTCTCTCTTTTTTTTTTTTTTGTCACCAGTGATGACATGGTGATCATCATCATGGTTCATGGGTGTTCTGAGGACCAGATTTGGAAACTACTGTCCTGACGTCCTTCTGCTGCTGCCACCTCTCTTTCTCTTCAACCAGCTTTGCAAAGTAAAGAAAGGGAACACTCAGGAGAATTTAGATCAAAAGTACTTTTATTTATTTACAGAGACAGGGTCTCACTATGTTGCCCAGGCAGATCCTGAACTCCTGAGCTTGAGTGATCTGCCCACCTCAGCCTCTCAAAGTGCTGGGATTACAGGCACGAGCCACTGTGCCCAGCCCAAAAACACTTTGAAAACAACTTCAGTATCCCCCAAAATGTTCACTGCAGACATGAGGGCAACAGGAGCACAGTTGCTCAGAGAGGTGTGCAGGCAGAGGCCCAGCTGGGGTCCCTGGGCCAGGGCTAGGACTTACTCCATGCTGGGCAGAACCACGGAATGTAGGTAGGCAGGTAAGTACGAGGTAGGTGGGTGGGTAGCTCGCTGGCTCCTCTTGCATCGTTAGCACTTAAGAGTTCTGGGAGTATTGATTCTGGGAAGACAGTGAGTGTGCTGGGCCCTATCCTGGTAGAGAAAGGCTATTTCTCTACCTGGCTGAGTCTTCCCCTGACTCAAGGGTTCCTAGAGACTGGTAGTGAAGCTGGGGAGGGAGAATCTTTCAGCAGATGTAGAGGAAAAATGAGATGCTGGTTTGGTGCCTGGCACATAGTAAGCACTCAATTATTATTTGTGAGTGAACAATGGAATGTATGGTATAGTTTATGGTAAATTCAGAGATGACCAGACAAGTCTAAGTTCTATTAATCGTTCTACCATTAACTGCTCTGTGCTTCAGACGAATCTCCTGACCTCCCTGGACTTCAAGGACATGTGTGCCTGTACTGGCAGGAGTCTTCCTCTTCTTCTCTTTTTAAAAGATGGGGTCTTACTATGTTGCCCAGGCTGTAGCGCCAATGGCTATTCACAGGTATGATCCCACTATTGATCAGCACAAGAGTTTTAACCTGCTCTGTTTCCTACCTGGGCAGGTTCACCCCTGCTTAGGCAATCTGGTGATCACCCACTCTTGGGAGGTCACCATATTGATGCCACTAAGTTCAGACTCCAGAACAGCATAGCACACTACAGCCCAGAACTCCCAGGCTCAAGCAATCCTCTTGTCTCAGCCTCCCAAGTAATTAGGACTACAGGCACACATCACTACCTCTGCTAATATTTTTCTTTTTATTTTTTTGTAGAGACAGGGGTCTCACTATGTTGCCCAAGATGGTCTCAAACTCCTGAGCTCAAGCAATCCTTCCTCCTTGGCCTCCCAAAGCACTAGGATTACAGGTGTGAGCCACTGCACCCGGCCTGGAGTCTTCTTTACAAAGATCAGAAGCCATATTCCCACTAGCTTAAACCAAAAAGGAAATTTCTAGCTCACATAACTGGAAGGGGCACTAAGGCAAATGCTGCGGCTTTGGGGCAGGACCCAAAGTCTCCAAGACTCTTTTTCTTTGTCTTTGCTTCACTTCTGCTCTATCCACATCGCAGGGAAGGTGGCCATTTGCAGCTCAGATTTGGAAAGAGGGCTGGCTTCTCTCTCTCAACATCAAGAGGTTTTCATGGGCCCTGTTTGGTCCCAGTCAGACCTAGGTCACATGCCTGATCTATAGTGGGGGAAGTGGATTGTGCTACCAGAAGGGGAACAGGAAAGCCCGGTGAGCAGACAAAACAATAATTATTAATGTTACAGCTCTTTTAGTATTCGTCTAGCAGCCTTTCCAGTTTTTACCAGAAAGCCCCCTGAAAAAAATTTTTTTTAAAAAACAACAACAATAATTATTACAGTACCTATAGTGCCTAAAGACGTCATAAGTATGTGTGTATATTGGGAAAGACTGAGTCCTTAAAAATGCAGCAAAAAAGTGACCTGAACCAAGCTTTGCCAAATCACAGTTATTAATATTATTAGGTACCAATCAGATGGCTCTTATTGCATGTCAAGCTCTGTATTAGGCTAAGTATACAGGTTTTTGTTTTGTTTTGTTTTTGTTTTTTGAGACAGAGTCTCACTCTGTCACCCAGGCTGGAGTGCAGTGGCGTGATCTTGGCTCACTGCAGCCTCTGCCTTCCGGGTTCAAGTGATTCTCCTGCCTCAGCCTCCCGAGTAGCTGGGACTACAGGTGCACGCCACAACGCCCAGCTAATTTTATTTTTATTTTTATTTTTTTTAATTTTTAGTGGAGATGGGGTTTCACCATGTTGGCCAGAATGGTCTGGATCTCCTGACCTCGTGATCTGCCCGCCTCGGCCTCCCAAAGTGCTGGGATTACCGGTGTGAGCCACCACACTCAGCCAGTATATGGACCTTTTAAACTTTTAAGTTCAGGGGTACATATGCAGGTTTGTTACGTAGGTAAACTTGTGTCAAAGGGGTTTGTGGTACAGATTATTTCATCACCCAGGTATTAAGCCTTGTACCCATTAGCTATTTTTCCTGATCTTCTCCCTCCTCCCACCCTCCCCTCTTCGATAGGCCCCAGTGCGTGTTGTTTCTCTCTACATATCTATGTGTTCTCATCACTTAGCACGGGCACCTACAGGTAAGAACATGCGGTATTTGGTTTTCTGTTCCCGTGTTAGTTTGCTAAGGATAACGGCCCCCAGCTCCATCCATGTCTCTGCAAAGGGCATGATCTCATTCTTTTTCTATGGCTGCAAAGTATATGTTAAATCCATGTTTTGTTTTTTGAGACAAGATCTTGCTCTGTTGCTCAGTCTAGGGTGCAGTGACGTGATCATGGCTCACTGCAGCCTCAACCTTGAAGACTCAAGTAGCTCAGACTATAAGCACACACCACCACACCCAGCTAATTTTTTTATTTTTTTGTAGTGATGGGATTTTTTTATTGGCCAGGTTATTCTCGAACTCCTGAGCTCAAGTGATCCTTCCACCCTGGTCCCCTGAAGTGCTGGGATTACAGGTGTGAGCCACTGCGCCCAGCCTATACATGTTATTTACATCATTTCTCATCCTCACAACAATCCTGAGACATATGTATTATTAGCCCCATTTTAAAAGTGGAGAGACTGGCCGGGCACGGTGGCTCACGCCTGTAATCCCAGCACTTTGGGAGGCCAAGACGGGTGGATCACTTGAGGTCAGGAGTTCAAGACCAGCCTGGCCAACATGGTGAAACCCGTCTCTACTAAAAAAAATACAAAAATTAGCTGGGCGTGGTGGCAGGCACCTGTAATCCCACCTACTCAGGAGGCTGAGGCAGGAGTATTGCTTGAACCCGGGAGGTGGAGGTTGCAGTGAGCCAAGATTATGCCACTGCACTCCAGCCTGGGTGACAGAGTAATACTCGGTTTCAAAAACATAAAAGTGGAGAGACTGAGGCTAAGGTTACGCAGGAAGTGAGTGGTTGAGCCAGAATGAAACTTGGGTCCTTCTGCCCGTGTTTTCACCAAAGATCAGACTGCCTCTTCAGAAACCAAAGCTGAAAGCCTGGCAGAAGGTTGCTTAGACCATGCTCTGAGCCCCGGCAGGTATGGTTTTGCTGAGGCTTTCATGCCCTTCTCAGCTGCACACTCCTTCAGCTTCCCTGTGCTACAGACCCTCCCCGGCCTCTGGAGACAGGTAACCCACTGTCTGTTTGTAATACACGGGCTTCTTCACCAAAAGGCACTTTTTTTTTTTTTCTTTTTGAGACGGAGTCTTGCTCTGTCTCTCAGGCTGGAGTGCAGTGGCGTGATGTCAGCTCACTGCAACCTCCACCTCCAGGGTTCAAGCAATTCTCCTGCCTCAGCCTCTCAAGTAGCTGGGATTACAGGCATGTGCCACCAGGCCTGGGTAATTTTTGTATTTTTAGTAGAGACAGGTTTCACCACGTTGGCCAGGCTGGTCTCGAACTCCTGACCTCAAGTGATCTGCCCGCCACAGCAGGCTGGGATCATAGGTGTGAGCCACCTCACCCGGCCTCCAAACGGCAGTTCTCAAAGACTTAATCCCCTAGTCGGTGACCCTGCCTAGAATTTTCTAGAGTCTGGCCGGCTGGTTGGGAGGAAATGGGGATGGGGTGCTTAGAGGGATGTTGGCATGGTGAAAAATCAAGGGGACTCATCTCTCGCCTGAATGATCAGAATACCTGTAGCCCCTAAATGTTCCCCTGGCCTCTGTGCAGCCCCTCTGGCCCATTCAGCACTACACAACGAGAGTGATGCTCCTAGGATACCATCATCCCTCCTGCATCCACCCCTGCTCAGAGCCTCCATGGCTCCCCAGTGCCTTATGGAGGCCTCCCAGGCTCCTCCAGACCTAGCCCCTGCCGACCTCTCCAGCTTTCCCCACTGCCCCTCACACTTGCGAAGGCATGAGACTTGGAACCCTGGCCATATGTGGCTATTTAAAAGTAATTAAATCGTGAATGAACAATTCAGTTTCTCAGTTACATTAGTCACATTCCAAGTGCTCAATGACCCCCAGTGGCTGGTGGCTACTGTACTCGACCATGCAGATACAGAACGTTTCTATCATCACAGAAAGTTCTATTGGACAGCACTGGATTGGACTTTTCACTTAACAAAGGAGGCCCTGATAAAAGAATGTTATCAGCTTTAGAGGAATCCAGAATAGACTTGACCTATTTGATCACTCTTTCAATAAATACACGCCACCTGCTGTATTCCAGGCCCAGAATATCCAATAGTGGGCAGTAGTAGCCGGTCTGTCCTGGGAGTGAAGAGACGACGGCCTAAGTACCTGGGCCCAGGCTGGGGGAGTGGTGAAGGCTCCCTGGACAAGGGGCCATCTGCTCAGGCCTGCAAGCTGAGGAGGTACTGGGCAGGCAACAGGTTCCTTTTTGCCCTCAAGGGCCCGGGTTACAGACTGTCCCACTGCCTAGCTGCTCCTCCTCTCTTTCTCCCCAGGGAGGGGAGGAATGGAGGCTAATTCCTTGAAGTTAGTCCCTAAGCTGGGAAAAATCAGAGTCCCTGTTGGGCCATTAACTTCAGGAGCTCTGGGCTGTAACTTCTACTCCCCCACCAAATGCCTCATGGCTGCGGGGCTCAGTAACAACAGGCCCCTGAGTCCCGAGGCCTTTGTGGCCACAGAGTGGAGAGCTCCTCTAGGGAAGTGGAACCTGTAGAGCTGTTGTGGGGATACTAGGGGGCTGACTGTACCCTGAGTCCCAGCCCAAGGTGCCAAGCTCCCCAGCCTCCACAGCCCCTGCGGGCCTGCGGGATGATGCTGGGGAGGGTGTGGAGGACGGAGGCCAGGTTCTGGAGGGAGCCAGGGCTGGGCCAGTGGGGCTGAAGGCGTGTCTTGCCGGTCTCCTATTCTCCTGTTTCTGCTAGAGGCCTCCGCTGCTGGTCCCTTCCTCACATACACACACCGGTGTCCACCCGCCCCCCGCACCCCACCCCTATGACGGCTGCCCCAGCCCGTGCCCCTTCCTGGTGCCCTGGCCGATAACTGTGTCTTCCCAGCGATTTTGACAGTGGCAGCTAATTGGCCCGAATTTGGTGTTTCCTTCTCCCCATCAGGCACCCCTTTACGCAGGCATCCCTTTACGTGGCATGTCTCACTTAAGCCTCCTAACCGGAGGACGATTACGTAGGGACGATTATCTTCCCCTTATTACAGGCAAGAAATGACGGTTCCGAGGCGGTAATCCGCAGGAGCCGGCACTGACGGAGACCGTCCACGCCCTGCAGCCCCGCCCCCCGCCCCCAGCCCCCCGCCCCCAGCCTCCCGCTTGCATCCCAGTGTCTTCAGTGCCAGTCCGCCGGCCCCATCCCCCGCGGGGTTCCTGCGCCTCCCGGCCCTGCCAGAGCCCGGGGTCGGAGGGCAAGAAGGGCCGGGAGGCCCGGGGGTGCGGAGTGGGATGGGGGTCCGGGCCCTCGGTGCCAGCCTGAGCTCGAGGCGGCCGCAGAGCCGCCCTTTGTTTCGCTGCGCTCGCGGCTTCTGCGGAGTCACGGTCACATGGAGCTTCCGGCACGGGGTGTTCCGGGCGCCACGCCAGGGCCCCAGACGCCCCCGCCCCCTGGCCTGCCCTGCGCCGCCCGACGCCCTCGCCAGCCTGCAGGCCGCCGGCCACCCGGTGCTCCCTGGGCCTCGGGGTCTGCGCCCTGTCCCGCAGCTCCGCCTGGCCCCCTGGGGACCTGGAGTGCCTCTCCACCTCCCATCGCCCCCCAAGCTCTCGCCCGCTGTCCTGTCTTCTCTGAGCGCCACTGTTCAGCTTTCCCTAGCTTTGACTCTAGACTGGAGCATCAGATCTAGTTGTTTCCCGGGGCCCACTGTCTCCCCTCCTCTAGACAACACCAAGCTCCCAAAATCAGGCTCATCACTCCCCCGGGAGCAAGGTACAGTAAGTAGGTGTTGGAGGAGTAGGTAATGGACTCCATTCTCCTCATTTAATAGGGTGTCAGAGACAGCACTGCGCCTCCCTCCCTTCCCCACTCCAACTCCCACAAATCAAAACAAAAATCAGCCACTCAGCCTGGCCTCGCTCGGCACAGAGCATCTAAAAGTAAAAGCCCCAATCTGGGGTAGAAACGGCTGGCCCTTTCTGCCCGGGCCTAGCTCCTGCATCTCCATAACTGCAGGCTAGTCTGCCCTGTGACACTTGAGAACCGTGGGGCCTCCCTCGTGCAGGACACCTCTGCTTCATTTAGCAGATTCAATAATTCATTCAACAAATGTTTATTGAATGTGAACTTGTGCAAGGTAGGCCAGTCCCTCTCAGGGTGCCCTAGGCCCACAAGTAGATGTGAGAGGATCCTTTGCTGTTCCAGCAGTGCCTGTGCTGTCCCCTGACTGGTCTAGGCCACCACGGTTCCTTCATCCAGGACCTAGTGAACTGGGCAGACACCTGCATTCCTGGAGGCCAGGAAGAGGGTGTCAGCCTTGGAGAGGCAACAGAGAGGGCAGTGGAAGGCTCTAGGTGAGCATGGGGTGGGGTCTCCAGGACCCTTCCCTGGGCCTCCAGGCAGGCTTTCCCCATTAATGCTGCTTGTGGGCACTGGGAAAGGCTAGGGTGAGGAGGGGTGGGGAAGGAGAGAGGAAGACAGCCCAAGGTGGGGCGGGACAAGAAGCAAACTGGGGCCAAAGGCGGTGTGTACTTCGCTGTGGCCTCAAGGCTTGGTGGGGAAGAGCAGGCAGGTGAGTTCCCGGCTGCCGCTGTGTCTGTCCACAAGGGGCAGAGGGTGCCACATGAAGTGCTGGACCATGGCCGCCACGGAGGAGAAGAGCTGGCCAGGGAGGCAGGGCATCCGTGAGTCCCATGAGCCTCATGCTGGGAGCAATTTCCTGAGGCAACTGTGGGACTCTGGCAAGGGGACTTTTGACATTTTTCTAGATATCTTCCTTCCTGTTTGCCCCATGCCGCTCCACTGCCATTTTGCTGCCCCGTTCCAGGCCTCAGGCAACTTTCCTGCTGCTGCACCCATGGGCACGCCACTGGCCAGACTCTTATGTCCAAGGCTAGATCAAACTGACTCTAGGGTGCGCCTCTGCCCTGGTCCTCCAGCGTGGGGAGCTGTGTGATGGGTGTCTCTAGTTTGCATCCTAGCAAATGCTGGGTGCGACATTGAGTCCTGGGGGAGGTAGACAAGAGTCTGAAGATCCTGGACCCCGCCCTCCTCCCAGCTGGGTTCATTAAAGGCACAAAGGCCCCACCTCGACCCTGTGCAGACTGAGCCATGGCAGGAGGGGCACCTCCCCCACCAGAGGGCCAGGTGTCTGGAAGGAGTTCAGGGCTCTGGGCTCTGTCATTTCTGCCCACCCCAGAAAGATACAAAATGAAGATTTTTCCCTAGGCAAATGCTCTTGGCTAGGCCTGGGGTACTGCTCTGTGGTCCCTCCTTAGGCCCCTGCCTCCTCCAGCTCCCACCTCCTCACGGTTCCTGCCCTCCCGGCCCAGGGCATAGTGGCGTCCGCCATCCAGCCGCCGGATGGGAATGTTGAAGACCCGGCCTCGGAGAAGCACTGCCAGGGTGAAGGGCTGGGAGCCATGAGGCCCTGAGCTGGGGCGCACGGTATAGGCCCCATCCTGTGGAGGAGACCCCAGCCATCAACCTCATCTTCCAATGGCCCTCCCACTGCCCTGACCCATGATGGGGCCAGAACCCTCCTGGCCCTCCTGCTCCCCACTGCTCGGCCAGCCACAGCCTGTGAGCAAAAGGGGTTTTGGAGAAGACCCGGGGTCCGTGGCTGCCCACCTTTTGTAAGTGGAGCAGGGCACTCTCAACAGCATAGCGGTCACAGTTCCCCGAGTACCAAGGCTGAGTCAGCAGATCACTGTCCTGTGCATACACACAGTCACTCAGAAACATGCCAGGGCACTCAATCAGGCATGCGGAGCCGAGGACCCAGGGTGCAGTTATTTATGTTCCCATCTCCTATGCTCAACTGAGTCCCCCTCAGGCAGAACAAAGTGGTGTCCCTGTCTGGGGCACGGCGGGGTGCCGCACACGTGTGTTCAATGTGTTCTTGCAGTGGTGCACCCTTCAGCCCAAGAGGGTTCCTGGGTAAGGACTCTCAGGCTCTGCTCCCGGAACCTCTCCCTACAGCCTGCTCCCAGCCCCTCCTCACCTCAGCAGCTGAGGCACTCCCAGTGGGGGCTACAGAGGGAAGAGACGATTTCCTTCCTTCTAGAAGAAGCAGATTATTGAGCTGGGGTGGGGTGGGGTGGGGTGGGGGTGGGCAAAGGTGGCTTCTAGGGGACAGCTGCGGGGGTGGGGGGTAGGAGGAGGCGTACATGGCCCCGAGCCCAAACCCCGGCACCCAGTGCTTCCTCCACTCTCCAGATCCAGTGCCCTGGCAGGACCCACCAGCCAGGCCTCGTGTGACCTCCAAATGAGGCGTGATCTTGGGGCACAGACTAGGAGCTTCCTGATTTGGTGCAGGCACCGGAAAATGCCCAAGAGGGTCCCCTCAGGCCTGATCTCAGCTGGAGTCAGAGCTTCAGGGACATCCTCAGTAACTTGGGGCCTGAGGGAGTCTGGCCTGCAGGGCTGGGGCTGGGGCAGGCCCTGGCAGGACCACCTGCATTCATGCTGAAGATGCCTGCATTCACCTAGTTTTTTTTTTTTTTTTTTAAGTCTAGTCAAGTGCAGTAGTGAGAAGTGGGGAAAGGGTAGAACAAGGAGTTTGATCTGTAACTGACTGTGAACAATCAGTTGGGATAACTCACTACCTTTGGACCAGCCTTTACTCACCTTTAGAGGCAGCATCTGCTGTTCCCTGGCATACAGGAGGTCTGATCAGAAGAGGCCGGGCCCCAGGTCCCACCCTGAGCCTCCCTCCCTGCCTCCCTCTCTTCTCCCCTGACCATCAGCCTCTTACATTCCGAGTTTCCTGGGGGGCTGTGGTAGGCCTGTGGGAAGCAAATCGGGGGACAGAACTCAGGGTCTTTATGTTTTTCAAGAGAAAGGGCCAGTGAACCCAGCATTCCAAGCTGCCCCTGCCACCACTGCCAACAACCATGGGACAGTGCAAGGAGATTCCATCCCAGGGTCAGGGCTGGGGAAGCCTGAACTGGGGTGCTGTCTCTCTCTGTGTCTCACATACATACACACAGGTGCACACCTGGTGGGGCACTTACCTGGGCACCACTGATGTCCTGGGCAGAGGGCCTGAGGGCATCAGGACTTGGAAGCTGAGAGTCTGAGTCAAAGCCAGGACTGAAACAGGGAGGGGCAGGCTGGGCTCGGCTGAGCACCAGGCAGGGAATCCATGCTGACCAGGGCAGGGCTGAGAACAGCTGCAGGGCCTGCTGCTTCTCTGCAGCCTGGACTTTCTGGGAGTGCTTCCAACCAGAGGCAGATGCTGTCCTGGCCGCAGCAGCTGGGGAGCCCCACCCAGCCCATGCTCTAAGGGGAGCACCTCCCTTGCTGGCACAGTGTGGGTCAGCCTGGACCACAGGCAGGAGTGTGATGTCCATGCGGTGACTGAAGGCAAATGCGTGTTGGTGGGGGGTGGTGAGAGGCAGCAAGGGAAGCAGATGGAGCCAGGAGAGTGTGTTGTGCTGTGAGCAGCTGAGGGCCTCGGGCAGGAGGGGTCTGGAGCTGAGGGAGGGGCTCACCTGGATCCGGCTCACATTCCAAGTAGAGGTCCTCATCAGGTTTCTTTGGAGGGCCTGGCACCTAAGGTAGGGAGGGGTGTGTGAGACCATGGGTTTGACCAGTCCTGAGGCTCCATTTAGGACTGGGGTTTTGGGGGAGGAGCCATCGATTTGAAGGGGTGGCAGGCACCTCACTCCCTCCTCACATGGTGACCCTCTTTCTGGGAGCTAGCTTGAATGATTACAATTTCTCCTCTGTCTCAGAGGGGGCATCCCACGAGCACCTTCCCCTTCAGAGGCGCCCATGGGCCCCAGCTCTCAGAGAGTGTGAGGAGGATCCCTGGGCGGCACCCTCAGGACAGCTGGCTCATTGCCTGCCAGGGGCCTGTGGCTGAGGGGCAGGGGCCCTGCTCTGGGCCTTTTCCCTTGGTTTCAGGGATATTTCCTGGCCCTCCCTAGGCCCCACCCCACCCCTGCCAGTTTCTTAACCAGAAGCCTGGAAACTGAGGTGGAAATGGAGGGGCTGCTCACCACTCTGGACGATGCACCCTGCTCTGAAAGGAAAAGGAGAGAACCACCTGTCATGCACGGCAGGGAGCAGAAAGGAATTCAGCGGGACTGAGGCTGAAAAAGCAGAGTCTCCTTAGGGTGCCTCCGAGGAGGACATCTCAGAGCCAGCTTTGAAGCCCCAGGAGAAAGCTTTTCTCATCCCCTGATGGTTCTCTGCACAGCCCTATGGTGTCACCTTTCCTGACCTCCCAACTGACTTGGCAGGCCTGGCTCCAAATGACTTTGGACTGTTCAAAAAATCATAGCAGCTGGGCACAGTGGCTCATGCCTGTAATTCCCAGCACTTTGGGAGGCTGAGGCGGGCAGATCACTTGAGGTGAGGAGTTCGAGGCCAGCCTGGCCAACATGGTGAAATCTTGTCTCTACTAAAAATACAAAAATTCGGCCGGGCGCGGTGGCTCACGCCTGTAATCCCAGCACTTTGGGAGGCCGAGGCAGGCGGATCACGAGGTCAGGAGATCGAGACCATCCTGGCTAACACGGTGAAACCCCGTCTCTACTAAAAATACAAAAAATTAGCCGGGCGTGGTAGCGGGCGCCTGTAGTCCCAGCTACTCGGGAGGCTGAGGCAGGAGAATGGCGTGAACCCCAGGGGGCGGAGCCTGCAGTGAGCCGAGATTGCGCCACTGCACTCCAGCCTGGGCGACAGCAAGACTCCGTCTCAAAAAAAAAACAAAACAAAACAAAACAAAAAAAATAAATAAATAAAAATACAAAAATTAGCCAGAAATCGCTTGAACCCGGGAGGCAGAGGTTGCAGTGAGCCAAGATCGTGCCACTGCACTCCAGCATGGGTAACAGAGCGAGACTCCGACTCAATAAAAAAAAAAAAAATCAGAGCAGCCGAGCCAAAAAAAAAAAAAAGAGCAGACTCTGCTTCTGTGTGATCTTAGGCACAATATTTCATATCTCTGGGCCTCAGTCTCCTCATTCATTTCATTAGAGGCAACGCCACCTGCCTGCCTACCTTAGAGGATTGGTAGGTTAAAAAGGGGCACAGCCAGGGGAGTGCCATGAAGGGGCAGAGTATGAGACCCATGTCAGGCAAGCACAGCTCTACCCCGTGGCGGGAGTACTCCCCGTCCCAGGGTGGAGCCACAGAAAGAGAGGACATCCCCATTACCTCGCCTCCCAAAGATAGGTCCCTGCTTTCCGGCCACCGGCAGGCTCACTGCTCCCTTCAGCTGTGGGCACAGTGGGGCTGGTGAGCGCAGATGGTGAGAGCAGGAGGCAAGGATGGGGCGGGATAGGATGGGATGGGACCACTTGTATCTGTGTAGCTTTAAAAAATGTACAAAAGGGATGACTCTTCCCTTTGCTTCTACCCTGTGGCTCTTTCTTTGCTGTGAATCGCTCCCTGCTTTTTACAAAAATTTTAGTGAAATGTATGATAAAGGTAGTAGCTTTCAAAATCCATAAAGTCCCACTGGGATAAAGGTGGGAATGGGAGCTGGCAGTGACTGACAGCTGAGGAAGGGATTTCTTTGCTCTGGAGGTGGGGAGGGGTCCTCAGGCCCCAGAATCCAAGGGAAGGGCAGCTGAGCCCCTCCCCTCCCCCTCAGAGACATGAGAAGGGCACCGTGGGTGAAGCTGAAGGGGAGGCTGGAAGGACCAGGCCAGGCGAGTTGGAGGAGTGACTGACAGCGGCAGGGCTCTGGCTTCTCATGCATCTGGCATCTGATTTTTCAGGGGCCTCTTGAATGCAAATGTGGGGGAATCTTGCAAATGAGATGCCTCTAAGATTCACTCACTGGGAAATGGCAGCCTGGGATGGGGCGGGTGGGGAAGGAGGGACTTCTGGAGAGGCCTCTCACCATGGTGGGCTGAGGCAGGGGTGGCGATGGCTTTGATGGACCCAGGGGGCCAGAGTGATCTGGAAAAGATCGCATTTGTTGTGAGTTGGTGGGTTCCTCCCAGGTGGGTTCCCATTTTCCTCCCGCCTCCCCCCGACCAGCCTCCATTTCCTCCTCCTTTCCTCGCTCCCCTTGCTCATTGGCTTCCTGACAGCCCAGTCTCCATGGCAACTGGAGGCGGGCAGTTTCCCTGCCCCAACCTGGCCGAGGAGCTGAGCAGTGGGGGTGGGATGCCAGCGGCAGCCGGGGCTCTCCCAGCACCCCCGCCCTTGGCCTGAAGAAGTGTTGGGATCTCAGAAGGGGAATGCCAGGCCCCTGCTGTTGCCTTGGTTACACCACCCCTCCTCTTCCCTTCCCACTCTTCTTCCTCCCTCCCACCCTCCCTCCCTCCGTTCCTTCATCCCTCTCTCTCTCCCTGCCCAGCCAAGAGGCCCTGGTGACTGCCAGCTGAGGCCTCCTTTGCTGCCTTAGTGCGGGCAGGGGAGGAGAGGCGAGGCCTATGTCCTCTTGTCTTGTGGGGACCCTCCTGCCCTGCCCAAGCACCTGGTCTCCCTGCCTCCCACCTCCTAGCCCTCACCCAGGTACAAGGAGTCCTCCTCAGTGCCAGGAAGGTGGGCAGGGGCTAGACTGAGGGGCAGAGCCTCACAGGGGGGCAGCTCATACTTATTTTCCTCCTCGTCCTCCTCCTGGGCCTGGAGGAAGGGATGCTCAGCACAGCAGGAATGGAGGGGAGAGGGTGTTCAAAGCAGGCTCTGGCCGCTGCCTCCCCACCCCAACCTCAGTAGGCAGACTCACCTTGTGTCTCCAAGTCCCTGGGGCAGGCAGGAAGGAAGGGCTGGGAGCATCTTCTCTCCAACCTGGGGAGTCTGGACAGACAAGCTGGCCTCACCTCCTCCCTGCCCACCTTTCCCCAGTATAATAAACCACCCGCCCTCCAGTGCTTCAACTCAAAGGAACCACTCATCACAGGCATTCCCAATGCTGCCACGGGGCCACTGAGGTAGGCAGTCTGGAAACAAGGGGCCCTTCCACCTATGCCCATCCCCTGTCCCCTGCACCCTTGACTCTGGCCAAGACAGATGGGAGAGCTAGGCCCCTGTGACTCAGCAGTGCTGGGCTCTGGGAGGCAGGAGGTGTGCAGAGTCACTCAGGGGGGACCTGACTTGCAAGGGATCCCAGTCTGTTGGGCCCCTCTGACCCCCTGTGTCACTTACCCACACATCTGGGGGGTGGGAGCGGTGGCCCCAGCCTGCAAGCACATTCTAGTCAACTCTGCCCAAGGGGCCCTGGAGTTTCTATGAGACAGACGCTGTGTTCTGGGACATTCACATCCATGACAGTGTGACTGACAGGTACCCTGGTACCAGGGCAGCAGAGAAGGAGGCTGGGGGCAGAGCTGGTGCCCGTGGGTGCATAACTGCATGAGCTGGTGCCCTGGGGAAGCCGGGAGTCAGGGAGCCCTAGTGCTGACAGGAAGTGGAGGCGCGTGAATGGTCTCCCTGGGCAGAGAGGGGCCAGGCAGAGACAGCACAGCTCCTGGGATGGCTGTGCCCAGGAGAGGAGGGGTAGAGAGAGACAAGAGGGGAGGGCAGGGGAGAGAGGAGTCCCAGTACTCACCGGGGCCTGCTCCCACTGAGCTTGTCCTGGAAAAAGCCAGGGTGGGGAGTACAGGGGTCAGTGCAACCACCCCCGTGGCCGAGTCCTGGGCCTCCCAGGTGGGCAGGTTTACATGCCTGAGGCCGTCCCGGGACCACATCTTACCATGGCAGAGGCAGAGGAGCTTTGCCTCCCTGGAGCCCAGGATCTGCCACAAATGGCCTGGGGACAAGGGCTCCATTGTTCCCATCATTTGCATCTCCTAAACACCAGGAAGGTAGATCTGCTGTGGCCTCCAACCCTGGACCAACTTCATCCAGGACACTCTCAGGGCCCAGCCCCAGGTCTCTGAGCCTCCCCTAGGCGGGCCTCCCCCAGCTGTGGTCTCCAGCCCCTCTGCACGATAAGAGGAAGAGCCAAGCTGGACCAGGGTTCTCAGGCTTCCTTCAGCTCTCTGATCAGTGTCACCTTTCTCAACTCATAGACAACATTACATTATTTGGCAGATCCAATTAAAAACAGCATGCTGGCCTTGCAGACACTTTTCTTAAACCCTTTACTACTGTTGTCATTTGCTGGTGAGTGATGACCAACGATTAAGGAGATGAAGGCGAGGGAAGCGCTTAGAAAGAAGTTCTCATATTTAGTGTGGCAGCTTCATTTTTTGATGGATGTATTTATCCATTCAGTGGGTATTTATTGAACATCCACTGTCTGCCAGAGGCTGTTCCAGGCGTTGAAGATGCCGTAGGAAAATGAAGCAGGAAGGCATTACGTGTGTTTCCTCATTGGATTCTCACAATAACGTCATGCCGCAAGTACTAGTTTTATCCCTGCTTTTCAAATGAGGAAACTGAGTGTATTAGTCAGCTCAGGCTGCCATAACCAAAACCCACGAACTGTGTGGCTTAAGCAACAGAAATGTCATTTTCTCACTGTTCTGGAGCTAGAAGTCTAAGATCAAGGTGCCATAAAGGTTGGTTTGTGATGCGGCCTCTCTTCTTGGCTTGTAAACGGCTGCTTTCTCTGTGTCCTCACATGGCCTCTTGTCTGTGCAGAGAGAGGCGGTTCTGGTAACTCTTCTTCTTATGAAGACACCCACACTATCAGATTAGGGCCCCACCCCCATGACCTCATTTATTCTTAATGACCTCCCTAAAGACCCTATCTCTAAATAGTCACATGGGGGGTTAGGATTTTAGCATATGAATCTTAAGGGAACACAATTCAGTCATAACACTGAGGCTCTGAGAAGTTGAATAGCTTTCCTGAGGTCATGCACTTAGCAAGTGTTGGAGGTGGGATTCAACCTGAGCTCTGCCTGCCCCAGAGCCTGTGCCCTAAAGGCTAAGCAACCTGTACCTCACCAGGATTGGGTCTGGACCCTACTTTCCTACGATGGAATTAGCAGTGCTAATTGTGACCTTCCTTAAGGAGCTCATGACTTCCAGGGGCTCTGTTACCTGAGTGAATTTAGGAACTTTGACTTTCTGAGAAGCGTGGCGATAAAAAGATAAAAAGGAGGGCTGGGGCCTGGTGTCTGACTCTGTTTAAGTCAGGGAATGAGGAAACACAGACCACGATCATGAATGATGACATGAGAACTTCTAAGGCCCTGGAGCTTTCTTGTGCTTATTATTTCGGTGGCATCCTGGCTGTTGGCACAAAGGAGAAACAAAGCCCACGTGCTTGCATCTTTGGGGGCCACCAGGCTGGGGGCACTGGGGAGACACCCAGGGATGGAGAGGAAGACCAGAAAATTCCTGGGACCTGCAGGCAAAAGGGCATCCAAGAAACCAAGAAGAGTCACTGGGGTGGCTTCACAGGGAGCCCATTTGGTACAAAGGGAAAAACCAAAAAAACAAAAATAACAAATCCTCATCCAGAATTGGTTCTACTGGGTCTATTCTTTGTCCTCCACTCTCAGCTGACCTTTCTTCCACATTTGAACCATAAGGCAGGCGGCAACTTCCCTCACCCAAGGGGACCTCGTTTGGAATCAGGGTCAGTAGGAAGTTCTGGACACCACCCCACTGTAAACCTCAGCCTGAGCGAGTTTCCCAGTCCATGCTGCCCTCACTCCAGCCACCTCCCTGCTCTGCTCAGGGCTTTGCATAGGCAAATGCCAAGGCCTGGGTGAGTGAAAGGGCCCCAGGCAGAGGGCAGAGTCCATGCCATCTGGGTGGGGGCACTGGCCTGGGCAGATCTGGGAGAAGGGGAAGGAAAGAGGGCTGCCTCAGTGGCCTCATGTTGTCACACAGGCAGATTGGGACATTCTCTTTATCCATCTTTGGCATGGAATTGCTCTGTGCACACCATAGATATTCCCTGGGGATGAATTCCTGGAAGTGGACTTACTAGAAACTCACATTTTGAAGGTATAACGCCCCACTGTCCAGCAGCACCTGAGTGCCTGTTTTATGGTCCTTCCATAGCACAAAGTGATTCTCCAAATTTCTCAGGTCTCAGCTACTGAGAACAGGCCATGGGCCCAAGGTAGTCTTAATCCACCCTCAGAAAACACACAGTGGTGTTTAGATAAAACTCAAATGGATTTTTCCCCTGCTCTCACACAATAACAGTCAACACAGAGCAGACTTCTGTGACCAAACGTGGTGGCGGGGTGGGCAGTTCTCCCCACCACCCAGTGAGCAATCAGTTCTGCAGCGGACACAGCGGGGTGTCCTCCAACCCAATTCCAACACTACCTACCTGGAGACAGAGTCAGATCCCACGGGTTGAGGGCTCAGTCCCCAAGACGCCTGCCCGGCCACCCCAGATACCAGGCACAAGTCTGGGCCTCCAGAACTTCTGACCAACTGGCTTCAAGCTGGGGTTCCCACAACCTCCTCTTTGGGTTTGATTAATTTGCTGGAGCAGCAGCTCACAGAACTCAGTGAAACACTTACTTATGTTTACTGGTTTATTATGAAGGATATTGCAAAGGATACAGATGAAGAGATGTGTAGGGCAGAAATAGTGGGAAAGGGTGTGGAGGCTCCATGCCCTCCGTGGGCACACCACACTCTAGGAGCCTCACATGGTCAGCTATGGAGAAGCTCTCTGAACCAGGCCTCTTGGGTTTTTATAGAAGATTCATAACCACAGCATTCCTTCTCCCAGAGTATGGGGCAGGACCCTCTCTGGAATTAGGGTCCCACAATCAGAAAGGTGGAGGAAGATTAGAGTACGGCCTTAGGCGGGTGAAAGGAGGACAGGAAAAGGCCAGAGAGATTCTGTTTCCCCAAGGCCTGCTCCTGAGGCCTAACACAGCCAACATCATAATCAAAGGCTCTAAACAGGGCTGTGGGAGTTATGAGCCTGGAACCGTGGACGAAAACCTACATATGGAAGAAATACTTGAGGTCATTTTTGCCAGCAGACAGAGAAGATGGCGAAGTGTAGCCGGGACCCGTGGTGTGAGTGGAGTGGGATTCATTGCAAGGAGGAAGATGGAGGTGGCTCTGAGGACCTGCAGGGGGACAGGTAAGCAGGCTGTGGTCAGAGGTCTCAGAGGTGGGAGAGCGCAGCACGTGGAGGAAGAGCCGCGGAGATGTGGGTGGCTGGGCTCACCAAGAACAGAAGGGGACATCTGCCATCCTTTTTGGCTGCTAAACATGCTTTACATTTGGGGAGTTCTCCGCCTCATGAATCCTCGTTTCCAATTGCAGAAGCCAGGTGAGGCCTTCCCAGCCTCCCCTTGCCGCTGAGGTGCAGGGTCTGCCAGCCAGAGGCCCCGTGCCAGACTCTGAACCTGCATCAGGCACCAAGAAAAATGCACCCTGGGAGGGTGGTGACAGCCAAATCCTGTTTCCAGAGGCTTAGGGGAGTGAGCCCTTAGTGCCACCACCCAGGGCCCAAATCAATGGCATTGGCAAACAGTGGTATCAGTGTCCAGGGTGGCTCTGCCAGGCTGGCTTGGCTGTGACCTTTGGGACATTATTCCTGGCTAACTCTCTAGCCCTGCTGGAGATGCTATGAGCTACAGAATAGTTTTAATAATTTATTTTCCAGCTTAAACTAGCTAGAGTCTGTTTCTCTTACTTTCAGTTAAGAACTTTAATCCGGCCGGGCGTGGTGGCTCACGCTTGTAATCCCAACACTTTGGGAGGCTGCGGTGGGTGGATCACAAAGTCAGGAGTTTGAGACCAGCCTGGCCAACATGGTGAAACCCTGTCTCTACTAAAAACAATACAAAACTATTAGCCGGGCATTGTGGCGAGTACCTGTAATCCCAGCCCTCAGGAGGTTGTTGAGGCAGGAGAATAGCTTGAACCCAGGAGGCGGAGGTTGCTGTGAGCCGAAATCGCGCCATTGCTCTCAAACCTGGGCAGTAAGAGTGAAACACAGTCTCAAAAAAAAAAAAAAAAAAAAAAGAAAGAAAGAAAAGAACTTTAATTTGGGGATGAAACCTCAGAGTCAGTGGGATCACCAAATGGATGCCAAGAAACTCAAACAGTGAACCCAGGTATGGGTGTCTCCTGGGAAGGTGGAACCAGATAGAACTAGTGTTACGGCGTTATACTTGTATAGTGTTGGGACTATTTATTTATTTATTTATTTATTTCGAGATGGAGTCTCGCTCTGTCACCCAGGCTGGAGTGCAGTGGCACGATCTTGGCTCACTGCAACCTCTGCCTCCCAGGTTCAAGCGATTCTCCTTTTTCAGCCTCCTGAGTAGCTGGGACCACAGGCGCGCATCACCATGCCTGGCTAATTTTTGTATTTTTAGTACAGACGGGGTTTCACTATGTTGGCCGGGCTGATCTCAAACTCCTGACCTTGTGATCCACCTGCCTCGGCCTCCCAAAGTGCTGGGATTACAGGCGTAAGCCAACAAGCCCAGCCAGGACTATTTATTTTTAGAGACAGGGTCTCACCCTGTCACCCAGGCTAGAGTGCAGTGGCATGACCATAGACCACTGCAGCCTCAAACTCATGCCTCAAGTTTAGGTTAGGACTCAACTGATCCTCCAGCCTCAACTTCCCAAGTAGCTAGGACTATATGCTCACACCACCAGGCCCAGCTAATTTTTAAACATTTTTTGTAGACATGAGGTCTTGCTATGTGGCCCAGGATGGTCTGAAACTCCTGGCCTCAAGTGATCCTCCTGCCTTAGCCTCCCAAAGTGTTGGGATTACAGGTGAGACCTACTGTGCCCAACCATTAATTATTTTTATAATTTAAAAAAATCCATCAATATAGATAGAAAGAAAGAAAAAGAAGGGAGGAAGGGAAAGAGGGAGGGAGATGTGACCTGGACTTCAAATATAAGGAAGCACAGGAAGACAGAGGCACTAGGGGAAGGCAGGGCCAGGGAGCGGGAGGCCAGGCCAACAGGAGGTTATGTGGGGGCCACCATGGGAAAGCCAGGTTTCCCTTCTTGAGGGGAGTGGAAGAGAGGTACTGATGACACAAGGATTCCTCTCCCAGCAGAGTGGGAACCCACAAAGGCAAGTGAAGTTTAGGTGGGGTAGAAAGGAAAGAACTTTCTGAACATGAGGTTAGGGCCAAGTGCGTGGGGAGAGGTCTGTCCCTGAGGAAATAGGGGGACAGGAGCTGGGGAGCTCAGAAGCTCAAGACCAGCCTGGAAACAGGGGGACAGGGCAGGGAGCTGCATGTGGAGAAGAAGGTCCCACAAGGGTAAGGGGCCTTGAGTCCTCAGGACATTTTTGCCAGAGCAGGTGCTCAGGTTAGAGGCCCAAGACGTTCCTGGTGGAAGGGCCTACAGCCAACGGAACTCTGTGGTTGGGTTCAAGTTAAAGCCAGGGGCAATCCCGGGGGACAGCAGTTTGCAGTAGGGAGGGAAGGGGCTGTCCTGGGCCAATGGATGATGGGGCTGGCTTCACACAAGCTAGCAGAGGCCCCTCTTCCTCCCTCGCCTGCTGCTGTCACAGGTCTGCTGACTCAGCTGACTCGGGACAGCTGTGATGGGTGATGAAGGGCTGACAGAGCGAGGGACAGATGGCTCCCTAGGAGAGGCCTCTGCCCCATCCCTCCCTGGTGCACAATCATTTCTTGCCACAGTTTCAGAGCTTTGTGAGAGACCATCCCTCTGTCTCCCCTGGCAGTGGGTAGAAAGTCTGGTGTGTAGTTTGTTGGCCAGGTGCAGTGGCTCACACCTCTAACCCCAGCACTTTGGGAGGTCAAGGCAGGTGGATCTGTTGAGGTCAGGAGTTTGAGACCAGCCTGGCCAACATGGTAAAACCCCATCTCTACTAAAAATACAAAAAATTAACCGGGTGTGATAGCACACGCCTATAATCCCACTTACACGGGAGGCTGAGACAGGAGAATCACTTGAACCTGGGAGGTGGGAGTTGCAGTGAGCCGAAATTGTGCCATTGCACTCCAGCCTGGGCGACAGAGTGAGCAGAGTGAGACTTCGTCTCAAAAAACAAAACAAAACAAAACAAAAACAACAACAACAACAAAAAAAAAAACAGGCCGGGTGCAGGGGCTCACGCCTGTAGTCCCATCACTTTGGGAGGCCAAGGCAGGCGGATTACCTGAGGTCAGGAGTTCGAGACCAGCCTGGCCAACATGGCGAAACCCTGTCTCTACTAAAAATACAAAAATTAGCCAGACGTGGTGGCACGCGCCTGTAATCCTAGCTACTAGGGAGGCTGAGGCAGGAGAACTGCTTGAACCTAGGAGGTGCAGGTTGCAGTGAGCCGAGATCGTGCCATTGCACTCCAGCCTGGGTGACAAGAGTGAAACACCATCTCAAAACAAAACAAAACAAACAAACAAAAGTCTGGTGTGTAGTTTGTCTCTGTTTTTCCGGAAGGCATTCCACTAGTTCTTCTCAGGTTCTCCTAGGGTTAGGCTGGGAGCTGAAAGTTGAGGTTGGTTTTCCCCAGCCTCTAGGGCACAGTGTCCCAGACAGCAGCATCCTCTTCCCTCTGTCCCACCCAGGTGGTGTGCCTCTGTCCCACTCACCTGTCCTGCCCTGCCCTGTTCCGGAACCTTTGCTCGTAGTATCTCTGGTTGTGTCACGGCTCTGCCTAAAACCCTTGAGTGACTCCTCATGGCTCCTTGAACAGAAACCAAATGCTTCTTGATGCCTGGAAAGATCAGGCCCCTCCTACCTCCCCATCCCCAGTCCCTCCATTGTTTCCCAGGGACTCCCTCACACTCACCTTCTCTCTCTGCTCCTCCAATGTGACTGAGGCCCAGGCAGACCATTCTGTGTCCTGTTGACTTAAGGAAATTTTAGTGGAATTTCTAGATATTTACTCAATCTTTACAGAATATGACAAAGAGAGAGAGCATTCTTTTTAATTTTTTTAATTTAAAAACAGATATGGGGTCTCACTATGTTGTCCAGGCTGGTCTTGAACTTCTGGGCTCAAGCAATCCTCCTGCCTCAGCCTCCCAAAGTGTTGGGATCACAGGTGTGAGCCACTGCACTCGACCAAGAGGGCATTCTTAATATGCAGCACAACAGTAAAAAGAAAAAAAAAAGAAAGAAAGAAAAAAGGACTCTTCTATATGTATATCATACTTCAAAAAATGTTACCCCCAAAATGGCAATATCCTCTTCACAGATGTCCCCGTCTCCCAGAGCCCAGCCCTCTCCCTTCCACCTTGGCTCTTTATCCTGCACTCAGCCACAGTCTCTTTAGCTGTCTTTCAGCTTGATCCATTCCCCCGCTGCCCAGATTCTGCCCCCAAGAGAGCCCAGGAGGTGACCAAGTACACAGGATACACAGGTGAGGTTGGGTGTGGGGGAGAGTGGTTGCAAACACAGTGTGACATGGCTTCTTTCCACCCTTTCTAATCTCCACCAGGCCCTTCTTATCTGGAGTGTACATTTGCTATTCCTCCTCTGGAACATCCTGGCCCCTTTCCTCCCTCCTCCTGCAGGCCCCAGCTTAGGTGACCCTTCCTCAGCAGTGGAGGTCCCAGACCAGGACAGTCTCCTACCCCGCTCTCTGAGCTCCCACCATAATTAAACCTACAGGTTTATTTCACAGCTAGACTGTAAACTCCCACACTCGACTGCACGCTATGTAAATGGGCAGCCACTGTGTCTGCTAGGTTCACGGCCAAATTCCAAGTGCCGGGCCCACAGTCTGGCACACAGCAGGCTCTCAATCAATATTTGTTGTAGCTGCTATTCAAACCTTACTCATTCTTTACAGGTTGCGCAAAGCCTGCCTCTCTGCAAACATCTTTGGTCTCTCTTCTCTGAAAGGCCCGTGTCTTGCCCATTTCCTGTCCATATGTCTTCGACTACCGGGCCTAGGCTGAGGCACAATCCCCCGAGGTCCCGGCTGTTTATCTGCTGAAAACCTTTTTCCCCAGCGCAGATGGATCACCAAGGACTCCCTCACACTCACTTTCTCTGGTTCTCTGGATACCTCTGGCCGACCTTCCCCACCCCACTGGGTCCTTTCCTCAATTTGCCTTCCTTAGCGGGAGCGGCCGGCGTCTGTTCCTCCCCTACACTCTCCCTCCTCCACCAAATGTAACATGGCCCTGCTTAGGCTTCCTTCTTCAGCACAGAGCCTGGGAGCCAAGCTTCTCCTGTTCCCAGCTGGTCTTCTACCCTCCCCGTTAGGAGAGACTGGACACAGTGGCTCCCCGACGTCTCCAACCCCACCTCCTTCCTTGATGGGCCTGGAGGGCCCTGAGATCACCCTCCCTCCCTTTTACCAACAGAAAAGCCGAGGCCAGAGAAGAATGGATGCTGGCCAAGGCCATATGATGTACACAGAGCCAAAGCCACAGTCCCCTCACCCCGTCCCGGGCCACTGTGGGGACCTAAGCAGTCGTTCCACGGGAGAGGGCGACCCCTGGTGGTGAGGAGGGGCATGGCAGCCTGTCGCTCATTTCCTGGGCCCGGAGGCTGACGGTGGAAGGGGCGTGGCCTGGAGGACCACCGACCCAGGCTTTAGTTATCAGGAAGGTAAATGAAGGCAAGGCCCGCAGAGCGAAAGAACGTGGGAAGTTAGGACAAGTTTTGCTGGGCTTTGCCCTTCCTTAGCCACATTCCCTGTAATGACCTAACAACACTGCTCTGTGACTTTAACTGCACCCTGCTGATTGCTGGTTGGATCTTCAGGGAGCAGGAATGGGCATTCAACAGCTTTTGGCACACTGCATGTCCCAAGGGTCATTACTGACTTGAGGGTCTGGTGCGAAGCCCTGGAATGCAGAAGCTCACATTCTGATAATAAGATTTCTAATAATAAGAGAATGGGCTCAGTCCGGGCACGGTGGCTCATGCCTGTAATCCCGGCACTTTGGGAGGCCAAGGTGGGCTGATCACCTGAGGTCAGGAGTTCGAGACCAGCCTGGCCAACATGGTGAAACCCCGTCTCTACTAAAAATACGAAAATTAGCCAGGCGTGGTAGTGTGCGCCTGTGATCCCATAATCCCAGCTACTGAGGCTGAGGCAGGCTGAGGCAGGAGAACCGCTTAAGCCCGGGAGGCAGAGGTTGCAGTGGACCGAGATTGCGCCACTGCACTCCAGCCTGGGAGACAGAGCGAGACTCTGTCTCAGGAAACAAACAAACAAACAAACAAACAAAACAGAACGGGCTCTTATTAAAGAGTCCAGGGACTGAGTCAATAGCTGTCTCCAAGTTTCTATGGTACCTATCTCTCCTCTCTAGGGGCAAAAGGGCTACTCAACAAAAGGCTGATTGTTTTAACAGAAACACTCAGAAAACCAAACCTTTGAGAACTTCCCAGGCAGAAATAGGCATGCTTAGAGACCACGCGACCAGTTAATATGAACCCCACATCTGCTATCAAGAGAATCTGGGCAATCTACTTTGAATATCCCTTTTGGAGCTGTTTCTAGGTGTTTAGAGATCAAATGAAATATTTCTAGGAAGTAGCTCGCCTCGAACTAACCACACAAGAATGAAATCTCACTGACTTACAAGGTCATGGCTAAACCTTCATTGACTAGGTATTTTCCTCCTTCCTTGATGATCCAGTATGTAGCAGTATATGCCCAGATCAGGAAGTGTAAAAGCTGAAAATGGAGTTGGAGACAGAAAGTCCAATGTGTTGCTGGCCACTGTGGTGTCACTGCTCCCGATACAGGTGTAACCTGAGTCTCCCGCTTGGGAGCCAGAAATCAGCTGAGAAGAGGCCTCTGGAAAGAGGCTGCCCTGGCCCAGAAGGGTGGATGAAGTAGGGCCTCAGCACAGCTCATCCTACCGAGCAGGCCGGACCCTGAGTTCCTGGCTTGCACTGAAGGGTCTGGGTAAGTCCCTTCTGTAGCGCCTCAGAAGCTCCTTGGGCAACCTGGGAAGTTAGGACAAGAGCTCTGACATTTGACCCTGAGGTGTGAGGAGAGTGCTTTGAGAGAGAGGATGCTGAATGCGAGCGCCCTGGTTATTACCTCCTGGCAGCCTCCTAACCTCACCTTGACTCTGCCATGTAAAATTGATGCCTGGGCGCAGGGCGCCGACGATGGTCAGATACCGCGGCCTGCACACCCTGGGACCTACATCCCTGACCTGGAGGACCCAGGCCTTCCCCGGGCTTCACCACGAGTCCTGCCGGCCACACAGGGACCCTAACAGACCTAGTCCAGTCTCAGGGTCTGGGCTGCTCCTCCTTCCAGGAATGGGAGTTTGCTCTAGGCGATGGAGGAAGGGTTCAGGAGGCCACTCTGCCTGCTTAGCAGGCTGTGGGCCCAACCCCCCACCCACCATCTTCATCTCCCACGGCCCCAACCTCGTAGGGAGGGCAGGGCGGGGCTCAGGTTCGCAGAGAAGGAGGGCTCGGACCAGCGACTCCAGGGCAGAGGGGCGCGTGCAGGGGTGGGGAGCTGGGTTTGCGAGGAGAGAAGGCCATCTCTTCCCCAGCAGGGTAGCCCCCACCTAGCTACCGGGATCCCACCCTGGCTGGCGCAATCTTTGCGTCCGGATCAGCACCCAAGGCCCCGCCCAACGGCCCGCTGCCTGCCGGGATTTGTAGTTTGTAGGGGAGGGGCCAAAAGGCGCGCGCGCGCGCGTGTGTGTGTGTGCGTGTGTGACTGTGTGTTTGTGAGACTGTGTGTGTAAGTGTGTCCGGGGGTCTGTTGTGGTGCTCCCGTCCCCGAGGGCCCTCCGGACCTGGGCTCAGCAAAGGCACCACAGGCCGCAGCTTCCGAGACCCCGCCCCGCGGCCCACTGCCTGCTGGGATTTGTAGTTCTTAGGGGTCTAGGGCCCAGGCTGGGGCCGGGTTGGGGCCTTACACGCGTCCTGGCGTGTGGCTCTCCTGCGTCCTCGTTTTTCTCGTGAGCCCTGGATCTGGACAGTGGGCCCGGCGCGAGGCCCTCAACTCCGGCTGGGCTCCCGGTGGCACTTTCTGCCGACCCTGAGATGTACCCGCCACGCCTGCGGGACTGACCTCTAGGTGGGCAAACCGAGGCACAAAGAGGGGCGCGCTCTGGCCGGAGTCGGCCCTCTTGTGAGAATTTGGGCTGGGAGACCCAGCCCAGGCCTGGCAGGCAAGGCTGGGTCAGGCGAGGGTCCTGGGCCCTTTCGGTGTAAGAGTGTGCAAAATAATGAACAGGCCTGCCCAGGACTGGCTCTGCACATTAGCGCTAGTTACCTTACAGGCTTGACTGATCAGATTTTTATTTGGCACCACTACAGAGGGGAGCCCAGGGAGGGAGGAAGTCTCTCGTGACCAAGAAAACCTATGGTCCACCCTGGCCTACAACTCTGCTTTAACGACAAAAATAAACCGAGTTTGGGAGGGGGTGAGGAGGAGGGGTGTTTTGTAAACTGTGAAGTCCAGGTTATGAGTGAGGTGTTATTATCATCAGGATCAGACCTCAAAGCACTGGAGGAAAGGTCTGGGCCTTCAAGAGCCTCACCTCAAAAGGGAGGGTATGGCCGGGCGCAGTGGCTCACGCCTGTAATCCTAGCATTTTGGGAGGCTGAGGCAAGCAGATCACCTGAGGTCAGGGGTTCAAGACCAGCCTGGCCAACATGTCGAAACCCCATCTCTACTAAAAATAGAAAAAATTACCCGGGCGTGGTGGCACGTGCCTGTAATCCCAGCTACTCGGGAGGCTGAGGCAGGAGAATTGCTTGAACTCAGGAGGCGGAGTTTGCAGTGAGCCGAGATGGTGCCACTGCACTCCAGCCTGGGCAACAGAGCCAGACTCTGTCTCAAAAAAAAAAAAAAAAAAAAAAAGAGCTGAGATAGCTGTTTGCATGTGAAAGGACTCACAACTGGCACTAGCATGCGGTGATAGTGGGGAGGGCATGGACTCCCACTACATGGCTCCCATCTATCCTCTGCCGCTTACTAAGTGGGACCTAGAACAAGTGATTTTGACCTACTTTATCTCTCTTTATCTCTGTTTCCTCATCTGTCAAAGGAGGATAATAAGAGGATCCATGTTAGAGAGTAAATGCAAGGATTAAATGAGAAAATCATATCAAGGATAGCACCTGGCATATAGTGGCAGCACACAATAGTGTTAGCTGTTATGGTGTTGAGTACCCAGTGTGACGCTGGCTGTACAGGGGTAAACTTGTCTTCTGGGGGACTAGTCCCCCCATCCCAGGCACCTGGTGCCCTCCCCAGGCCACTCATGCTGTACTGGACAGTCCCACTTTCCCAAGAAGTCACAAGGAATTCCAGCATGTCACTGTTCTGGTTGCCCCTGAGCACCTAGCAGTGATTTAAGAAAAGGCAAAACCAAAGTTTTGGTTTTGAGCTTTATTCGGAAAATATGGCCACCCAGACCCCTGGCCATTCCCCAGGGCCTGTGAGGTGATCCAGAAAAATTCATTTGCAAATCAAATTTAATGGCTAGAAGCATCCTGAATCAATGTCTTCAAATAAATATTTGGGGCCGGTGAGGTGGCTCACACCTGTAATCCCAACACTTTGGGAGGCCGAGGCAGGCAGATCACCTGAGGTCAGGAGTTCGAGACTAGCCTGGCCGAAATGATGAAACCCTGTCTCTACTAAAAATACAAAAAAATTAGCTGGCATAGTGGCGTGCGCCTGTAGTCCCAGATATTCGGGAGGCTGAGGCAGGAGAATCACTTGAACCGGCGGGGGGGAAGGTTGCAGTGAGCTGAGATTGTGCCATTGCACTCCAGCTTGGGCGACAAGAGTGAGACTCTGTCTCGAAAAAAGAAAAAAAAAGGAATATTTGGGGGAATTTTGATGTTAGAATTGAGCATTGCAAAAGATCCCTGTCAGTCCCCCGTGATGAGGAAATGCAACTGCTCAGCCTGAGCTGTGCCTCTCGGTTGGAGTTAGAGGAGCCAGAAGGGACCCTTCGAGTCTAGTGCTTTCATTCACAGATGGGAAACTGAGGCCCAGAGAGGGCCACATGGCAGGGTAGTTAGAAGACAGGTCGAGAACTTGCTAGGAAGAATCTTTTGCAATTTCAGAACTTCTCAGCACTGGAAATGAGTCCATACCCCGAGTTTATGGGCACAGAAGCAGAAAGCTGATTGTCCTGGACATCCCCAGACCTTGGCCAGAGTCCAAGCAGCTAAGCCCAGAAGCCAGTGTCCAGTGCTTCTCTCTCCTGGGTTTCTTCAGCCAGGTGTTCATCCTAGAAGTAGGAGTTTATTAATAATGGTGATGGTATCTTGCATTGTCCAGGCCTTCATTCTTTTTGCGGATCCTCCCGGCTGGGCACAGTGGCTCACTCCTGTAATCCCAGCACTTTGGGAGGCCGAGGAAGGAGGATCACTTGAGCTCAGGAGTTCAAGGCTGCAGGGAGCTATGATCATGCCACTGCACTCCAGAGCCTAGGTGACAGAGTGAGACCCTGTCTCTTAAAAAAAAAGAAAAAAGAAAAAAAGCAGCCTTTCATTGAATCCTCACAACCTTCCAAGGTAGGAGGACTGGGGCTTCTGTTCTCGTTTCACAGATGAGGAATCTGTGGCTAGGAAGTCTTAAGGGATTATCCCGAGGCAACAGAATCTGGGCAGTATTAGAATGTGGGGGTTTTGCTGTCTAATCTGTTAATGCATTCAGTAAAAATTTTTTTGAGTGCCTATTACCTGCTGGGCGCTATGCAGGGTGCTGGGATTGCAAGGATGACTTGACACGGTCCCTGGCTAGAGGTGCTAACATTATGGTGGAGGAAGCACATGGTGGGGAGGGAACTTTCTGGTGTGATAGAAGTGTTTTATATCTTGGTAGGGATGTGGGTTACATGGGTGTTGCATCTGTCAAAACTGATTTAAATGTACACATGATTTGTGCATTTCACTATAAATTTGACCTAAGCAAAACAAAACAAAAACTGAATGCTCTGGAAGGACTATGCCTGGGCACAACCTTGGAGAGGCCTAGTTGTCTGGAAGCAGGCCAGGTTGCCCATGGATCCAAATCCACTTTTGCTATCGGGTGTGCCTGAGAAGTGTTCCCATGGGCGTGTAGATGCAGGTGGCCCAGTGGCTTGATGTCCAGAATACCTGGGGAGCACTGCAGAGGGAGTTTCAGAGGAGGGATATTTAAGCTGAGTCTGCAGAGTGAGCAGAGTTGGTCAAAGGAAGGCAGATAGTAGGCAGCGGGAGGTGGTTTCCGAGGACTCCTTGCTGGAGTGTGCTTGTCTGAGGTCACCCAGATAGAAAGATTGTTTCCTTACCCCAGGCCCCACCCATGGACTTCAGAGAAACTCATTCTGGTTGGGATTTTCGAAGCTGCCTCCCACAAAAGGATCTTACCACTGTGTCACAAGGCCATGGCCTGATCCTCATGCTCTTTGTCAACTGACATCTCTCATGGGTTGGCTATGCCACATTCAGGAGCCAAGGCGGAAGTGTGGACCCATCGCTGTCCAACACATTTCCAGAAGGCCTGGCCTCCTGGTGCAGATGCTTGCTGGCCTGTTTTCCTCTGAATAAAGAAGAGAAGGGTCAGGTGTTGCAGGTCAGATCAGCCTGGGTTAGAATCCTGGTTCAGCAGTTGGGTGCGGTGGCTCATGCCTATAATGCCAGCACTTTGGGAGGCCAAAGCAGGAGGATCACTTGAGCCCAGGAGTTTGAGACCAACCTGGGCAATAGAGTGAGACACAGTCTCTCCAAAAAAAAAAAAAAGTTTAGCTGGGCGTGGTGGCATATGCCTGCAGTCCCAGCTACTCAGGAGGCTGAGGCTGGAGGATTGCTTGAGCCTGGGAGGTTGAGGCTGTAGTGAGCTGTGATCACAGCACCGCACTCCAGGTGCCGCGACAGAGTGAGACCCTGTCTCAAAAAAAAAAAAAAAAATCTTAGTTCTGCTACTGAACTAGCAATGTGACACTCTGGACAAGTTAGTTACCCTCTCTGAGCCTCCCAAAGACTTCATGTTTCCAGCAGGAATAATGATAGTAGATGTGAGGACGCACCAAGCACATAGTAGGCTCTCACAGAACAGTAGCTGTTCACAGGGTGATTGAGGCCGGGGGCCTAACGATTGAATGGAAGTGAACACTGCAATTCTCTCGCAAAGTTTACAGCACAGTAAGCTTGTCCTTAGCTTCCCCTATACCCTCCTTCCCACGCCCAATTCTAGGACCCTTTCGGGCGCCCCAGCCTCCCATAGGGGCTCCCCGCCAGCTCAGACCGGCCGGGCCCCTCCCTCTGACTCACCGGGGGCGGCTCCTGGCCGCGCACCTCCAGGGGGCGGGGGGCGGCTGAGACAGCGCCCAGGGCCTCGGAGCAAGGCGTTGGCAGGCAAGTAGTGCGCTTCGGGGTCCGGTCGCCGGGGACCTGGGCTCCCCATGTAGGGGTCGAACGGGCTTAGCCGGTTCGGGGGCGCCCCGCTCCCTCCTCTTCTCCCACAGCCGGGGTCCTCTCTTAGGGGCGCGCCGTCTCCTGGCTTCCTGTAAGAAAAGGCGGGAGAGGGTGGGTCCGTGCTAAAGAAATACTTTATTTTACTTCATTTGGGACAAACTAAGCAGTAGTGCTCAGGGGAGACCACAAGGGTAGGAACACTGTGCGTCTGGTAAAAAAACTAGTTCTAGAGCGTCGTTACCAGATAACTCATTAGCATGTGCATTGAGTTCCTAGCCGCTCCCGAGAGTCCTAGGCTGAGCGACCGGCCCTTTTGTTTCGCTGTTGTTGTTGTTTGTTTTTTGAGACGGAGTTTTGTTTTTATTGCCCAGGCTGGAGTGCAGTGGCGAGATCTCGGCTCACCGCAACCTCCGCCTCCCGGGTTCAAGCGATTCTCCTGCCTTAGCCTCCCGAGTAGCTGAGATTATAGGCGCCCGCCACCACGCCCAGCTAATTTTTGTATTATTAGTAGAGATGGGGTTTCGCCACGTTGGTCAGGCTGGTCTCGAACTTCTGACCTCAGGTGATCCGCCCGCCACGGCCTCCCAGAGTGTTGGGATTACAGGCGTGAGCCACTGCGCCCAGCCAGTTGTTTCGCTGTTAATGTGTAAACCTCTCCCCTTTTTTCCTGTGGTGATAGGAGAGGCTTTAGCCTAGACAGCTGAGTGTGAGGAACAGTGATTCCCATTGATCCTTGTTCCCTCCGTGGGTCACAGAGTCCAGAACTTAAGAGCCACCCAAGGTATGCGCTGTTGTGACCAAAATCTATGAAGCTTTCCAGCGCTGGGGCTGGGGATGGAAATAGGAGAGTGCTCTGTGGTTTAACTTTCTTTCCTCCTGTGGAGAAACCGGGAGCTAGGGGAGTGGCCAGGCACATTTCTACCTCAGGTGCTGATGGCACATTGCAAACTAAAGGGAAGAGAAAGAAGTCTGGGTTTATCGAGCATGTATTATTTGCTCATTAATCATAGGATCTCATTTCATCTTCACATTTAACTGTATGCACGTGTTACAGATTGGGGCACAGGGAGGCTCCAGGAGGTTAAGTCACTTGCACAGCTAGTAAGGAGCCAAATTGTCTAGCTCTTATCACTCTACCAGGTTAACCGCCCAGCCTGTGGTTTTGTGGGGACTAGGCCCTACTGGGATTCTCACCCAGACTATCCTTTTTTTTCTTTTTTAAACTTTTAAGTTCAGGGGTACATGTGCATGTTTGTTATATAGGTAAACTCGTGTCATGGGGCTTTGTTGTACAGATTATTTTGTCTCCCCGGTATTAAGCCTAGTACCCATTAGTTATTTTCCTGAATCTCTCCCTCCTCCCACCCTCCACCAAACTACCCTATTATTATTGTTATTATTATTATTTTTTGAGACTGAGTCTTGCCCAGTCACCCAGGCTGGAGTGCAATGGCGCAATCTCGGCTCACTGCAACCTCTGCCTCCCGGGTTCAAGCGATTCTCCTGCCTCAGCCTCCTGAATAGCTGAGATTACAGGCATGCGCCACCACCCCCGGCTAATTTTTTGTGTCTTTAGTAGAGATGGCGGTTTAACCATGCTGGCCAGGCTGGTCTCGAACTCCTGACCTCATGATCCACCCGCCTTGGCCTCCCAAAGTGCTGGGATTACAGGCGTGAGCCACCGCGCCCGGCCCATATTACCCTATTTTTAAGCCTGGCAGTTTGGCCATGGAGACACTTGGATGCTAGCTACAGGCCATGTTCTTTGGGGAGAAGATTTAACTTCCCGTCTTGCTCTAGTGAAATTTTATCAATTTCGTTTCAATGAGAAACATTCATCCAGTATTGCTTTTTTTTTTTTTGAGATGGAGTCTTGCTTTGTCTCCCAGGCTGGAGTGCAGTGGCGCCATCTCGGCTCTCTGCAGCCTCCGCCTCCTGGGTTCAAGTGATTCTTCTGCCTCAGTCGCTCCAGTAGCTAGGATTACAGGCACCCATGACCATGCCCGGCTAATTTTTGTATTTTTAGTAGAGACAGGGTTTCACCATGTTGGCCAGGCTGGTCTTGAACTCCTGACCTCAGGTAATCTGCCTGCCTCAGTCTCCCAAAGTGCTGGGATTACCGGAGACAGCCACCATGCCCAGCCTATCCAGTACTGTATTTTCTCCAGACTTTTCCCACGCAGTCAAATAATGAGGTTTTGTTTGAAGGTCTGCTAATTAGGAAGATTTGTTCCAGATTTTGCTCCAGGGTCCCCAGGCCTTGACCCTGAACCTGGAGCCTTGTCTCAAGCCAGCCTGCTGACCAATACCTTTCCAGGACAGGCCGGCTAGGTTCTGGGCAGAGGAACTACGCTTGTGTGGCTGCATAACTGGGTGCTCACTTTCTCCTGGAGCCTCATACTGAGTCCGCTCATCCTTCCCCCAGGGATTCAGAAGGGAATGGGAGCCTCCCTTGCAGGGGCTTCCACTCCCTGTGTGTTTGTGGGCAGTCTCTTGTGCTCTCAGGACCTCGGTGTCCTCCAGAAAGCCAGCGAGTTGGAGGAGACAAGCTCTAGGGTCTAGTGACTGTGATGTAGGCAGGATAGTTGCCCTGGGTCAACCCAGGATGGGCTGTCTCTCAGAGGGCCCAGGGCCCAGAAGTCATGATGATAAACATCTGGTGAATGAGAAGCAGACCAAAGGGTAGAGACCTGAGAGGCATCAGCATGGCATGCGGAAGATGGTGAAGAATGTTTTATGGCCTCAGCCATTCCCTGAGAACTGAGCTTAGCCAGGTGCAGTAGCCCACGCCTGTAATCCCAGCACTTTGGGAGGCCAAAGTGGGAGGATTGCTTCAGTTCAGGAGTTCTAGACCAGCCTGAGTAGCAAGACTCTGTCTCCAGAAAAAATAAAAAAATTAGTCGGGCATGTTGGTGCAGGCCTGTGGTGTCAGCTGCTCAGGAGGCTGAGGCAGGAGGATCGCTTGAGCCCAGGAGTTCAAGGCTGCGGTTAGCGGTGATAATGCCACGGCACTCCAGCTTGCGTGACAGTGAACCCTGTCTCAGGAAAAAAAAAAAAACAAAAAAAACCAAAAAACTGATCTTAAAAAAAATCAAATACTTGCATTCAGGGCAAGGAGAAAGACAAACTGAGGGAGGAGGAAAAAGTAATGTGAAGCCAGTGACCCTGCCCAGAAAATGTGACTAACCCAGCAGCGGTGGGGGCTGTGCCGCGCCTGCCCCAGGCCCTGAATGGAGAACATGGCTTTCCTTGCTGGTCTCAGACTCAGAGATGCCCTCCCTGATTTGCCTTGGCTGTGACCTGCAGCGGGCTGAGGCCACTGTGGTGGGGCTGTGTGGACCTCCAGCCTCCCTGTGTGCCCCTCTGAGGAGACGGCCTGGCATACCCACTGCCCACCCCAGTGACTGCTCTTCTGCTTCAGGCCTGCTGGCCTCCCAGCACTGCCTGCCCCTCCCTGTCGGGGGACATCGCCTCCACACCGGCTGGGGAAGGAGCCCAGGGGTGGGGCTGGTGGGTGGGGCTGGTGGTTGGGGCAGCCAGAGAAGTAAGAGGGAAGTGAGAAGCCGGGTGGGGCAGGCTGGAAGGAAGACGAACCTACGAAGCAGAGGTAGGAGGAAGAAAGGAAAGTAGGAGTGTTGAAAGGTGAAGGTGGCAGGGTGGCTGCCAGCGCGGCTGGCTGGTACCCTCCTGGGTGGGCAGGCGAGGGCTGGCTGTGGTGGCCTGGGAACAGAGACCCACATTTCTGGATACCACATTGTGCCAGGGTGGAGTTCCCCCAGCCTGCTGTCCTGCCAGCCTTATGCCAGGCTCCAGGCACCTGATCTGATGGCAGCTGTGAAGCTGCCCGGGAGGATGGGTGGGCTGTGCCCATGCTGCACATGGAGGAACTCTTGGGTCAGGGCTTGTCCCAGCTGTGCCAGACCTCCTGACGGAGGCCACCACACTGCTCCTGAAGGCCCTCAGCCAGACTGGAGGTGAAATCAGATTAGAAGCTGCCTGTCCCCAAGACAGGACTGTGGTGTGATGCTATTTGGGTGGGAGTGGCTTGGGGAGGGGGCAGGGCAGTCCTAGCCATTTGAATTCAAATGCAAGTGGCACATTTGATTATTTTGCAAACTCTGGAAGACCTTGGCTGAGGGTCTAGGTGGACTGTCTGAGGTAGGAGGTGGGGAGGGAGGAAGTGGTTGACCCTGGGGAAGGGTAGGAGACCTATTTGGTATCAGGGGAAAAACCATTTGGAATCCCCAAATGAGGCCTCTGGACCTAGATTCTGAGAATGCCATGTCCCAGGCTGGGAGATTCAGTTTGGTTTCGAGGGTGGGCACCTACCTCCACCAGGAGAAGTGGAGGTGCTGTTTCATTTCACACCTAGGGGCAAGCAGGGACTGTGAAGGGAAGAGACCTATTGGGGGTCAGTGGAATCAGGGTCTGAGGAAGGCAAAGGTACCACTGGACCCCGGCAGGATTTTTGTCCCTCTGATGGCTGTCAAGTCTTTCCTTAAAGGTGTGTGTAACGGTGACCTCCTCTCCGAGGTCCCCCAGTGTGTCCTCAAAGACAGCCTAAGTCAGGACCATGGGACAGCCAGCAGGACTTGCGTCCTCCCCTCCCCCAGCCCCATGGCAGTCTGGGACCCCTAGCCCCTGCTCTCTGCCTCCTGGGGCTGCTCCAGCCTGTCCCAGCCTTTTGAAATCCTGGGCTATCCCTTAGGTGCCACCCCAGTCTAATAATCAGAGCCCAGCAGGTCCAGTTAATCAAATGCATTCTTTGAGCACCTGCATGAGGTTCCAGCTAGATCCAGAGGCAAAATACACTTCCTGCCCTAAAGGACCCTACAGTGTAGTAGTGGAGGTAGGCGGGTCCATAACTCACCACACTATGGCAGAGTGGGGAAAAGTAAAGGCTTTAAGAGGTGTAGAAGAGGCTGTTTGGTAAGGTGGTGAGTTTCCCATCACTGGAAGCCTTCAAGAAGAGGATGGTAAGGGATGCTATAGAAGAGATTTCTGCACTATGCGTGTATGGGTATGTGTAGGGCGGTGCAGGCAGAGCAGGACTAGATAAGAACTTTAGCGCTTTCTTTTTTTTGTTTTATTCCTCCCCCCCGGCCCCAGCTCCCCTCTTCAACTTTAGCACTTTCTAATGCTGACATCTGTGATTCTGTGACATTCCCCACTTAGAGGAAGTTCGTCTGCGGTTTCACTGGGTATGGTGGCTCCCTTGTTCACTGCACCCTGCAGCTAAACCATAAAACATGGGCTATTCTTTGTCTCTGTGCATGTCACCCCCAGTGCCAAGCCCCCAGCACAGACGTTGAGTGGAATGGAATAGACTCTTTGCTGGGCTGCTTGAGGAACAGAGGCATCAGGTGTGTCCTTGCTCCAGTTGAGATGTGAAGCAGCCAGTTTATGCTATAAAACAGGCTAAAGTATGTGCTCCCAGGGGAGAGGGCTGGGAGAACTCCCAGAGAAGGCGGAGGCCACTTAATGTCCTGGAAGTTTCCTTGGACAGCTGGGGCTTGATACGGGCCTGGAAGGATAAGGGGGCTTGTGTGTGTGTGTGTGTGTGTGTGTGTGTGTGTGTGTGTGTGACAGATTCTTCCTCTGTTGCCCAGGCTAGAGTGCAGTAGTGCCATCTCGGCTCACTGCAACCTCTGCCTCCCGGGTTCCAGCAATTCTCCTGCCTCAGCCTCCTAAGTAGCTGGGACTACAGGCACGCACCACCATGCCTGGCTAATTTTGTATTTTTAGCAGAGATGGAGTTTCACCATGTTGGCCAGGCTGGTCTTGAACTCCTAATCTCAAGTGATCCACCCGCCTCAGCCTTCCAAAGTTCTGGGATTACAGGCATGAGCCACTGTGCCCAGCCTAGGATGAGGGGGCTTTAATGGATGTAAGGGTGAACATGGACACTGAGGAAGCTCAAGGAGCTGTGGGCTTGGACAGAGGGCTGGGATAGGGGAAAGAATGAAAGGCCAGAGGTCAGGGTGGACCCTTCCCCAGGAGAGACTGGAACAAAAGGTCTCGGGACAGAGATCTAATGAGGCAGCAGGAGTTTCAACCCTGACCAAGCATTAGAGTCATCTGGAGCTTCTCAAACACTGACATCCAGGCTCCACCTAGAGAGTCTGGTTTTAATGAGTCCAATATGGAAGCTAGTCACTGGGGTTTTTCTTTCTTATTTTTCTGTAAATTACTTTTTTTTTTTTTTTTTTTTGAGACAGAGTCTCACTCTGTCACCCAGGCTGGAGTGCAGTGGTGTGATCTCGGCTTACTGCAACCTCCACCTCCCAGGTTCAAGCAATTCTTGTGCTGCAGCCTCCCAAGTAGCTAGGATGACAGGTGTGCGCCACCACGCCCAGCTAATTTTTGTATATTTTGTAGAGACAGGATTTCACCATGTTGCCCAGGCTGGTCTTGAACTCCTAAGCTCAAGCATTCCACCTACCTCAGTCTCCCAGTGTGCTGGGATTACAGGCATGAGCCACCATGCCTGGCTGGCACTGGGGTTTTTCAAAAGCCCCCAAATGATTCTAATGTGCAGGTGAGCATTTGACACTGTTCTGGACAGAATTCACTGGCACTACTACCATCACTTTGAACATATGTTCAAAATATGGGTGATCAAGCCCCATTCCAGACCTGTGGAATCAGAATCCCCAGACCAGGGGCTTGGGCACTGTTAAAGAAAAAAAATATGGCCCAGGCGCAGTGCCTCACGCCTGTAATCCTAGCACTTTGGGAAGCCAAGGTGGGCAATCACTGGAGGTCAGGAGTTCAAGACCAGCCTGACTGACATGGTGAAACCTCACCTCTACTAAAAGTACAAAAAATTAGCCAGATGTGGTGGTGCACGCCTCTAATCCCACTACACAGGAGGCTGAGGCAGGAGAATTGCTTCAACTCAGGAGGCAGAGGTTGCAATGAGCTGAGACTGTGCCACTGCGCTCCAGCCTGGGCAGCAGAGTGAAACTCTGTCTCAAAAAAAAAAAAAAGAAAATTACTAAGAGGAAACATCAAGGGTAAAGAGATTCTGGCTAGACTGAGCTAACAGGATTCCTTTTTTTTTTTGAGACGGAGTTTCGCTCTTGTTGCCCAGGTTGGAGTGCAATGGCATGATCTCAGCTCACTGCAACCTCTGCCTTCCGGGTTCAAGTGATTCTCCTGCCTCAGCCTCCCGAATAGCTGGGATTACAGGCATGAGCCACGAAGCCCAGCTAATTTTGTATTTTTAGTAGAGATGGGGTTTCTCCATGTTGGTCAGGCTGGTCTCGAACTCCCGACCTCAGGTGATCTGCCCGCCTTGGCCTCCCAAAGTGCTGGGATTACAGGCATGAGCCACTGTGCCCGGCCCCTAACAGGATTCTTGCTGAATACAGGCCAGAGTGATCAGACATCACTGGGGCGGCGGGGGCAGGGTGTTGAGGAACCCAATCAGATATCCACGATTATCAGATCGACCAGATATCAAGGGTAGGGGGTTCTAGGTAAATGGCCTTAGCAGGGTTCTTTTGCTAAAACCGGATTTTACAAGCACACAGATGGGCCTACGGGGTGGTTCAGAAGCCTAGTTAAAGTTTGGCCAAGCAAAGAATCTTTGTCAGTACCGACATTTTAATAAGGTCCCAAGGTCATTCTAATGAGCAGCCAAACTCCTTTCTTTTCTTTTTTTTTTTTTGAAACCGAGTCTCACTCCATTGCCCAGGCTGGAGTGCAGTGGCATGGATCTTGGCTCACTGCAACCTCCGCCTCCCAGGTTCAAGTGATTTCCGGATAATTTTTGTGCTTTTAGTAGAGACGGGGTTTCACCATGTTGGCCAGGCTGGTTTCGAACTCCTGACCTCAAGTGAACTGCTCACCACGGCCTCCCAAAGTGCTAGGATTACAGGCGTGAGCCACCGCACCCGGCCTGCCAAACCCCTTTCATCCAAACCCTGATGTGGCTCTCTGGCATGTAGGCTGCCTGATTTTGAGTTAAACACAGAATGAAAAATAGTAAAGGTGACAATTGGCGCACTCCGTGTCTCATTCTTGAGCGCTCCCTGATGGCTTGAGCTTGGGGCAGCCACTTCACCAGCTCAGGCCTGAGTCACAGGCTGGGCTGCCTGTTGCAGGGGATGTGGGCACAGCATGTGATCCTCTGTGGGATGGAGAAACGTTAAAGTTTCCCTCCGCAAACCTCTGCTCTCTGCATGTCCTCTTCCGGAATCGTGGTGCCAAAATATGCCTTCCACTATTTTGTAGGTTGGGAAAGGAAAAGGAAAGTCATAATTCACACAGCATTTCACATCCATTATCACTGCCCTTGACCTGTCCCTCTTTGTTTCCTACTCAGACTTAATACCTTCTGCTCTGTCATCTGCCTTCCCCCTACCCCTGACTTCCCTGGCCCCTGCGAAATATTGCACTTCCTGATCCTGCTGCCCCAGCCCCCAAGAATCTCCTAATGGTGCCAGCTTGCATTTTTACCCTCCAATTCCCCAAGCCCTTACCCTGTGCCACTGGGGCTCATCTTACACAAACTCTGTCCAAATGGATGCACAGCATGAATTGTATTATGTACGAAGTGCATGCTGGCTCTGTGATCTCTGCATTTTGAGCCAAAAAAAGAAATCCTCTAGTGATGGGAACCTATGAAAGCGACAGTGAGTGGAGCCGTAGCTGTTGCATTTTCTGAATTTTTTAAAAAGATAATATCTTTTTAAAAAATACTTGCGTTTAGCATTTTTTCCCTTGAATGACTTTTGTCCAGAAAAAGTGTTCATCATTCTGGCATTTGAGGGAAGCTGGGCATACAGAATTGATAGCTGATGCCTGGGAGTGGGTGAAATTTCTCAGGGAGGGAGTTTAGAATTAGAGCAGCCATTAAATATAATGTTAGGTGAAGGGTTTTTGTTTGTTTGTTGTATTTTAATAGATGCCTTTTTAACAGGTTAAGGAAATTTCTTTCTATTCCTAGTTTGTGGGTAAAAAAAAAATTTTTTTTTTTTTTTTGAGAGGGGGTTTTACTCTGTCATCCAGGTTGCAGTTCAGTGGCATGATCTTGGCTTACTGCAGCCTCTATCTCCTGGGCTCAAGCGATACTCACTCCTCAGCCTCCTGAGTAGCTGGGATCTGGAATTACAGGCTTGCACTACCACATTTGGCTGATTTTTATTTATTTTATTTTATTTTATTTTTTTGAGACAGAGTCTTGCTCTGTCACCCAGGCTGGAGTGCAGTGGCACAATCTCAGCTCACTGCAACCTCTGCCTCCTGGGTTCAAGCAATTCTCCTGCCTCAGCCTCCCAAGTAGCTGGGATTACAGACGCATGCCACCATGCCCAGCTAATTTTTGTATTTTAGTAGAGACAGGGTTTCACCATGTTGGCCAGGCTGGTCTCGAACTCCTGACCTCGTGATCCACCCACCTCGGCCTCCCAAAGTGCTGGAATTACAGGTGTGAGCCACTGCACCTGGCCTTGGCTGATTTTTAAAATTTTTGTAGGGTTGTGGTCTCCTTATATTGCCCAGGCTTGAAAAAATTTTAAACTAGGAATGAATGTAGAATTTTGCTAAATGCTGTTTCTGCATCTATTGAGGTGATTACACATACATGTTTGTTAATAGGGTGTATAGCATTGATTTTCAAATTTTGGCCTGTTTTTTTTTTTTTTGCGTTGTGAGCGGCTTTATTTATTTATTTTAAATTTATAATTGACAGATAATAATTGCACATACTTAGCAGGAGCAGTGTGATGTTTCATTGTACATATGCAATGTATGTGTATATATTGTATAATGATCAAATCAAGGTAATTAGCATATCCATCACTTTAAACATTTATCATTTCTTTGTGATGATAACATTCAAATCCTCTCTTCTGGCTATCTTGAAATATACACTGCATTATTATTAGCTATCATCACCCTGATTTTCAGATATTAAACCAACCTTGCATTCCTGGGATAAACCTCATTTGGTCATCATGGTTTATTTTTTATATATTATTTGATTTCATTTGCTAAAATTTTGTTAATTTTTTTTTTTTTTTTTTTTTTTTGAGATGGAGTCTCACTCTGTCACCCAGGCTGGAGTACAATGGCATGGGCTTAGCTCACTGCAGCCTCTGCCTCTTGGGTTCAAGCAATTTTCCCGCCTCAGCCTCCTGAGTAGCTGGGACTATAGGCACGTGCCACCACACCCAGCAAATTTTTGTATTTTTAGTAGAGATAGGGTTTCACCATGTTGGCCAGGCTGGTCTCGAACTCCTGACCTCATGATCCACCCACCTTGGCCTCCCAAAGTGCTGGGATTACAGGCGTGAGCCACCGTGTCCAGCCAAATTGTGTTAATTTTTGTATGTGTATGTTCATGAGAGATACTGATCTGTAATTTTCTTTTTGCATAATATATTTATCTGGTTTTGTTATCAGGAGAATGTTGGCAGCATAGGATGAATTGAGAAGTGTTCTGTCATCTCTTTTTTTGAAGATTTTGTGTACAATTGGTATTATGTCCTTTTTAAATTTTTGGTAGAAATTACCAGGGAAGCCATCTGGGCTTGGGTTTTTTGGCGGGGGAACGAGTTTTTTACTACAAATTTATTTTCTTTAATAGATATGGCCACTGTTCAGATAATCTGTGTCTTCTTGAATGAGCTTTCATAATTTGTGTCTTTGAAGGAATTTGCCCATTTTATATAAGTGGTTGAATATATTGGCATAAAGTTTTTATAATATTCCCTTTATCCTTTTAATATCTGTAAAATCTATGGTGATCTCACATCTCTCATTTCTGTATTGATATTTGTGTTTTCTCTTTCTGTTAATCAGTTTGTCTAAAGATTTATCAATTTTATCGGTTTAAAAAAACAACTTGCCAGGCACGGTGGCTCACGCCTGTAATACCAACACTTTGGGAGGCTGAGGCGCGTGAATCACCTGAGGTCAGGAGTTTAAGACCAGCCTGGCCAACATGGTGAAACCCTGTCTCTACTAAAAATACAAAAATTAGCCAGGCGTGGTGGTGTGGGCCTGTAATCCCAGCTACTTGGGAAGCTGAGGCACAAGAATCACTTGAACTCATGAGGCAGAGGTCGCAGTGAGCTGAGATCACGCCACTGCACTCCAGCCTGAGTGACAGAGTGAGACTCTGTCTCCAAAAAAAAAAAAGCCAACTTGAGGCCAGGCATGGTGGCTCATGCCTATACTCTCGGCACTTTGGGAGGCTGAGATGGGCAAATCACTTGAGGTTAGGAGTTCAACACCAGCCTGGGCAACATGGCAAAACCCCATCTCTACTAAAAATACAAAAATTAGCCAGGTGTGATGGTGTTGCCTGTAATCCCAGCTGCTTGGGTGGCTGAGACCGGAGGATTACTTGAACCCGGGAGGCGGAGGTTGCAGTGAGGCGAGATCGCACCACTGCACTCCAGCCTGGGCAACAGAGTGAGACTCAGTCTCAAAAAAAAAATTCATTGCTCTTCTCTCTTGTTTCTGTTTTCTGTTAATTTCTGCTTTTATTTTAATTTCTGTGAGATCTCAGCAGACGGAAGACCCTGGCCCAGGGGTCAGAGACCTTATTTCCATGAACCACTCACTAGCTGTGTGGCCTTGGACTCATTTCTGAGACTCATTTTCTTTGTCTGCATAATGGAACTAGGGCTCCTAGAGGTGGAGTAGTTGATGAATATGAAAGTACTTGGCCACTGGAAAGGGCCTCTCCAGCCCCACGTGAGAGGTCCTTTTTGTGGCATTTGTAATAATAATGGCTTCTTCTTTCTTTCCAGATCTGAAGACAGCATGTACACAGCCATTCCCCAGAGGTAAGCTGCATGCCCCATCTCCTTTCACAACTTCCCCTTCTTTACCTCCAAGGGCTGCCCCTCCCCACTGCTCTCCTCATCCCCAGACTGCAGTCGCCAGGCCTGCCCAGGGCTGTGCTTGGGCAAGTGGGTCCAGGCTGCTGTCAACCCTCTCTCTTCTCGCAGTGGCTCTCCATTCCCAGGCTCAGTGCAGGATCCAGGCCTGCATGTGTGGCGGGTGGAGAAGCTGAAGCCGGTGCCTGTGGCGCAAGAGAACCAGGGCGTCTTCTTCTCGGGGGACTCCTACCTAGTGCTGCACAATGGCCCAGAAGAGGTTTCCCATCTGCACCTGTGGATAGGTAAGGGGATCTGGATGGGGGAAGGTTGGGCCCAGGAAGGGGAGGGAGGGGGCTGGTATGGATCACAAGGGCCTTGCCCTGCCCTCTCCCACTTGTCCCAGGCCAGCAGTCATCCCGGGATGAGCAGGGGGCCTGTGCCGTGCTGGCTGTGCACCTCAACACGCTGCTGGGAGAGCGGCCTGTGCAGCACCGCGAGGTGCAGGGCAATGAGTCTGACCTCTTCATGAGCTACTTCCCACGGGGCCTCAAGTACCAGGTCAGAGCCCACCTCTAGGCACCCCCACCCTGCAGCTTCCCTCAGAGCCAGCCCTGCTTCTGGCTGGTTCTCACCCTGCAGAAGACCCGGGTGCCTTTGGAGCCGGGTCCCCACCTTTCTGCCCGTCTTCCAGTGGGATGGGGTGCAGAGGGCTCTGGGTCTCCTGTCAGTCCACTCAGATGGGCCGTCTGGGCTGCAGGAAGGTGGTGTGGAGTCAGCATTTCACAAGACCTCCACAGGAGCCCCAGCTGCCATCAAGAAACTCTACCAGGTGAAGGGGAAGAAGAACATCCGTGCCACCGAGCGGGCACTGAACTGGGACAGCTTCAACACTGGGGACTGCTTCATCCTGGACCTGGGCCAGGTGGGTAGGCTGGCCAGACTGAGCACTCCGTATTGGCACCATCCTTTATAAGGACGGAGGGGCAGGAGGCCAGGAAAGAGGGAGAGAAGCTGAGAAGCCGTAAACCCATTCCAAGTGAGATCACTCTGACCATTGGAGAATGTCCCTATATTTGTAAGGACTGATGCCAGCCTCCTTCTGCCATCTAGACATTGCCTCTGATGCTCTGGAGCTTTTTCCCTCCTCTTGGAAGCCTCTGAGTTCACTGCCTGCCAGACCATTCATTAATTCAGTCATTTATCTCTTCGTTCAGTGAATCTATGATGCTCTCTCTGAGCCAGCACAGGGACCATAAAAGCTCGCTCTGGGGAGGCAGCCAAGATGGGCCAGTCACTTGCCATAACCTGAGGCAGGATGTGATGAGGGCTTTAAGGGGGACAGCTGCCATGTGCTGGGGGGGTCTTGGGGCAGGGAGGGGCCCTCTAGCCTGAGCCGAAGCCAGTTGTCCCAGGAAGGTGACATTGGACTAGACCTATAGGAGGGGAGATGCCACTCCAGGCAAAGGGAGAAGGTGAGCTGAGCCACCAAGGTGGGGAAGGGTGCAGACATGCACACACCAGGGGTCTAGTGAGACTGGGACCCGGGCTGGGGGACAGGAGCAGGGGGAGGGAAATTCCTAAGCAAGGTGGAAGGTGAGCCCTAGGTCATGAGGAGATTGGCTGGCTGAGGAGTATGGGCTGCGTCTTGTGGCGCTGAAGATTTGGGGCAGGGAGATCAATCCAGGAGCTCTTGGTGAGGACTACACGTGCTGAGACAAGGAAGGGGACAGGTGAACAGACCTCGCCATTACCAGAAAAGGAGAGGTGACAGGGGCTCTGCCTGGCAGGGCGGTGGGTAGAAGTGTGAGATGCTGCGCTCAAGGAGCCATTCAGCCATTCACCCATCCAGTCCTTCACTCAGTCAGTCAATATTTATTTTGCGCCTAAATCCATGCCGGGCTCTGTTTTAGCAGTGGGCCCACAGTGGTGAGCAAAGCCAAACAAAACCTTCATGTCCTAATGAAGCTCACTTTCTAGTAGGTGGAGATAGGTGGTTAAGAGACGTTTAAACATAGGAGATATGTGATGGGAAGAAAAATAAAGAGGTGCTGGGCGTGGCTGCTCACGCCTGTAATCCCAGCACTTTGGGAGGCCGAGGTGGGCAGATCACCTGAGGTCGGGAGTTCGAGACCAGCCTGACCAACATGGAGAAACCCCATCTCTACTAAAAATATAAAATTAGCCGGGCCTGGTGGCACATGCCTGTAATCCCAGCTACTCGGCAGGCTGATGCAGGAGGATCTCTTGAACCCAGGAGGTGGAGGTTGCGGTGAGCTGAGATTGTACCATTGCACTCCAGCCTGGGCAACAAGAGCGAAACTCCATCTCAAAAAAAAAAAAAAAAAAGAAAAAGAAAGAGGCTTGAGCCCAGCGGTTTGTAACCAGCCTGGGCAACATAGTGGGACCCCATTTCTACAAAAAATTAAGAAATTAGCCAGGCATGGTGGCAAGTGCTTATAGTCTCAGCTGCTTAGAAGCTAAGGTGCAACGATTGCTTGAGCCCATGACGTCAAGGCTGCAGTGAGCCATGATCACGTCTTTGCACTCCAGCCTGGATGACAGAGTGAGACCCTGTCTCGAAAAAAAGAAAGGAAGACAGATGGCAGGTGGGCAGAGAAACAGTTGCAGTGGGTGGTCGTGGGCATTTTCAGAGAGCCCTCTGTGCTGTGCTCTGCCTTCCTGGTTGTCCTGCCTCAGGGACAGTTCAGAGAGGAGAGAGGGAGAGCTGTGCGCCCTTCTCTGAGCTGGGGAGCAGGACACAGGCATCTGGCTCTGACCCGGACTTTCCTGCTTCCTTGCAGAACATCTTCGCCTGGTGTGGTGGAAAGTCCAACATCCTGGAACGCAACAAGGCGAGGGACCTGGCCCTGGCCATCCGGGACAGTGAGCGACAGGGCAAGGCCCAGGTGGAGATTGTCACTGATGGGGAGGAGCCTGCTGAGATGATCCAGGTTGGGGGACATTGGAGTGGGTGGCTGGGAGCCTCTGCTTGAAAGTGGCCAAGAGAGGTGGTGATGAGCTGAGGGCTGAGAGTGGCCGGTGGAGGGTGGCAGGGGCCATCTGGTGTACTGCCTAGGGCTGTGGCCAGCTCACAGGGTGCCCCTCTGGGTAGATGCTCGTCCTCGAGGCTGAGCAGCCTGGCTGGTGGGGTGGGCTGGACTCAGCCCTCACTCACCTCACCTCTGCTGGGTGCCCTAGTGCAGGGCGCAGTTTGCCCCACCAGAAGCAGTGGCCCTGGGCATGATGGGCTGGGAAGTTCCAGGGCAGGGGTCCCTATAAACCTGGCCTGCCCTGGCCCCTGCAGGTCCTGGGCCCCAAGCCTGCTCTGAAGGAGGGCAACCCTGAGGAAGACCTCACAGCTGACAAGGCAAATGCCCAGGCCGCAGCTCTGTATAAGGTGGGCCCCCCAAGCCTGCCCTGGGACCCGGCAGCAGGGAGGGTGGGAGCCTGCACAGCACAGCTGCATGCAAGCAGGGTGGAGGGGAGAAGGCAGGGGGAAGGTGGGGCTGGAACCGAGGTGGGAGGTGGGGAGTTATACAGGGCTGGGAGTGAGACAAGGATGGGGAGTGGGCGGAAGGCAGGCCCTCCTGAGGAGATGAGTGCACCTCACTTCCAGCCTATGCTTGGTGAAGGCTTGAAGCCAATGCTGAGCTTTTCTTTCTTGAATTCTGTGCATTTCTTTGTAATTTGGAATCCACCTAATTTCCAAATGGGTTCGGGGCCCCTGTGCTGCAGGGATTGGGGTGATGAGAGGGAGTGGGGCTGCCTGGAATTTGCTTTTCAGGTCTTCACTCTCTTGTCTGCTCCTGGGACCTGGGCAGTGGGCAGCGAGGCACAGTGGGAGGGACCTAGGGAGGACCAGCCTCCCCCTCCTCAGGCTGAGGTGAGGGCTGGTGTGTGGGGGGTGAGATCAGGCACTGTCCCTCCTCCCCAGGTCTCTGATGCCACTGGACAGATGAACCTGACCAAGGTGGCTGACTCCAGCCCATTTGCCCTTGAACTGCTGATATCTGATGACTGCTTTGTGCTGGACAACGGGCTCTGTGGCAAGATCTATATCTGGAAGGGTACGTGGCTCCTCTGTAACAGCCTGAGATGCCTGTAGCTGCTCTGACCCGGGCAGGCTTCCCTTTGCAGGACTCAGCCTGTCTAGCTGCTTGTAAAAGACAGCCTCAGGAAGCCTGCATGCTTCTGGCTGACCATTTTCTCTCTTTAAAAATTTTTTTTAAAAGATAGAGATGGGTTCTTTCTATGTTGCCCAGGATGGTATCAAACTCTCAGCCTCCAGTGATCTTCACCTTGGCCTCCCAAAGTGCTGGGATTACAGGCGTGAGCCATGGCATAGGCCTTGCTATTTTCTTTCTTTCTTTCTTTCTTTCTTTTTGAGAAGGAATCTTGCTCTGTTACCCAGGCTGGAGTGCAGTGGCACGATCTTGGCTCACTGCAACCTCTGCCTCCTGGGTTCAAGCAATTCTCCTGCCTTAGCCTCCCGAGTAGCTGGGAGTACAGGTGCGTGCCACCACACCTGGCTAATTTTTGTATTTTTAGTAGAGATGGGGTTTCACTACCAGGCTGGTCTCGAACTTCTGACCTCAAGTGATGCACCGGCCTCGGCCTCCCAAAGTGCTGGGATTACAGATGTGAGCCACTGCCTCGCCATTTTCTCTTTGCTGTTCCCACCTCCTAAATTCTAGACAATGGCTCTGAAACTACAGCAAGCCTCAGAATCACCCCACGGCCTGTTTAGATGGCTGGGCTCCACCCCCATAGATTCTGATTCACTAGGTCTGGAGTGGGGCAGAACATGCATCTCTAACAAGGTTATGGGTTATGTCTGTGCTGCTGGTTCCAGGGATCACACTTTGAGAACCACTGCCCTAGCCCAGCTCTAGACCTTTGGGGCTTCTGGGACCCCTGATCCTGGGATTCTGTCTCAAGGTTTGACAGAAATGAATTTTAGACAAATTAAACATCATTTTATGCAGTGAGTGGTGAACCTGTAGAACTTGTTTTTCCAAAAGATTCTATCTTCTGGAAATAGAAACACTGTTGGGCAGAGCCTGTTCTGCTTGGTTTGACTGAAAATGAAACAAACTTGTTCTCAGTCTCTGCCTGGGGTCTGAGAATTTTCAGCAATAGCATTTGCTCAACACCCAGTTGTGGGGTCAACCAAGGTGGAGAAAATGCCAGCCCCTAGCCTGGTCAGGAAGGCAGACAAGTAGGTGGGTATCTACAGATAGCTGCTACCAGGCATTTCATAGTATTGCTTCTGAAACTCAGCAGGGATAGAAGTGAAAGGGAGGAGCTGGGAGCAGCAAAAGAGTGGAAAGCGAGAGGCGTGTGCTGCAGGGCTGCCTTTTCTCTCCTGCCAGAGGGCACATATCCCATGGAACCAATGCCAAGCAGAGGGGGGTTCACAGAGGCCCACAGAAGCATGTATAAACCGGAGCAAGGAACCCAACAACTATGGAAAGAGAAATCAGAGGAAAAACAGGAAACTTGGGAGGCCAGGAAGAGAAGGATCTCATGGGTAGGGGGGCAGCTGGTCAGTTGACAGAGGAAGGAATCCAGCATATTAATTTCAGATACATTGTAGTTCATGGCATTTTATAGCCTGCCTAGAGAGCCAACCACATCACGGCATCGTTTCGGTATCATTTCCTTGGAAAAATGTCTGGCAGCCTGGGCAACATGGCGAAATATCACTTCTCTACAAAAAAAAAACCCCCCAAAATTAGCTGAGTGTGGTGGCGTGCACCTGTGGTCCCAGCTACACGAGAGGCTGAGGTGGGCAGATTGCTTGAGCCTGGGAGGTTGAGGCTGTAGTGAGCCGTGTTGGTGCCGCTGCACTCCAGCCCGGGCGACAGAACGAGACTGCGTCTCAGAAAAAATAAAAATAAAAAAGCCTGGAATGAGCAGTTTGAGTTCTCAGGACTGCTAGCAGAAATGACTGGATTACGTGGGGTCTTCATTTTTGTAAGTGCTTAGTTAGCATAACTGTTAGGCCAGTGTAGCCCTGCTGGCATTATGGGAGTAAATCACCTCTATAATAAATTGTACCCTTTGTCTTATTTAGTTTTTCAGAAAAGGCTTGATGAATTCAAGAGGTGAGGGGTCCTAGAGGAAAAGGAGACCTGCGGCCTCACAGTCTGATGCTAGGGTGAACACCTGTTCCCCTCCCTGAAATATTCCAGGGGCCCAGGTCAGAGCAGAGTTTTGCATGATCAGACCCGGGCAGACGAGGGGTTTTCATCTACCTTGGTGCTGCCGGTTTGGGAAAATTCTTAAGGGACTGACTCCACATCTCCAAAGAGCCCCTCGGCATTCTTGGGACCCCTGGTCCATTTATTGTAAAAATTGCTGGCTCTTCTGTGGACTCCCTTAAATTTCCTCAAGAAAAATGGGATGGCAGCTAAAGAGGGTCCCTGCTCTTTTTAAAAATCTCCTTCCTATGATCTAGGGCGAAAAGCGAATGAGAAGGAGCGGCAGGCAGCCCTGCAGGTGGCCGAGGGCTTCATCTCGCGCATGCAGTACGCCCCGAACACTCAGGTGAGGAGATGCGCACAACCACAGCCCTCTTCCTAGGGCTCTTCCTGTGGCCCCTGACCCCTCAAATTGGCCAGGAAGGGCAGGAGAGCCTTGGGCACTGTCAGGAACAACCAGGCCTCCCTCTTAGACCCATCCAGTGGGAAAGCCCATCTCAATCCTTCAAAATGTCAAAATACTTATTATTTTCAAAGAGGATGTTGGGCAGCACTCTCCTGGGTGCCCAGAGAACTGGGTACTCCTCCTCTGGGCCGTTGTCCCTGGCTGGTGCCACCCCTCCTGCCGCAGCACAGTGTCCACAAGTCATCCCGTGGGGAGCTGACAGGGCTCAGCTACCGTTGGTGGCATTTATTAAACTGTGCACCCACGCCCTTGAAGCAGTCTGTTGCCTCTGTCTGTGTCCCTGAAATCTTGGTTCTCATCTCATGGCTCATCCAGGGGAGCTTTCCCAGCCTGGACTGCACATGGATTCAGGCCAGGCGCCCACACCCTCCTCCCTGGCTCTGGCCCCCTCCTGTCCTCCTGGGCAGAGGCAGAGGTGGCAACTTTGTGAACCAGACTTCTCCCCCGCTGTCCCTGCAGGTGGAGATTCTGCCTCAGGGCCATGAGAGTCCCATCTTCAAGCAATTTTTCAAGGACTGGAAATGAGGGTGGGCGTCTTCCTGCCCCATGCTCCCCTGCCCCCCACCACCTGCCTGCTTGCTTCTCTGGCTGCCTGGTCAGTGCAGAGGTGCCCCCTGCAGATGTTCAATAAAGGAGACAAGTGCTTTCCCAGCTCTTTTCCTGCACCACCTGCCCTGGGCTGATTCTCACTGTCACCCACCTATTCACCTGGGTTCATCCCCATGCTGGGGGTGGAGTAGCACACAGATGACAATTGGACAGCCTTGGAGGGGCCAGAGCTGCTTTGCATGACAGAGGAGTCCCAGCCAGGCTTGCAGGGACTGCCATGAACCCAATAGGGAGGTGGCACAGTGCCAGGCCTCAGGATCAGTTGCATCCGGGTGTTCAGTTCAGTCTCACATTCCCAACAGGGAGAAGGTTGTGGCAATGGGCTTGGGATGCAGTTCCATTTAAGGCAGTATTTCTTCGGATGCCCTAATAAAGCACTGCCAGGCAGCTTCAAGTGACATATGCCCACTGAGCAAGAGAGGACAGCCTTTCACAATTGTACCAAGCCTGGCTTATTACTTCGTAGGCACATTGCCCAGCATGTTTGGCTGGTGAGCCCAGGGCCACTGCAGGGCTGTGCGAAAAGCACCAGGCTAGCATGGACAGTCTTCAGTCTGGTTCTTACCCTGCCTCTGTGATCCTAGGCAAGTTACTTTCCTTTGCTAGACCTTAGTTCATTCTCTTGGGTAATGAAGTGGTGGTGGGATGTCAGAGGCTAGAGAGCTAAATAGCAGGGAGAATGCAGTAGCCAAGAAGAGGTCCCATCTGAGAAGGCATGCCCAGGGGCCAAGAGCAGGGTGTGAGTGAGCCTGTGTCAGCTTGGACCAGAGGCCGTGAGGCCTGGCAAGGCTGCAACCACCCTGACTCATCCTCACCCCCAGGTCCTCTGGACTATGTGGCTTCTGAGCTCCAGAAATTGGATTCTTTCATCCCAAAACAAAAATTCTGATCAATTGGCAAGTTGAACTTGCTGATTTGTGCCAAGAACCATACCATAGATACCCCAGCCGGGTGCGGTGGTTCACGCCTATAACCCCAGCACTTTGGGAGGGCAAGACGGGCGGATCATTTGTGATCAGGAGTTTGAGACCAGTCTGGCCAACATGGAAACCCTTTCTCTACTAAAAATACAAAAAATTAGCCGGGCATGGTTGCGCATGCCTGTAATCTCAGCTACTTGGGAGGCTGAGGCAGGAGAATCGCTTAAACCCGGGAGGTAGAGGTTGCAGTGAGCCGAGATTGCACCACTGCACTCCAGCCTGGGTGACAGAGACTCCGACTCAAAAAATAAAAATAAAAAAGAAATGAGCTCCTCTGTGGATCTGCCTCCATGTCTTCTCCATAGACTTCTTAGCCCTACTTGACAGCCTACACAAAGAGCAGGTGCCAGGGATGGTTTTTTAAAGGGGAGAGAATAAAGGTTGCACTACATTAGTGGTTCTGACAACCTTTGTAGAGACGGGGAGTATTTTAAGTCTCCTATGAAAGGCCTAGCCCCTTTCCCTATAAATATACACAGATTAAGATTTTTGTGGCTGGGCACGGTGGCTCATGCCTATAATCCCAGCATTTTGGGAGGCAGAGGCAGGCGGACTCCTTAAGCTCTGGGGTTTGAGACCAGCCTGGGGACCATGGTGAAACCCCATCTCTACCAAAAATACAAAACTTAGCTGGGCATGGTGGCACAAACCTGTAGTCCCAGCTACTCAGGAGGCTGAAGTGGGAGGATGGCTTGAGCCCGGGAGGTGGAGATTGCAGTGAGCCGAGATCGCGCCACTGCACTCCAGCCTGGGTGACAGAGTGAGATCCCATTTCAAAAAAAAAAAAAGATTTTTGCATCTGCTTTCAGAGGGTTCAGGTACCCCTCACAACCAGTTCATTAACAGAACTGTAAATTTAAAATTGCCAGACTACATTATTGCTAATGTTCCAGGGTCTGAAGCTGTGAGTACTCTGTCATCTGGGGGGCACTAAACAGGTGGATGGTGGGCAGAAAGGACCCTGCAGAGGGAAGAATCACCCAACCTGATACTCCAAAGTGGAGGCCGAGCTGCAGCTTTTCTCCCCTGCAATTCAACTCCTGCCATGCCATGCCCAGCAATCTCCCTGCTATCTCTGTTGGTTAGCTGAGGACCAGACTGGAGGAAGTATTGTGAATGAAGGGGTTAGTTCAGGTCAGGCAGACAACACAAGGCAAACTATGGGGTTTGTTACCAGCCCCACCCTTGAGGCATCCTGCTGACAGCAGTCAGGAGTTCCCCTCCACGCCTGGGTGGCCACCTCTCTTCCCTACCTCTGTGATGTTTCCCCCTGCAGTGGGTCAGACTTAAAGAGGCCTGCAGGGCCAGATAGTGGTCTTCCATAGCATTCCACTTGAGGGGGTCCGGAGGACAGAAGGTAGCATAGTGGGGCTCTCACCTGCCCCCCACTCCCCAGCTCAGGTACCCTGGCCTGGAGGCTCTTTTTTTTTTTTTTTTTTGAGACGGAGTCTCGCTCTGCTGCCCAGGCCGGAGTGCAATGGCACAGTCTCGACTCACTGCAAACTCCGCCTCCCGGGTTCACACCATTTTCCTGCCTCAGCCTCTTGAGTAGCTGGGACTACAGGCATCCGCCACCACGCCCGGCTAATTTTTTGCATTTTCAGTAGAGACGGGGTTTCACTGTGTTAGCCAGGATGGTCTCGATCTCCTGACCTCGTGATCCACCCGCCTCGGCCTCCCAAAGTGCTGGGATTACAGGCGTGAGCCACTGCGCCCAGTCTGGAGGCTCTTTTGGGAAGGAACCAACAGTGCTGGCCTTCGCCAGAAGCAAATGCAGGAAAAACGTGGTGTGGATGCCTTATACCAGTCAATCTTAACAAGAGCTGGGCTACCTCGTCCACTGGCTAGAGCTTGCAAGGAGTCTCTGGGCTTGTAAGTATAGCAGAGGATGGACATCCTATGAATTCAGCAAGGTTTGGCTGCAGCACAGGCAACCTTCTGTCTCCTGGAGCCCATGACCAGGCTGGAACCCACCTATGCCTTCACCCTTAGGTGTGCCTGGCTCTAACCAGGTTCCGGAATGACAGGACCACAGGATGGTGCAAGACTTGTCTTGGAAAAAAACACCTGAGACGCTTAATTAGAACAATTCTTTTATTTGAAAACTGCTGGTATGAATTTCCTCCTTCCCTCAATTAGGCCAGAAACTCATCATGGGGCATGCACAGCATCTACAGGAGGAAGCCCCAGCTTGTGGGGGCTAGGATGGAGCAGCCGTGAGAGACACCTAGCCAAATGTCCGTTTTTCCATCATAAACAATGGAGCGGGGGTCAGGGGGAGAAGAGAGTGGGTAAGTGAATGGCCAGAAACTCCAGAGGGGGCCTCACACCCACCTGTGAGGTACCTCCTTGCCCTACCCCCACTGAGGCCTCAGGCCCCTTGCTTGGGTCATGCTGCCCCCTGTCGGCTGCTGCCCCTGCCTCTTCCTCTGAGTTCTAACAACACAGACACTGGTGCCTGAAAGCCCTGCTGCTGCCAGGGAGTCAGAATTCTGGCTGCCTCTACTTGGGAATCTCCTCCCATGTGGGGATCTGCAGAACATCCAGATGGGGCCATCCCACCTCATGATCCATTCACTCCCAGTGGGATACACTGGAATTCAACCCGGAGACTGGAGCCCAACAGATTAAGGCAGAATTCTCCTTGCTCTGGAGGCAGGTCTGCGGGAAGGGGGTGAAGTCTAGCTGCCCCTCATGTCCCATGCCGGTGAGGGTACTTGGCTTCCCACAGCTAAGCCCAGGAGCTTCCTATATCCCATCTGCTGAGACAGCAAGGGGTGCGGCCTGGCCAGGCTCCTGACATGGCTCCACTGACCCCCTGAAAGCCCCTGCAGCTCAGCCTTTAAGCCTCCATTCATCTCGGAGGTCAGATCAGCCATACGCCTTCGGATGAGTGAGACTGCAGGTCACTCTCACCTGTGAAGGTGAGATCCTTGAAGGGAGGGGCTTCTGGCCCATAGCACTTCTGTGCTCCCAACAAGGAGGCCTGTCCCTTTGACACCCTGGCCAAGTACAGCTCCAGGGTCTTGAGCAGCCGCCGTGGGCTCTTCTTGGCCAATACTTCCAACTCTGCAACAGAGAGAATTGGGGAGCAGAAGGCTTGAGGGGGCTCTGGGTGACACAACAGTCAAGGCCTCAAGCCTAGCAGCTCTAGGGAGTACCCCCAACCCCTATCCCATGGAGAGAAAGTGAAGGAGCCTCAGATGGAGAGATCACCAGAGAGGTAGGCTAGGGAGCCAGCTACAGCCACAGGGACCACACACTCTACCTTGTCTGCACAATTGCAACTTTGAATAGTCCAACTATTGGACCCTGGCTCCCAATTTTTGATCAGAATATATGCTTGTCATAAGTATAAGACCAGAAAAGGGCGACAGTCAGGGCAGAGAAAGGAGAACTAGCAGACTCCAGGGGGTGGGTGATGGAGATTTTGGTAAGCTGGAATTTGAGAAAGTGTGGATGGGGAAGAACTGCAGCCAAAACCAGTCTAGCAACCACCTTGGGCTCTCTGGACCTGGGACACTGTGCATTCAGCCTAGGCCTCCCCAGAAGAAAGAGCACACCTTTGAGGACAAAGCCCGAGTCTGAGATGGTCTTCCGCTGTGTCCTCCAGACATGTGCGAGGTGGAGGAATGTGGCGGCATAGAAGCTGTTCACCACGGGGATGACCTTCTGCTGCCGATTACACTCTCTGCAGGAAAAAGGCAAGGTGACCTGCTCAGCGGTGGATGAAGGCTGAGACCTAGGTTCCCTCCCGCCTTCCTTCCCCATTTCCCCAGGGGAGCCAGCCCAAACCCAGGATGCCCCCACCATTCCCCAGGAGCCTGACATCTAAGGCCAGGGGTGGGAGAAGGGATGTCCTGGGGAGACCGGTGCATGGGGACTTTGTCCAGGCCCTCCAGGAGCCAGCAGGTGGAGTAGAGCTGGGGAAAATTAAGCCAGAGTGGGGACGAACAAGGCTTTGCTGGGTCACTCTAACCAGCTGGTGTTTGGGGACTCACCTGGAGAGACACTCCTCTCTCAAGGCCTGGATGGCAATGTGGGTGATGTTCACGGACATCAAACAGAAAGGGAATTGCTGGAATGGAGGGGCACCCAGTCAGCAGCAACTCCAGCTCTCACTGTGTTTCCTGTCATCTGCAGCCTGGTGTGGCTCGCAGGCAAGCACAGCCCCAGAGGCAACAGCTGATATTATTATTGCTTCCACTTAATTTTCCTAATAATCTTCTTCCCATCTTACAGATGAGGAACTAAGGCTCAGTGACCTTTAGTAACTTTCCTAAGGCATGGGAACCAGGATACCAACTGAGGTTATTTGCTCCAGAGCTGATGTGCATAACCCCCGTGCTAGCTCTCCAGCCTCTTCATCATCCTGACCCGTCAGCTCTCCTTGGCCTGCAGCAGACCCAACCCCTGGGCCCACATCATCTCCTGGTGTCAGGATGAAGACAGAAGTGAGAGGCTCGGTGCTCTAACTAGCCCTACGGGTTCTTAAAGTCTCCTCTCCCCTTCTTTGGGCTTCTGGTTGTCTGGCTGATCGTGAGCACCTCATCCTAAGACAGAGAAGACGCACGTGGGTAGAAGGTCATCCTGACTTGGGGGGACACCCCATCTCACGATAACACAGAGGCCTGAGAGCCAGCTGTGCGGGTCAGACCCCAAGAGGAGGCAGCCTGAGTCTGGCAGGGGAGCTTCACCAGGAAGGGCCTCAGAATCCCCTACAGGGACAGCTTTAATGCTCTATGTTTAGTCAGGCAAGCTCCTTTCTTTAATAACAATGAAACCAAGCTTGCAAAATCCCTGAATGGAAAGGGCCTTTTTTTCAGGGAACTTGCAGACATGACATGTTATTTTCCCCTGTTGCACATACACAAGGACACCCAGTGAGAGGAACACATAGACCAGTGCATTCCTTAGTACAGAACAAGAACCAAGGTCTATTTATCCCACCTGCTTCCCAGTTGAAGAAAAATCCATTACATTATAGTATAGAACTGTACTGCCCAGTATGGTGGCAACCAGCTGCATGTAGCTATTTAAATGAGTTAAAGATGAAAAACAAATATAAATTCAGCTCCTTAGTGGTACTAGCCACATTTCCAGTGCTCAGTAGTCACGTGTGCTTAGTGGCTGCTGTACTGGATGGTGCATTTCCAATATCTAGACCACTTCTGTCACTGCAGAAAGTTCTGGACAGTGCTGAACTGCAGAAGGTCTTCTGGCTCCACAGAGATTTTTCTCAGGGTCTTCCATGATACCTGAATTCCAGATCTTGGCCTGGCTACCTGGTAGCTGTGTGTCCTTGAGAAGGTCACCCAACCTCTGTGAAACTCAGTCTTCCCATCTCTCAAAATCAAAAAGGACATAAACTTTGAGTGCTGTGCAGAAAAAAGTTAACACAGCAGGCCTGAGACTCCTTAGAGCCTGAGCCTTAGAAAATTCTTAGATCAGGCCATGGCTGACAGCTGAGAACTTGGATTTTGAGATGGTTCCCATCATTCCCTAACATTGTTCCTCAACTGCTCATGCAAACAAGATAGTTTTTGCTGGCTGGGCCCAGGGCTCACAATCCAACACTTTGGGATTACAGGCGGATGGATCACTTGAGTCTAGGAGTTCAAGACCAGCCTGGGCAACATGGTGAGATCCTGTCTCTACAAAAAAATTTTTTTTTTTTCAAAAAAACAAACACAAAAAAGATACTTTATGCAGAACACCAGCTTTCCCTCTGTGATTCCAGAGTTTTGGTATGTGCTAGGCAGAGGGTGCCTACATGACCAGCATGTCATGGTAAAAACCTTGAGTACTGGGTACCTCTAATGAGCTTCCCTGATTGGTGACATTTTATACGTATTGCACAATTTGGCAGTGGAAGAATGAAGTGTGTTCTGTGTGATTCCACTGGGAGAGGCCTCTTGGACATCACCACCTGGTTTCCTGTGGAATTTGTCCCATGTAATTCTTCCCTTTGCTGATTTTGCTTCTGTTGTACTAAATCAGAACTGTTAAGTATAACTATACGTAGAGTCCCTTGAGTCTCTCAGGAATCATTGAACCTGCAGGTGGTCTTGGAAATCCAGCGCTAGTGCCACACTGGGTAGAGTTAAGTCACTAATCATTACAACAACTCCAAGAGACAGATTTTTTTTTTTTTTTTTTTTTGAGATGGAGTCTTGCTCTGTCGCCCAGGCTGGAGTGCAGGGCAGTGGCGTGATCTCGGTTCACTGCAACCTCTGTCTCCTGGGTTCAAGGGATTTTCCTGCCTCAGCCTCCCAAATAGCTGGGACTATAGGCACGTGCCACCACGCCCAGCTAATTTTTGTATTTTGAGTAGAGACAGGGTTTCACCATGTTGGCCAAGCTGGTTTTGAAGTCCTGACCTCAAGTGATCTGCCCACCTCAGCCTCCCAAAGCGCTGGGATTACAGGCATGAGCCACTGCGCCTGGCCTTATGAGACAGATTTTGTCAACACTTAACATTTTATCCCACTACCCACCTCACAGAGTTGCTGTGAGCATTACTTAAGATCACATGTGCAAAGTACTAGGCACAACACCTGGCCCAAGTAGGTATTAACAAATGTTCGTCGTTATTATACTTGCCTCAACATGGGTAGCTGAGAACACCATTGATGCTGACCTTCATGTATACCTCTGTACCTTCAGGTATTGCCTATTTAATGATCATATATACTTGCATAATATCATCCCTTCCCTTGATTTCTTTCAATCTAAAAATAAATATGAGAAAAACAGTATGGTAACAACATTATTAACAGAGGACCTGAACTTAGTGTTCATCCATTCTCAGGAACATTCTTTTTTTGAGACGGAGTTTCGCTCTTGTTGCTCAGGCTGGAGTGCAATGGCACGATCTCGGCTCCCACAACCTCTGCCTCCCAGGTTCAAGCGATTCTCCTGCCTTAGCCTCCCGAGTAGCTGGGATTACAGGCATGCACCACCATGCCTGGCTAATTTTGTATTTTTAGTAGAGACAAGGTTTCTCCATGTTGATCTGTTGATCAGGCTGGTCTCGACCTCCCGACCTCAGGTGATCTGCTTGTCTCGGCCTTCCAAAGTGCTGGGATTACAGGCGTGAGCCACCACACCCAGCCCGGGAACATTCTTAAAAAGCCCACTGATTGGCCAGGCATGGTGGCTCACTCCTGTAATCCCAGCATTTTTGGAGGCCGAGGTGGGCACATCACTTGAGGTCAGGAGTTCAAGACTAGCCTGACCAACATGGTGAAACGCTGTCTCTCCTAAAAACGCAAAAATTAGCTAGGTGTACTGGTGGGCACTTGTAATCCCAGCTACTTGGGAGGCTCAGGCAGAAGAATCGCTTGAACTCAGGAGGCAGAGGTTGCAGTGAGTTGAGATTGTGCCATGCATTCTAGCCTGGCAACAGAGCGAGACTCCATCTCAAAAAAAAAAAAAAAAAAAAAAAGCCTACGTATCAAAAAATGGTAAAAATTGGATTTCAGATCTAAATGTCTCCTTTCCTTCAGCAGTTCCCTCAGACCTAAAAAGCATTGTTTAGAGCTAAAATACTGCACTGAAACTGACTAAAACACAGCAGAGGAACTCAGACCTGGACATTTTTCTGCTTCCATTTACAATTTCATTTATCCTCATGCCTCACGTTTGGGCTTAGAAACCTTTGTCTGCTGAAGCAGGAAGACCAGAGTATCTTCTGCGGCTGCTGCTGACCTGGCCCCAACCCTGAAGATTCCAACTGAGTGGTTCTGATGGGGAGAGTCTAAGCATCTGCACTCCCACTGCTATGTGACTTTTCAGGGTGTGCTGCTGGCTGGGAATCAATGCTGTACAGAGCCCACCGCCAGGCCAGCTGTCAGGAAACAGGGGCTCTAGGCCCAGCTTCACCACTTAGGAGCTATGGCTTTGTTCAGAAACATTGTGACTCTCTTACCCACACATTCCTCTGCTGGAAGGGGAGATTGACAAACCAGCATCATCTCTAATTTACTACAAAAGCCCTCACTGGAAATTATTCTTAACTTAGCAGCTGGTAGGATCCATTAAAAAAAAAAAGTAAGTTAGACTGTGTTACTCTGCTGCTCAAAGCCCTGCAGTGCCTCCTCATTTTACCTAGCGTAAAACCTAGAGTCCTTTCCATGGCCTGCTAGGCCCTGCGCCCTCTGGCCCATCATCTACGACCACCTCTCCTACTGCCCTTCCTGTCAGGCCTCTGGGCCCAAACCTGTACGTATAAATCCAGATGGCCTGAAGTAACTGAAGAATGACAAAAGAAGTGAAAATGGCCTGTTCCTGCCTTAGCTGATGACATTACCTTGTAAAATTCCTTCTCCTGGCTCATCCTGGCTCAAAAGCTCCCCAACTGAGCACTGTGACCCCCACCCCTGCCAGCCAGAGAACAACCCCCTTTGACTGTAATTTTCCACTACCTAACCAAATCCTATAAAATGGCCCCACCCCTATCTCCCTTCGCTGACTCTTTTCGGACTCAGCCCGCCTGCACCCAGGTGAAATAAACAGCCTTGTTGCTCACACAAAGCCTGTTTGGTGGTCTCTTCATACAGACATGAGTGAAACTTCCTGTGTTCTTTTCACTCCGGTGGCTTCCCTACTACTCATTACCTATGCTAGACACACTCCTTTCTTGAGACCTTAGTTCTAGCTAATCCCTCTGCCTGGTATGTTCTTCTCCCAGATATCAGCTTGGCTAACATTCCCACCTCCAAGGTTTGGTTTAAGTCTCACTCTCTCATGACAGCTACCCTGACCACCCTATAAAAATACTGTAACTGTCTCTCCACATTCTCTCAACTCTATCCTATTTATTTTTCCTTAGTACTTATTACCTTCTAGAGCACTCTATAATGTATTGATATATTGAGCTTATGGTCATCTCTGCTGGAAGAATCTTTGTTTTATTTACTGATGTATCCCAAGTACCAAGAAGAATAGCACCAAGGGATGCTGAAAAAATATTCATTCAGTGAATGAATGAATCCTAGGTCCCATGAATATGGGATAGACAGATGGCAGGAAACAGGTCAAATTTGTTTTCTAAAATGGAGAGACTATTAAAAAAATAAAATTAGCTGGGCATGGTACGGCACACCTGTAGTCCCAGCCGAGGCTGAGGTGGGAGGATTGCTTGAGCCTGGGAGGTAGAGGTTGCAGTGAGTTGTGATTGTGCCACTGCATTCCAGCCTGGGTGACAGGGTGAGACTGTTTTAAAAAATAAAAATAAAATGGAGGGATTGCTACCTTTTGCTACTTGAGAAAACCATAAAACCCAACCCCAGAGGGCAGGTCCAGACAGAGACAGAGGAGCTACTGAAGCACCTCTGGCCTGTTGGTAAGTCTGTGGCTCACATAACCCATGGAGGTCCATCTCCTCCTCTTGGGCCCGTGGAGGCTAACTCTTCTCTTTCAGGGCCAAGAGATGCTACCCCTGTGCAAGGCATTTCCTCAGGGAGGGCAGAGAGTTGAAACAGCAACAGCACAGCTGTGCTTGCTACTTTTGTACATTGTCTCTAATTTTCCCAATGAGCCAGCTGAAGTTTCTATTGTGAAAACAAAATATCTTGGGTTCCCCAAATCACTAAGCTAAAGGGAAATGTCAAGCTGGAAACTGCTTAGGGCAAACCTGCCTCCCACTCTATTCAAAGTTACCCCTCTGCTCACTGAGATAAACGCATATCTGATTGCCTCCTTTGGAAAGGCTAATCAGATGCTCAAAGAACACAACCATTTGTCCCTTATCTACCTATGACCTGGAAACCCCCTCCCTGCTTTCAGTCATCCCGCTTTTGCTTCCAGTCCTCCCACCTTTCCGGAGGAACCAATGCTCATCTTACATGTGTTAATTGATGTCTCATATCTCCCTAAAACTGTAAAACCAAGCTGTGCTCTGATGAACTTAGGCACATGTCATCAGCACCTCCTGAGGCTGTGTCACAGGTGCGCATTCCCAACCTTGGAAAAACAAACTTTCTAAATTAACTGAGACCTGTCTCAGATTTTCAGGGTTCACATTTTGGTAACCACAGAGGGATTCTGAGTGGAGGTACCCCTGGCCTTTGACAAATCTCCTATCCATGCTTGGTACCAGCATGAGCTAACTTTATGGCTCAAAACAACAGAACAATTTGCTGAGGTCTGGGAGTACACCCTCCAGAGAATCCCTGATCTCCCCAAATTTGTTCAAGATCTTTGGCTGGGCGTGGTGGCTCACACCTATAATCCCAACACTTTGGGAGGCCAAGGCGGGTGGATCACCTGAGGTAAGGAGTTCAAGACCAGCCTGAGACCAGTAGCTTCTCTATCTCTGTCTGGACCTGCCCTCTGGGGTTGGGTTTTATGGTTTTCTCAAGTAGCAAAATGTAGCAATCCCTCCATTTTATTTTTATTTTTTGAAACAGAGTCTCGCCCTGTCACCCAGGCTGGAATGCAGTGACACAATCACAGCTCACTGCAACCTCGACCTCCCAGGATCAAGCAATATGATATGGTGAAACCCTGTCTCTACTAAAAATACAAAAGTTAGCCAGGCGTGGTGGTGGGCGCCTGTAACCCCAGCTACTCAGAAGACTGAGGCAGGAGAGTTGCTTGAACCTGGGAGGTGGAGGTTGCAGTGAGCCAAGATTACGCCACTGCACTCCAGCCTGGGTGACAGAGTGAAACTCCATCTCAAAACAAACAAACAAAAAAACAAAAAAGATCTAAAGTTTATTTTGTTGTACAACTCCTCTTTTTTTTTTTTTTGGAGTTTTACTTGCTTTTAACAAGGAAGGTAAGATTTCCTGTTTCCATGACAATGGAAGGCAGGTAATTTCTTTATGGAGTTTGAGCTCACTTCTAACAGGGAAGATGAGTTTTTTTTGTTTTTTTTTTTTTTTCCTGCTTCTGGGATGGTAGAGTCTACAGCCCGAGACCCATCCCTAGATAAGTAACTGAATTGTCTTGTTTTTAAATTAAGGTTATTACATCCGTGTATCTTTCTGTATGTGCTTTTAAAGTGCTGGCCAGACGCGGTGGCTCACGCCTGTAATCCCAGTACTTTGGGAGGCCAAGGCGTGTGGATCACCTGAGGTCCAGAGTTCGAGACCAGCCTGTTCAACATAGTGAAACCCTATCTCTACTAAAAATACAAAAATTAGATGGACATAGTGGCACGCGCCTGTAGTCCCAGCTACTCGGGAGGCTGAGGCAGAAGAATCACTTGAACTCGAGAGGTGGAGGTTGCAGTGAGCCAAGATTGCGCCACTGCACTCCAGCCTGTGTGACAAAAGTGAGACTCTGTCTCAAAAAAAAAAAGTCCTTGTGACATTGAGTTACAGGGCTTTAACTCCTGGGTCTAAAAGGAACACCGTGTCCTGCCAAATGTTTTTTTTTTTTTTTGAGACAGAATCTCGCTCTGTTGCCCAGGCTGGAGTGCAGTGGCACAATCTCGGCTCACTACAAGCTTCGCCTCCCAGGTTCATGCCATTCTCCTGCCTCAGCCTCTGAGTAGCTGGGACTACAGGCACCCACCATCACACCCAGCTAATTTTTTGTATTTTTAGTAGAGACGGGGTTTCACCACGTTAGGCAGGATGGTCTTGACCTCCTGACCTCGTGATCTGCCCGCCTCGGCCTCCTAAAGTGCTGGGATTACACTCATGAGCCGCTGCACCCAGCCCTATGTCCTGCCAAATCTTTTTTTTTTTTTTTTTTTTTTTTGAGAAGGAGTCTTGCTTTGTCACCCAGGCTGGAGTGCAGTGGCAAGATCTCGGCTCGCTGCAAGCTCCACCTCCTGGGTTCACGCCATTCTCCTGCCTCAGCCTCCCGAGTAGCTGGGATTACAGGCACCCGCCACCACGCCCAGCTAATTTTTTGTATTTTTAGTAGAGACGGGGTTTCACCGTGTTGGCCAGGATGGTCTTGATCTCCTGACCTCACGATCTGCCTGCCTCGGCCTCCCAAAGTGCTGGGATTACAGGTGTGAGCCACCGCGCCCAGCCCAAATCTTAAACATTGACAGCAATTAAAGCCTCATCTTCAGGCCTGGTAGAAGATGCCAATCAGAATAAACTGCATTCCTAAGACACGGGGCCAGAAATTAAAGCTACTCAACTCTTCAAGGCCCAGGGACTATTGCGGAAGAGGTGGGTGCATGAGATTGCAAGAGCTGATTTTTTAAAGATAAAATAGGTTAAGTTTCTTTATAAATTAATCATGAATGTCAAAGGCACACTGATGCAAAAGCAGCACATGAGCCCCTGCATCAGATTAACAAGATTTTCTTGAAGCATTAACCAGCCCCTTAATAAAGGTTATAAAGGTTATAAAAGGCTTATGGAAGTTATATCTTATGGTCAAGATTAAAATTTTATAGATTGTTTACAAAATTTTGAAAAATAAATTTAATTGGCTTCATGCTGTTTTTATTAGGGCTTATTGATTGAAAAATCAAGTCTCCGCTCTCAAGGAATGGAGATTTTCACCTTCTTTTTGAAATCCTTGAGTTATTGCTTTGGTTAAAAGAATGACTTATCTTATAATGACCTGTGATCCTATTTTGTGATATCAAGTTTTAAACCTTTGATATTTGACAAACTTTCCAAAATCAAATCATAAATTATGTCTTTTTCTGACCTGATAAATCCTTTAAGATATTAGGCTCCATAAAGTCCAAAAATGACATAATTTGGCTTATTTGGTATAAAAATTATACAGGAAGCATTGTCAAATATGAAATGGTGTACGATTTTCTTTGGGCTGTATTTGTATAAATGTGTTATTGGTATGTGTTCCAAAATTATGGGAAACTCCTAAAATTCTGATATAACTTAGTGTACATTATCAGTAATAATTATAATTGTTATGTTAAATTATTCTGTGCCACAGAGATAACAAATTTCCTTGTCAACTGGGTCTTCAACAATGGCTTCCCTAAAACTTTTTGTCATCCACAGACAATTGTTGTGTTGTTTGGTCCTCTTTAGAAGGTGGTTTTATAATCAGCTATAAAAGGCCAGGCATGGTGGCTCATGCCTGTAATCTCAGCACTTTGGGAGACTGAGGCGAGCACATCACTTGAGGTCAGGAGTTCAAGACCAGCCTGGCCAACATGGCAAAACCCTGTCTCTACTAATAATACAAAAATTAACTGGGTGTGGTGGCAGGTGCCTGTAATCCCAGCTACTCGGAGGCTGAGGCAGTAGAATCGCTTGAACCTGGGAGGTGGAGGTTGCCATGAGCCAAAATTGCACCACTTGCACTTCACCCTGCGCGACAGAGCAAGAGTAGTCTAAAAATAAATAAATAAATAATAATCATCATCTTAAAACTCTAACAGGGGCTCTTGAATGCAGGTTTCTGATAACTTTGGAGATTGTGACATCAGAATAGAGGAAAAACTTTCAGACTCATGGAGAGCTAAAATGTTCATGAATATCAAAGCAGAACAGGAATTAACTGCATGGATTGAACTAATTTTTTTGACCTTTTGCTTAAAACGTTGCTGATCCTTTGTTTTGTTTTTCAGAGTCTTCAAACTTCTCTTTTGAGCTATTGACAGCTTTTAACAATTTAGTATACTGCTATGACCAAAATTTGGAACATATTTGTTTCTCTCTACCTGAGTTCTCCAGAATTTGGAAACTATTTGTGAGTATTCTTAATTTATGGCAATACAGTTATTTGCATAAATACAATAAGAATCTGTTTTCACTGCTAATAGGACACAACTGGAGAAACTAATTATTTTACCAAGGCTTTGACTGGAACCATGTCATTTCTTTTAAGAACTCAAACTTGATTTATGAAGCCAATAACGCCCTTGGGAAACTGGCCTCATATTTTGTGTACACAGTCCCTGAACAGGGTTTCTGACTTGTGTTAAGTAAAGAATGTTACTTTATGGCAGGCCCAGGAGCCCCAGGTTTATCCTGGAACCTCAAGAGGAGAGGAAATTCACCCAACTCATAGATATTTGATGGTACAAATCCATGGCAAGGCTTGGCTTTAAAAAAAAGTCTTGCCTGAGATTCCTTCTATATAACAAAGTTCCATCAAAGCCAATTTTTAAAAAAAGCCTATGTGAAAAATAACTATTCTTGCTGTACTTTATACAAATAATCTGGCTAAGTATTATAAAGCAAATCGGTCCTACCATGATTTGTCTTTAGTAAAAACAGGAAACTGGAGAAAGAAAAATTATGTTTCAAAAACTATAGTACACCTGTCATTAGATCCTAGTCTTGCCTAATGTTTTTCAATTTTAATAATTTTCTACAGTTTGGGCTGAATTCTAATTTTTCTTGGCTACAAGTCTTCAAAATAATGTTTTCAGCCAGGCACGGTGGCTCACACCTGTAATCCCAGCACTCTGGGAGGCTGAGGCGGGCAGATCACGAGGTCTGGAGCTCGAGACCAGCCTGACCAACATGGTGAAACCCCGTCTTTACTAAAAATACAAAAATTAGCCGGACGTGGTGGCATGTGCCTATAATCCCAGCTACTCAGGAGGCTGAGGCAGGAGAATCACTTGAACCTGGGAGGCGAAGGCTGCAGTGTGCTATCGCGCCACTGCACTCCAGCCTGGGCAACAGGACACAGCGAGACTCCGTCTCCAAAAAAACAAAACAAAACAAAACAAAATAATGTTTTAAATTTCTTTTCCTCCTTTTTTTTTCCATTTTCCTAATTTGGAGTCACTGAAAATTAAGCCGTACTTTCTTACAGCCCTGCAAACTGAAGCCAGACAACTTCAGAAGAAAATAACAGCAACCTATTTACATACATAAGCCACTTTCATACCTGCCTACTGATGTATAGACTTCAGAAGAATGTGGCCTATATTGATATCCAGGATTGTTCTTTTGTTTGTTGTTGTTGTTTTCACTTCCTCCCCGTATTTTCTCTTCATAGGACATGAGACTTCACAACCTTCTAAAAATGAACTTTCCTAATAACTCGGGGACCTATCCGTCTAGGAATAAACCATCCTAGCCGTAAGAGATCAGATGAAACCTAAGACCAGAGATTCATTTTCTTCTAAAATGCTTTCTCCAAAAGATTTTAAAAAAGAAAAGGGGGAAAATGTGAAAGGAAAATATCTTGGGCCCCCAAAATCACTAAGCTAAAGGGAAATGTCAAGCCAGGAACTGCTTAGGGCAAACCTGCCTCCCATTCTATTCAAAGTTGCCCCTCTGCTCACTGAGATAAATGCATATCTGATTGCCTCCTTTGGAGACCCTAAGCAGAAACTCAAATGTAATTATTTGTCTCTTATCTACCTATGACCTGAAAGTCCCCTCCCTGCTTCGAGTCCTCCCGCTTTTGCTTCTAGTTGTCCCGCCTTTCTGGACTGAATGAATGTTCATTCTTACATATGTTAATTGATGTCTCATGTCTCCCTAAAATGTATAAAACCAAGCTGTGCTCTGACTATCTTGGGCACATATCATCAGGACCTCCTGAGGCTGTGTCACGGGCATGTGTTCTCAACCTTGGCAAAATAAACTTTCTAAATTAACTGAGACCTCAGATTTTCAGGGTCACACTGTAAAAAGTAAAGTAGACGTTCCTCTTCAAAGACTTTCCTCCCCATCTAATTAAGATAAATAGTAACTTCTCTTAGAAGCAAAATTTATTCAAAGACCTCTGCTAACGTTCTTAAATATCTGCTAGCCATAATGAAGAAGTCACTGTACTTTATGTTCTTAGCTCCCACAATTTAGCCTAAATATTTGCCCTGGCATGCTTATACTGGTCCAAGCAAGCATTAAGTCATAGCCTATTCTTCTTCCTTATTTGAAGGTGTTTTTACCTTTCTCAGCATTCCACAAGTTATTTCTTCCTTCCTTTGTTCTCCTCTTCCTTTGCTTCTTTTAAAAAGTTCTAAGTTGCTAGCCAATCAAGACAAATACGAATGTGAAGTCCCATTCCAGCCAATAGAAACCGGACACAGCAGTAAAGTATATGGGTCAAGTTATAAATGATCCTGTCTCATTTATTCAGTGTACTCTCGTGGCAAAACTGCTAGTGAGTGTACCCTTTCTGCAGAAAGTAAAAAAAATCCTTGCTGAAGAAATTAAATTTATGTTCAAGTGCTATTTCTTTACGGCACCAAAGAACAAGCATTTCTAACAACACTATGATTTCCATTCTGCAGATGAGGGAATCAAGGCTCTGAGGAGTCGAGGAACTTGCTTGAGCTACACAGCTAATGAGCGGTACAGCTCATATTTCAATGCAGGTCAGACTGACGGGGAAGCCCATTCCTGGTTTATCTCAGCTGTCCTGGGAGCCCTCTCGGCCACTCAGGTCCTAGCTCCACGGCCCTTTCCTTTCCTCTGGCTTCCCACCAAAGTCTCACCTGGATGTGGTGACGAGACAGGCGGAAAATCTCCTGCGCCATCGGCAAGGTCTTTGAGTCCATCACCAGGTAGAGCAGATGCAGGAGGGCAAGGAAGCCTGCGCCTCTCAGGTCTGTGGCTGGATTCGCTCCTGTAACAGAGACCGTGAGGAAACAGGGTGTGGCAGCGAGCAATGCTTCAAGGGCTTGCCATGGGAAGCTGCCCTGACACTGGCCTCTTCCCAGGCTAGCGGAGCATGAGCAGCACACGTCCACTTTCTGCCACACTTGTGGGGCTCATTCTAATGAGCTAAGCAGGGGCTATGCACCAAATGGGGACCCCAGCGCCCTGGAGGCAGCCTCCCACATCAGTTTTCTTGCTGCTGCCTATGACCCTTGATAGTTACTTCTACACAAAACCACCAAAGCAATCCTTTACAAAAAAGGCTGAATTTACAGTTCTGGAACAAGATGAATAATGCACTTTCTGCCTATTCCTCCCACTAAGTACAGCTAAAGCCCTGGACATTACTATATAAAATAAACAGAAGGCTCTGAAAGGAGGGAAGACAGACTTACTAGGAATCTTGAGAGCTGAGAAATGACTCTCTGGTGAATTCCTGGGTTTCTTTTTGCCTAATATATCCCAGATGGAGAAGACAGCAACCCAGAAATGCCAATGGGAGCAGACCAAAAAGCCCCAAGGAAAGCTGCTCTCTCTAGCCAAAGGGTGGGGAAAGAGGCAGTGTAGCAAGACAGAAGGCTTTAGCCAATACCCACCCTACTGCAGCAAAACACCACAGAGAAAAATGTGGCCCCATCCCCACTCTTCTCCAGAAAAGGCTGAGCAGGGACCCTAGACTTCCATCCTGGCCTAACTGTATCAAGGCACCCCTTAGCTCCACAAGGGTAGCGTCAGAGAAGGCCGGGCAGGGAGCTGGGACTTTATCTTTCCCAGTGGTAAGGAGCCCCCTTGCCTCCTCTGCAATGTGGAAGCCACATAGGAAGAGTAACGAGGCACCCCTGGCCCCACCAGCCATGTTGGCCAGGCTGGTCTTGAACTTGGTATTACTGCAAGCCAAGTGGGATACCCGGACTTCCACCCCCACCTGGCAGTAACATGGTGACGTCCCTCCTTCCCCTGCTGGCACAGTAACAGGGGAGGCCTGCTAAAGTAGAAGATTTAAGTAAGATCCAGAGTCTCATACAGACTACCCAAAATGTCTAAGATACAATAAAAAATCAGTTGTTACACCAAGAACTAGGTAATTCTCAATTCGAATGAGAAAAGATGATCAACAGACACCAACAGAGATGACACAGTTGTTGGAATTATTTGACAAGGAATTTAAAGCAGCCGTGGTAGGCAAAATAATCCCCCCGCCCCACGATGACCATGTCCCCAGAAGCTATGACTATGTTATGTAACATGGCAAAGGGGATTAAGACTGCAGGTAGAATTAAGGTTGCTGATCAGCAGAGAGGGAGATGATCCTGGACTGTCTGGGTGGGCCCAATGTCATCAGAAGGGTCCTTAAAAGTGGAAAAGAAAGGCGGAAGCCCAGAGCCAGAGAAAGAGATGTGAGGAATCGGGCTCAGAGAGATGCTGTTTCTGGCTTTGAAGATGGAAGAATGGAGGTGGCCTCTAGAAGCTGCAAAAGGCAAGGAAATGGACTCTCTTCCAGAGCCTCCAAAAAGAACACTGTGCTGCCAACACCTTGATCTTGACCACAGGTTCTCAGTAAGACCTGAGTCAGACTTCTGAACTAGAAAACTATAAGACAATAATTTGTGTTGTTTTAAGCCACTAGGTTTGTGGTAATTTGTTACAGCAATGATAGAAAGTGACTATAGGATCTACCATAAAATGCCTTTGGTAAGCAATTATGAACAAATACACTTTGAAAAAATGAAAAAATAGAAAGTTTCAGTAAAGAAACAGCAGATATAAAGAAGAACCAAATGGAAACTTTAGAACTGAAAAATAGAAGAACTAGAACTAAAAACTCTCTGGATGGGGTCAACAGGAGAACGGAGACAACAGAATCAGTGAACTTGAATATGGGACAGTAATAATAGAATAACATAATATGAACAACAGAGGGACAGAAAAACAAAAACCAAAATGAACAGAGCCTTGGAGATCTGAGGCTATAACAAAGATTTTAAAAAATGAACAAAGATAGCATTTGTATCATTGGAATCCCACAAGAGAGGACAAAGTGTGGAGCTGAAGAAAGTATTCAAAGGAATCACAGCTGAAAATTGACCAAATGTGGCAAAAGACACAAACCTACAGACTCAAGACACTGAGCTAACCTCAAACAGGAGAGGCCCAAATAAATCCACACAATGACACATCACAGTCAAATTCCTGAAAACCAAAGACAAAGCAAAGATTTTTTTTTTTTTTGAGATGGAATCTCGCTCTGTCGCCCAGGCTGGAGTGCAGTGGCACGATCTTGGCTCACTGCAACCTCTGCCTCCACACCAAGCAGCTGTGACTATAGGCACATGCCACCATGCCTGGCTAATTTTTGTATTTTTTTAGTAGAGATGGGGTTTCACCATATTGGCCAGGCTAGACTCGAACTCCTGACCTCGTAGTCCACCCGCCTTGGCCTCCCAAAATGCTGGGATTACAGGATGAGCCACCGCGCCCGGCCAGCAAAGATCTTTCTTTTGAGACAGAGTCTCACTTTGTCACCCAGGCTAGCGTGTAACGGTGCTATCACAGCTCACTGCAGCTTCGACTTCTTGGGCTCAAGCAGTCCTTCTGCCTCAGCCTCCCCAGTAGCTGGGACTATAAGCATGCGCCACCACACCTGGCTACTAAACAAAAGTTTTTTTTTTTGGCCAGGCATGGTGGCTTATGCCTGTAATCCCAGCACTTTGGGAGGCTCATGCAGGTGGATCATTTGAGGTCAGGAGTTCAAGACCAGCCTGACCAACATGGTAAAACCCCATCTCTGCTAAAAATACAAAAAATAGCTGGGTGTGGTGGCACAGGCCTGTAGTCCCAGCTACTTAGAAGGCTGAGGCAGGAGAATTGCTTGAACCCAGGAGGTGGAGGTTGCAGCGAGCTGAGATCATGCCACTGCACTCCAGCCTGGGCAATAGAGTGAGACTCCATCTCAAGAAAAAAAAAATTATTTTTTGTAGAGATAGGTTCTCATAATGTTGCCCAGGCTGATCTTGAACTCCTTGTCTCAAGCAGTCCTCCTGCCTTGGCCTCCCAAAGTGCTGGGATTACAGGTGTGAGCCACCATGCCTGGCACAAAAAATATTTTGAAAGCAGAAAGAGAATATGAACTCCTTACTTATAAGGGAGAGATCATTCAAATGACAGTGGATTTCTCATCAGAAACTATGCAGGCCAGAAGGAAGTAGCACATTTTCAAGTGCTGAAAAAAAAGAACTGTCAACCTGGAATTTTATATCCAGAGAATTCAGAAGTGAAGGGGAAATTGAGACATTCTCAGATGAAGGAAAACAAAGACAATTTATAGCCAGCAGACCTATCCTAAGAGAATAACTAAAGGAAGTCCTTGAAATAGAAAAAAAAAAAAAAAAAAAGAGGGTTAGGAAGGAAGAACAAACAATGGAAAGAGTAAATACAATAGATTTTCCTTTTTCTTATCTTTTTTTTTTTTTTCTGAGACGAAGTCTTACTCTGTTGCCCAAGCTGGAGCGCAGTGGTGAGATCTCGGCTCACTGCAACCTCCACGTCCTGGGTTCAAGCAATTCTCCTGCCTCAGCCTCCCACGTAGCTGGGACTACAGGCACGCGCCACCATGCCTGGCTAATTTTTGTATTTTTAGTACAGACAGGGTTTCACTATTTTGGCCAGGCTGGTCTTGAACTCCTGACCTCGTGATCCTCCCGCCGTGGCCTCCCAAGGTGCTGGGATTACAGGTGTGAGCCACCGTGCCTGGCCCAGATTTTCCTTTTTCTCCAGAGATTCAGAAATTATGTATATTGCAGTGTCACAGCTCTTCTACAATTTGTCTAGCAGGTTTTCTGGTTCTTCGTGAGAACCCCTCCTCAAAAAAATTATGTTTGTTGATTGAAACAAAAATCTTAACATTACTGGTGCGATTCTCAATATATAGAGAGGATACATTTAAGACAATTACATGATAGATGAGAGAGGGAACAGGGACTTAACCATGTTGCCATACCAACAGACCACCAGTTAATTAGGGGTACATAAAGTTTCCTTTTATCTTTTTTTTAAAATTTTTTGAGACAGAGTCTTGTTGTGTCACTCAGGCTGGAGTGCAGTGGTGCAATCTTGGGTTCATCCTCCGCCTCCTGGGTTCAAGCGATTCTCCTGCCTCAGCCTCCTGAGTAGCTGGGATTACAGGTGCACACCCCCATGCCTGGCTAATTTATATATTTTTAGTAGAGATGGGGTTTCGCCATGTTGGCCAGGCTGGTCTCAGACTGTTGACCTCAAGTCATCTGCCTGCCTCGGCCTCCCAATGTGCTGGGATTACAGGAGTGAGCCATAGCACCCGGCCTTAAAGTTTCCTTTCAAAGTTATTTTCCTATTCTATACAAATATAATTTGATATGGTTTTGTCTTTTTTTTTTTTTTTTTTTTGAGATAGAGTCTCGCTCTGTCACCCAGGCTGGAGTGCAGTGGCGCAATCCTGGCTCACTGCAACCTCATCCTCCCGGTTTCAAGCGATTGTCCTGCCTCAGCCTCCCGAGTAGCTGGGACTACAGGCACGTGCCACCACACCCGACTAATTTTTGTATTTTTAGTAGAATTGGGGTTTTGCCATGTTGGCCAGGCTGGTCTTGAACTGCTGACCTCAGGTGATCCACTTGCCTTGGCCTCCCAAAGTGCTGGGATTATAGGTGTGAGCCACCATGCCCAGCCAATTTGATATGGTTTTGAAAAAAAATAGTACAATCCAAAAACTGGTGAAATGATTCTGTTTCACTCAGAAAGTAAAATAATATATGATAAAATTTTCATAAATATTTTTTAGAGAGGAAAAAACCCAAAAATGCCAGATTCTGTCACATCACTCCAGTGTTTTCCATATCACTTACAGTAAATGTTTACAACAGCCTAAAAGACCACCAAGTGATCTTTCCTCCTGTCACTTTCATCTCCACCTCAGCCACACTCTGGCTATTTTTTTCTGAGACAGTCTCCCTTTGTCACCTAGGCTGGAGTGCAGTAGTGCGATCTCTGTTCACCGCAACCTCTGCCTCCGGGTTCAAGTGATTTTCCTGCCTCAGCCTCCTGAGTAGCTGAGATTACAGGCACGTGCCACCACGCCTGGCTAATTTTTATTTTTAATTTTTTTTCCGAGACAGAGTCTTACTCTGTCACCAAGGCTTGAGTGCCGTGGCGCAATCTCGGCTCACTGCAACCTCCACCTCCCAGGTTCAAGCAATTCTCCTGCCTCAGCCTCCCGAGTAGCTGGGATTACAGGCGCATACCACCAGGCCTGGCTAAATTTTCTATTTTTAGTAGAGACGGGCTTACACCATGTTGGCCAGCCTGGTCTCGAACTCTTGACCTCGTGATCCACCTACCTCAGCCTCCCAAAGTGCTGGGATTACAGGCACAGGCCACCGCACCCCACCCTAATATTTGTATTTTTAGTAGAGATGGGATTTCATCATGTTGGCCAGGCTGGTCTCGAACTCAGGACCTCAAGTAATCTGCCCTCTTCAGCCTCCCAAAGTGCTGGGATTACAGGCGTGAGCCACCACGCCCGACCTACTCTTGCTATTTTTCAAGCAGAACTAGCAGGCGCCCCCTCAGGGCTTTTGCATTTGCTGCACCCTCTTCCCGGAATACTCCCCCAAGATCTTCCCCCTCATAGCACTGGAAGAGAACGACCTGGCCTCTCACTCTAGTCCTGGAATCAGAGGCATGAAAAAGAAGATGAGCTACTCCTCCCTCTTACCCTGAAAGCCCAGGTCCTCCCAGTGGTTTCCATGAAGGGCACAGTCAAACTTGGAGCCGGTCAGCTTCTTATAGATGGTCTGGAGGACTCGGCCATGCACTGGGTCTTGGCTATCCAGGCCACCTGCCCCAAAACACACCCACACTCTCTGCCAGATTGCCCCTCATGGGAGAACCGGGTGCTTCTCAGAGAATGTGAGATCTGGACTGTGAGACATCCAGTTCTCAGCTCCCACTCTCACCCGCCAACCATGGTACATGCAATATTCCTGGCTTAGCCTCACAGGGTCAGCACACACGGTCTTGCCCAACCACAGATGCAGCAACTGCCCTGTGGGCTCGCATTGCACTCACACTGAGCAATGGTCAGGACCAAGTCCCTTTCTTCCCGAAGGCGCTGGTGGAGCTTTGGAGGCCCGAAGAGGTAGTGTCGGAGGGCGGCGAGCCCAGTCCTTCGAATAGTTGGCTGGATTCTTTTCTGGGGAAGAAGTTGCAGGCAATGGGCAGAATGCTGGTTCATTTCCCTTAATCAACTTCCCATCAGGCTCAGACCAGAGGCAGTGCTTGCAGAAAGTAACTCCCCCAGCTATCTGGCTGGCCTTTGGGCCAAGGGAAGGAGGCAGAAGCTGCAAGGCACCTGTTGAGTCTCTAGAGCCAGGCTCTTCCAGCTCCCAGATTTTTTGCAAGGTGAAAGACATCCCCAAGCGTAGGTATTATCAGCCATTATTTGCATTTAGTCCTCTGGGCTTTTCCAGAACTAGGTATTCCACTGACTCCCACAGGGGTTACACCTGCCCAGCTCCCCCAGGCAGTCAGACAAATGCCAGGACAGGTTTCCCAGGAGGTGGGGACCCACTAGAGTTAGATGACTCTGAGGGGTAGCTGGAATCTTTTGGTCACAACCAGCACTTCCCAAGTGAGGTCATGTTGGCTTCTCATGGCTCAGGGTCACTACTGCAAGCCTTAGAATATTCTGATTTCGGTAGCTTTCGGCTCTCTGGGTCCTATAAAACAACTTGGTTCCTATCTTTTTAGCCTCTCTCCCCTGAGCAAGGTTTTAGGTAGAAGACCTGAAATCACATTTCTCTAAACGTATTGTTACTCAATATGGCCCAGAAAGCTCCCCAGCTTTTTTTTTTTTTTTACGGAGACAGGGTTTCACTCTGTTGCCCAGGTGTGATCATAGCTTACTGCAGCCTTGAACTCCTGGGTTCAAGTGACCCCTCACCTCAGCCTCCTCCGAAAGAGCTGGTATTACATGTGTGAGCCACTATGCCCAGCACCCACCCCACCCCTAGCGTTTATTCCCCCAAATATTCCTTCTTTTTCCAGCTTATATCTTTCTTAAATTCCTAAATAGCTTCTGGTTCCTTGAGGGAATGGAAGGTTTTCCTCCACTGGCCATGAATCACTCAGCTCCCTGAACAGTTTGCCTTGCCTCTGCAAGGATCTACCTAGTACTTGACTCTAGATGTCCCCATCCCTAAAAGGGAAGAGTAGATAAACAGCTATACAGGCCCCTGAATGACAGGGCTACAGGAGCTGTAAGGGCATAGTCCCACAAAAGCTACCAAGGCCCCAAATGAAGCATGGGTCCTAGGCCACCCATGATCCTGGGCACCAAGATCTTAGGGGAGATTTGCTTGCCCAATGCCCTGTCCTGGTGGGATAGAGGCTTGGCTCCTAGGGAAAAGGCACTTTGCTTGAGACTCCAAACCCTGCTACCCTCATACCTTGAAGGGGGAAAGGTCCACAGTCTGGAAGTGCTGCAGGGCCTCACTGAAGGAGATTAGCTGCCCAGGCTGCTCTGAGCTAGCTTGGCTCCCTGTGGCAAAACGGAAGACATGCCAGGATTTATAGGAGTCATTCTGTCAACAAACATTTACTGAGGCCCTCCTACTTGTCACTTCCAAGCCAAGCACTGGCTTCCAGTTGAACATCAGACACTTACAGCTACAACCAATCTTCTTTCAAGAGGCTGGCATTGTCGGCGAAGAGGACTCTCTTTTTGGACGAGGCTATTCAGTCTTGCTAGGTCAGCCTCTGTGGTGGGTATGGGGCGGATCTGCCCCACGAGGTGATCCCTAAATGCTCTCATCTACGAGGGGGCAAGTCACTGCCTGGGGTGGGTACCCACATAAGAGCATGCAACCAGTTTGTTTAAGGGCCTTTCCTAATTTCCACTTTTCCCTTCTTACACCCTGTATAGGAACCCCCAACCATACACCTCTGTTATAGCCAATAGGGAATTAACTGATTAGTTAGCAATATAGGCAATGGCTGATACTATTCACTGGGCCCAAGGAGCTGAAGAGAGGCTCAGGCTAGATATAGGTCCTAGTTCTATCTCTTCATCCAACCTCTTAGAAAGAAACAGGAGACAATTTTTACTCAGCCTTCAGAGCCTTCCAGCAGATTGCTTCAGCTCCCATCCCCAGGGACTTCCTTGTGCAGTAAACAACCTGAGCAGCCTTACACAGGGGCCCATCTCCATCCTCCTACCCAGCCTTGCCACTCTGTAGAAGCTGCCCTAACCAAGGTCAACCCTGTCTTCTCTCATGGCTGGGTGAAAGATGGACAGGGATGGCAGCCCTTTCTCCATGGCCTTCACTCTGGTTTCCTCCAGAGGTAGGATGTCATCATCTTAGGATTTGAAAAAGGTACTGTAATCTATGTTATATAGTTAAAATGAGCACTCTCAGGAATTCTATCTCCTAGTCCCAGACTCACAGAAACATTTGCCACATGTGTGGATGGTGCCTTTGCTGGCAGAGGGGCTATGGGGAGACAGCAGCATTCGTACAGTTACCTGTCTCTGGCTGGATGGTGTCCACAGCTTCCCATTCTTCTTGGGCTCTGACCACCTCTGTACTCACAACTGCAATAGTAGGAGAAAAGGAGACCCTCTGAGATCTAGGTATGTCTGGGCCTCTACTGCAGACCCCAGCCTTGTCTGCCTGCCTTGGGCCTATTTTTTTTTTTAAGAGATGGGGTGTCACTGTGTTGCCCAGGCTGGAGTGCAGTGGCTATTCACAGGCATGATCCCACTATTGATCAGCACAGGATTTTTGAACTGCTCCATTTCTGACCTGGGCCAGTTTTCCCTTCCTTAGGCCACCTGGTGATCCCCCACTCCCGGGTGGTCCCCATATTGATGCTGAACTTAGTGGGGCCACATGATCAGCATGGCACACTACAGCCCAGAATTCCTGGACTCAAGCAATCCTCCTGCCTCAGCCTCCTGAGTACCTGGAACTACAGGCACGCACTACCACATCTGGCTGCCTTGGATCTTAACACCCTCTGATCCTCTCCTCACAGGTTTGCTAGAGTGAGCTTTTGAAAAGTAAGATTGGCCGGGCGCAGTGGCTCATGCTTGTAATCCCAGCACTTTGGGAGGCCAAGGCAGGCGGATCACGAGATCAGGAGATCGAGACCATCCTGGCTAACACAGTGAAACCCCGTCTCTACTAAAAATACAAAAAATTAGCTGGGCGTGGTGGCAGGCGCCTGTAGTCCCAGCTACTCTGGAGGTTGAGGCAGGAGAATGCGTGAACGCGGGAGGCGGAGTTGCAGTGAGCAGAGATCATGTCACTGCACTCCAGCCTGGGCAACAGAGCGAGACTCCACCTCAAAAAAAAAAAAAAGAAAAGAAAAGTAAGATCCGACATCACTGCTCAAAACCCTCCAGGGATTCTCCACAGTCCTCAAGATAAAACCCATACTCTACAGCACAGTATCCACATAACTTCACAATCTACAGATGGTTCCCCAACTCATGACAGTTCCACTTAACAATTGTTTGACTTTTTGATGGATTTATCAGGGTATTAAATGCATTTTTCTTTTCTTTTTGTTTTTAAATTTTTTGTTTTTTTAAAGGCTAGTCAGGTGAAGCAGTGGGAGTGGAGAAGGAACAAAGACATCTGTAACTGGTTGTGATCAATTCGTTGTAAAAATCATTCTACTCGGACCAGCCTTAAATGCACTTCTGACTTAAATTTTTCGTTTCCAATGGGTTTATTGGGATGGAAGTTCATGTAACTCGAGGAACATTTGTAGATTCTTCTTACCTCTCTAGCTTTGCCCCAGGGCCATCCAGAACTACCTGAAGTTCCTCCATGTGCTCTGCCCTCTCCCACCCTTGGTGCCTTTTCACAGACTGCTCTCCCTCTGCTGGAATCAAGACTCCAGGCACTGCCACCTTCAGTTCCAACCCCTGCTGGTGCAGCTCCCTCTCATTCTTCAGTTAGCTCTGACACCATCCTCGCCTGGATGCCTTCTTTGACCTCATCGGTCTGGATGAGGGGCCACTGCTCTGTGAGACCCTGACAACCCGTGCTTATCATAGTGTAGTCATTGTTTCTCCTACTCCACAGTGAGCTACATGAGGGCAGGTTTTCCAGAGGCTAGCACAGAGCTTGACACATAATAGGTGCTCAACAAATGTTTGATGAATGAATGAATGAATGAAAGCACAATATAAGGGGGAGAAAAAAAGAAGAGCAGAAGGATGGGCTTTCTAGAGCCACCATCCGGCCCTTTTCTCCAAACCAGAGCTGTCATTCTCTGGCTCAAACTGCTAGCGGCATCTTCTGTCACTGACTTTTCCGGTTTGCTACAGAGGACATCAACAATGTGAAGGATGGAGAGACTCCAGTTTAATACCAAAAATATGATCTCTCCAGCCTCGGTGGTATAGTAGGTTGGGACAGCTCCTCTCTGCCTCACAATCTTGGCTGAGGACATCACATGACAATAAACTGTTGGGAGAATATACCTGCAGATTAAATGAAATGCTACCAGACACTAATGGATAATAAGGAAGAGAAAGCGGCTGGGAAGCAGTAGAGGATAGTTACTGAAAGCACACTTGAGAGCCAAACTACTTGTGAATGCTTCATCTCTGCCTCTTACTAGCTGTATGTCTTCAGGCAAGTTACTTATCATCTGTAACCCCTCATGGGGCTGTTGTGAGGATGGGGTAATTCTACTTCCTAGGAGAGCACGTGGCCCAAATGTAAGCTATTATTATCAACATAGGTGTGGGCTCAGGTCCAGCAGGGCAATGGACAGAGGCAGCGGGTGAGATGGGTCCAGGGTCCTAAATATCTGGACCTTTAGGAAATTCCATCTCACCTGCTCCAGTCCGGAGTAGCAGACACTGAGCCTTGGAGTTCCTAAGACAGCTTTAAGAGAATATTCAACCTTGGAGGATCAAGAAAATAAAACTTACTTTCAGCATAGGAGCTAAAAAGGAGGGACAAAGTGGCTGAACAAAAAGGGAAGAGTAGGCCGGGTGCGGTGGCTCACGCCTATAATCTCAGCACTATGGGACGCTGAGGTGGGTGGATCACCTGAGGTCAGGAGTTTGAGACCAGCCTGGCCAACATGGTGAAACCCTGTCTCTACTAAAAATACAAAAAAAAAAAAAAAAAATTAGCTGGGTATGTGGCAGATGCCTGTAATCCCAGCTACTTGGGAGGCTGAGGCAGGAGAATCACTTGAACTCGGGAGGCGGAGGTTGCAGTGAACCAAGATTGCGCCATTGCACTCTAGCCTGGGCGCCAAGAGTGAGACTCTGTTTCAAAAAAAAAGGGACTGGGGGAAGAGTAGAACAGCAGGATGCAATGCTTATTATGAAGCTGAACAGGATCCTTCACCCTCTTACCTTCATGCAGCTTTATTGATTTATTGATTCTTCACCTGTCAGAGCCTCATCTACCAGCAACTTAACCAATCCCTCCCCAACCCCATACACCCTCGCCTACAAACAGCTTGATCAAAGTCTGTGAGCCAGGAGCAGGAACCACAGTGGCAAGGGGGTGGGAATATGCTGTCAAAACAGGTTAGTCAACAAAAGTTCAAGGTTTCCACCAGCAATAGCAAGCTGGTGCTTAAAACCTCAACACAAATGCCCAAACCACGTAAGAGCTTCTCCTTTTCTCTTGGAATGAGGGAGATGCCTCCTACGTGTGACATAAATACTGTTTTCCCCTGACCAACAGAAGAACACGGGGGCAAAGGACAAATAGTCAGGATAATTAACACAGCTCACGTTAATTAGGTTATCTTTTTTCCTTTTTATAATTGTCTCCTTTATTTCAGCTCTCTTCCACTTACTCATATAGTCAAGAGCACTGCCAATTGAGTCAGCTTATTTATTAATTCTCTTTTACATTTATTTTTATTTATTATATATATATTTTTTTTTGAGAAGAAGTCTCGCTCTGTCGCCCAGGCTGGAGTGCAGTGGTGCGATCTCGGTTCACTACAACCTCTGCCTCCCGGGTTCAAGTGATTCTCCTGGCTAATTTTTGTATTTTTGGTAGAGAACTCCTGACCTTGTGATCCGCCCGCCTCAGTTTCCCAAAGTGCTGGGATTACAGGCGTGGGCCACCGTGCCCAGCCTACATTTATTTTTTACTTTTTTTTTTTTTTAAAGTTAGCCAGAGATATAGGCACATGCCACCATGCCTGTAATCCCAGCACTTTGAGAGGCCAAAGTGGGAGGATCATTTGAGCCAGGAGTTTGAGACCAGCCTGGGCAACATAATGAGACCGTCTCCATCTCAAATTTTTTAAAAATTAGCTAGGCATGGTAGTGCACACCTGTAGTCCCAGCTGGAGCCCAGGAGTTCAAGGCTGGAGTGAGCTACAATCACATTACTACACTTCAGCCTGGACAACAGAGTGAGACCCTGTCTCTGGAAAGAAAAAAAAAAAAAAAAAAAAAAATATATATATATATATATATATGTATTTAAAGTAAAAATTATTAATGTATTAATGCTGGGTTTGTCACCATAAAGATAAAATTCCATTAAAAGAAACTTCACAGATGTCCAAATGATGTTCCTATATTAGAATATTTTTTAGCTACACATAGAAGCTCACACTTATATTCCCAGATACTCAGGAGGATAAGGTGAGGATCAGCCTGAGCAACACAGCAAGAACCTGTCTCTTTTTTTTTTTTTTGAGATGGAGTCTTGCTTTGCTGCCAGGGTGCAGTACAGTGGCATGATCTCGGCTCACTGCAACCTCTGCCTCCCAGGTTCAAGTGATTCACCTGCCTCAGCCTGCTGAGTAGCTGGGATTACAGGCGTGCACCACCATGCCCAGCTAATTTTTGTATTTTTACTAGAGACGGGGTTTAACTATGTTGGTCAGGCTGGTCTTGAACTCCTGACCTCGTGATTTGCCTGCTTCAGCCTCCCAAAGTGCTGGGGTTACAGGCGTGAGCCACTGTGCCCGGTGAACCTGTCTCTTAAAAAAAAAAATTAGCTATGCCTGGTGGTACACAATTACTCAGGAGGCTGAGGTGGGAAGACTGCTTGAACCCACAAATTCTATGATTGCACCACTGCACTCCAGCCTGGGGGACAAAGCAAGGCCCTGTCCCTAACAAAAAAAAAAAAAAAAGAGTATTTTTTTAAAAGTTCATATTTCTAGTGGCCAGGTATGGGTGCAGTAGCACAATCTCGGTTCACTGCAACCTCCACCTCCTGGGTTCATGCAATTCTTGTGCCTCAGCCTCCAGAGTAGCTGGAATTACAGGCACACACCACTACACCTGGCTAATTTTTAAAATATTTTTAGTAGAGACGGTGATGTGGTTTGGCTCTGTGTCCCCGCCTAAATCTCATCTTGTAAGTCCCATAATTCCCATGTGCTGTGGGAGGGACCTAGTGGGACATAATTGAATCATGGGGGCCAGTCTCTGCTGTGCTGTTCTCATAATAGTGAATAAGTCTCACAAGATCTGATGGTTTTAAAAACAGGAGTTTCCCTGCACAAGCTCTCTCTTTGCCTGCCACCATCCATGTGAGATGTGACTTGCTCCTCCTTGCCTTCCACCATGTTTGTGAGGCCTACCCAGGTATGTGGAAATGTAAGTCCATTAAACCTCTTTTTCTTCCCAGTCTTGGGTATGCCTTTATCAACAGCATGAAAACGGACTAATACAATGGGGTTTCACCATGTTGGCCAGGCTGGAGTGTACCTTTCTCCATAATCACTTGGCAAGTAGAGTGAACTTTAAATATAGTATGGGGAAGCGCCTTGCAAAGCAGATGAAGTAGAATAACTTTTCAAAGGCTTTTCCTATATTGTGTCTCATTTTCATAACATCCCTTTGAGGATAAGGGAGGTACTAATATTAGAGATCATATGGCTTGCCCAGAGGCACACAGTAAACCACTAGCAGAGGAAGATCAGAACTCTGGTCTTTTGATTCCTAATTCAGTGTTGATTCTATTTTTCCCCAAGGACTGATACATCTACAAAATTCTGAAAGACAAGGAGTGAGAGAAATTCAAATGATGAACAGCAGATGCATGGGAAGGTCTGACTTGGGTCCCACCCAGACTCCAAGGGCCCTGAAGGGAACCTTACCACGTGGCTCCCATTCATAAGCTTCTGTGGTCAGAGCCTGGAGAATGCCATGGTTCTTCAACTCTGAGATCTGTAGAGGCAGCTGACCTTTAGCTTGAGGATAGAATCCACATACCCCCATATACACAAACGCTTCCCACCCACTGTACTGAATGTCCTTGACACTGGAGGCCAAAAGGACCTAGTGTGCCCTGATGGGTTGACTGAAGTCAGTTTTATTTTCTTTTACTTTTTATTTATTTATTTTTTGAGACGGAGTCTCACTCTGTTGCCCAGGCGGGAGTGCAGTGGCCTGATCTTGGCTCACTGCAACCTCCACCTCCTGGGCTCAAGTGATCCTCCTACTTCAGCCTCCCAAGTAGCTGAGACTACAGGTGTGCATCACCACACCCAGCTAGTTTTGTATTTTTAGTACAGATGGAGTTTCACTGTGTTGGCCAGGCTGGTCTTGAACTCCTGACCTCAAGTGATCCGCCTGCCTCAGCCTCCCAAAGTGCTGGGATTACAGGCATGAGCCACTTACTGGCCTTGAAGTCCATTTTAAATTGAGGTACCTGGAAAACTTTAACTATGATGTGGAACTTGGGTGATGTTGGGGACAAGTGTATGTCCACCTTGAATGTAAATAAACAAAAATTCATACACTCATTTCAGACTGTGGTGTGCCTTTGGTATTCTCTCTGCGTTTTATAGCCTGCTTCATTATGGCAATTATCTTATTAAATAGAAGTTGTTTTGTATGTTTGTGTTCCATACACCCTCCCCTCACTCCCCTCAAGTGTGAGCTCTTGGAAGCTAAGGTCTATGCCACCCTTGTGTCCCCAGCGTCTACCACAGTTCTGGCACCACACAGTAACACACAACAAAAGCCCTGGCAGAAGGTACCAAGTTGTGGGTGATACATACAGGGATTCCTCTGAAAGCCAGAACACTCTTGTCCTTGTCATATGATGGAGAATATCCAGCAGACAATCTTTCACCCTGTAAAACAGACAAGGGTCAATCTCCTAGGCACATATTAATCCCCCAAAGATAATAGTTTAAATGTCATACTTTTTTTTTTTTTAACTTTTAAGTTCAGGGGTACATGTGCAGGTTTGTTACATAGGGAAACTTGGGTCACAGGGGTTTGTTGTACATGTTATTTCATCAGCCAGGTATTTGACCTAGTACCCACTAGTTATTTTTCCTGATCCTCTCCCTCCTCCCACCCTCCACTTTTTCTTTTTTTTTTTTGAGACGGAGTCTCACTCTGTCACCCAGGCTGGAGTACAGTGGCACGATCTCGGCTCACTGCAAGCTCCACCTCCCAGGTTCACGCCATTCTCCTGCCTCAGCCTTCCGAGTAGCTGGGACTACAGGCGCCTGCCACCAGGCCCGACTAATTTTTTTTGTATTTTTAGTAGAGACGGGGTTTCACCGTGTTAGCCAGGATGGTCTCGATCTCCTGACCTCATGATCCACCCGCCTCGGCCTCCCAAAGTGCTGAGATTACAGGCGTGAGCCACCGGGCCCGGCCAACCCTCCACTTTCCAATAGGCCCCAGTGTGTGTTGTTCCCTTCTATGTGTCCATGTGTTCTCATCACTTAGCTCCCACTTATAAGTGAGGATATGTGGTATTTGGATTTCTGCTCTGTGTTAGTTTGCTAAAGATAATGGCCTCCAGCTCCATCCATGTCCCTGCAAAGGTAAATGTTGCAACTTTTCCCAGTACCACAAAAAAAGGATGAACTCTGGAGATACCAACCATAATGAATACTGTAAAGGAAAACTTCTGTTTAATCTGGTCCTAGGAAAAACTGCAAAAAGCTTAATTAATGTTATCTCAAAAATTTTATACCGATTTCCTGGCTCTTTGAAAGTCTGAGGGTTCTGAGTGAGCGAAGTTTAGTGAAGCAGTTTCCTATGGCCTTTCTGCTCAGCCAAACCTATCCCCTGCTACAGATGAAAAACAAAAAACCGACCAAAATACTCGGCCAATTGTTTGTAACTCATTTCACAGATACAGAGCTAATTTTTCAACGTGTTCTTTTAAAATCCTAAAAATCACCAGGTGTGGTGGCTCACAGCTACAATCCCAGCACTTTGGGAAGCTGAGGCAGGAGGATTGCTTGAGCCCAGGAGTTCGAGAGCAGCCTGGGCAACATGCGGAGACCCTGTCTCTACTGTTTAAAAAATAAAAAATCATCATTTCTATAGTTTGTTACTAGAGAAGTTTCTCTGAACATATAGAGCACCAAGAAGTATCATGTATCTAAAAAAACCATATGGCACCATTGAAAAGAAGCCCAGAATATTCCCAGATGATACAATTCTGGAGAATGGAGAAGTAATTCTACCAGTGAAAGAATTTCCTGATCAACATCATTAAAGATTATGTAAAAATGTAAAGGGCTTATGAGCCTAAGTTTGTTCCTATGTTACCATATTCACTGAATTTTCTGGAAAAGTAACTTTAATAAAGTTTAATCT